>NC_000007.14:98567385-98870415 GCF_000001405.40 Homo sapiens
CAGCCGTGACCCTGGCAGGGAGATGGAAAAATTTAGTCTCGGGACGAGAAACCGAGGCTGTGGCCAACCCCATCTAATTATCTTTCACTAACTTTGTGATGTTTGGAGAATGTCACACTGGCTTTGAGAATGTCTCAGTTCTTGGGTCCTGTGTTCCAGAAGAACCTATTAATTGATAGAGGGGCGGGGGAGGGTGGTGTCTTAGCTCCTATTTTATTTATTTATTTATTTATTTATTTATTTATTTATTTTTGAGACGGAGTCTCGCTCTGTCACCCAGGCTGGAGTGCAGTGGCACAATCTCGGCTCACTGCAACCTCTGTTTTGTGGGTTCAAGTGATTCTCCTGCCTCAGCCTCCCGAGTAGCTGGGATCACAAGTGCGTGCCACCACGCCCCCGCTAATTTTTGTATTTTTTGGTAGAGACAGGTTTCCCTATGTTGGCCAGGCTGGTCTTGAACTCCCGACCTCAGGTGATCCACCCACCTTGGCCTCCAAAGTGCTGGGATTACAGGTGTGAGCCACCGCACCCGGCCCTTAGCTCCTATTTAAATGTATATATATATTTAGGTTAGTTAATTTCAGAGATGGCAAAACAAAAAGAAAATGTGTGTGCATCGGAGGGAACCTTTGATCCACAGCCACCGGCCTGTGCTTGGAGACATTTCTGGCTCGTCTTCAAAATTCTGTGCTAATTGACATTTGTCTTTTTCTCTGTGAAGCCCGCCATCCCCAGGTCATTAGGACATTGGGTCTGGGCTGTAGTTTCTCTCCCATCAGGGCCAGACACTGCAGCAATTATCATAAAAGACAGTCGGATAAGGAACTTGCTTTGTAGGCTTAACTAAATTATTAGACTCCTCTTGTGACCAGAAAGACTCTCCTTTTATTTGGCACTGAAAAGTTCTCAGGCATGTGTCTGCACAGAACAAAAGGCGCCTAGACATCTTTATTTCTGCCCAACTCCTTTCCCTACCCCAAAACGCTATCTAGAAGTAAAAGATGACACATGCATTACAGAAACAAAATGACTCCCCTGACAATGGGAGCCGCAGTCTGGAAGATACATCTGAAAAGAGTAGTGAGAGGACCTTATTTTTCTGATTCTATGTTGTCTGAGGAAGCTTTTTGTTTGTTTGTTTTGTTTTTGAGACAGGGTCTTGCTCTGTTGCCCAGGCTGGAGTGCAGTAGCATGATCAGGAATCACTGCAGCCTCAAACTCCTGGGCTCAAGCGATCCTCCCACTTCAGCCTCCTGAGTAGCTAGGATTACAGGTAATGTGTCACCACACTTGGCTAATTTTTGTTTCTTTAGAGATGGGGTCTCTCTATGTTGCCCAGGCTGGTCTTGAACCCCTGGCTTCAAGCAATCCTCCTGCCTTGGCCTCCCAAAGTGCTGGGATTACAGGTGTGGGCCACTACTTCTTGTCCTGGGGAAGCAATTTTTAAGAAATGTCCCATCTTGATGCAGTGTAAGGTTTTGAAATATTTGCCCCCAATTACCGCAGTGGTGGGCAGGATGTGGAATAATTTGGAAATAAGGAAAAACTTCAGGAAAGGTGGAGGGGAAGTACTCGTGGCATAAAGTTAGGGGCACAAGTCCCAGGCAGCAAAGCTAATGGGGCTTAATTAGTGGCCAGAGCTGGATCCAGAGCCGTGTCCCTGGCAGGCAGCCAGAACACAGCCTCACTTAAGGCCCGGGAATCCCTCCCTGCCTCATGAAGCTGAGTCTCTGGTCTCTGATCATGGCTTACTCCTCCCAGATGACGGCAGCATTGACGGTGAGTGTGTGTGCCCCTCAGCTCACAGCCAGGACGAGCCTATTAAAAATGCCCCTGCAGACCCCAGGGGCCACCCATTAACCTCAGAAACAAGGAGAAATAGGGGCTGGGTGCGGTGACTCACGCCTGTAATCCCTGCACTTTGGGAGGCTGAGGTGGGCAGATCATGAGGTCAGGAGGTCGAGACCAGCCTGGCCAACATGGTGAAATGCTGTCTCTACTAAAAATACAAAAATTAGCCGGGAGTGGTGGTGGGCACCTGTAATCCCAGCTACTTGGGAGGCTGAGGCAGGAGAATTGCTTGAAACCGGAAGGTGGAGGTCACAGTGAACCGAGATCACGCCATTGCATTCCAGCCTGGGCGAAAGAGCGAAACCCGGTCTCCAAAAAAAAGAAAAAAAAGAAAAAAGAAAAGAAAGAAAGAGAAAAAAAAAAAGAAACAAGGAGAAAGAAAATCCGTGGCAGCAGGATGGATCTCTGTCTTCCTGTTAGTGTTTTGGAGACGAGGAGGGTAGCTTTTTGTGTGTGTGTGTGTATTGAATGTCTGGCAGAAACTGAGTAATAGCTGAACAGAACAGTCAGGGATTCAAGTGCTCACTTCTGAATGGTTCTCAGGCAACAGGCACAGTGCCTGCTCCCAGAAACGGCTCTCTCTGCAAAGACGAACAGAACACAATGGCCTCCTTGTGTGACATGCTAAATTCGAGCCCCATACGGAGCCGGGAGCAGAAGTCGCAGAAGCACATCGGGTGGGACAGAGGGGCTCCTCTAGGAATTATCTGGTCGGGGCATGAGCAGGTGGCTGGACTTCTGGCCCCTTTATGGCCAGAAGACCAATTCTTGGCTGGTCTCTAAGCAAACAAAGGGAGCAGCACCTTGTCAGCGGATGTGATTTTTGTGACATCTGTTCCGCAGCCCCCATCAATTCACACCCAGCGTCTGCGTGACTCATGTCCTTGAATTAGCCATTGTTGGGCCCGAGGGAGGCGAACGGGAAAACCGAACGGAAGAAAGGTTTGGGGAAGGGAACGTTCTGTTCTGTCCTCCAACGATAAGCGCCTGTTTGGCAGCGTCATGGCAGGGACAATGCAGAGATGGCCTTGAAAATTCTCAGGCTGTCGGTCAGGCTGAGGGGCAAAGAAAAGTCACAGGCAGCTGACAGTGGGAAGAGCAGAGCAAGGATTCATTCATTCATTCATTCATTCATTCATTCGTCAGTGGTTTATCAGCTTCTCTCTGTGACAAGCACCCTCCTAGGCACAGTAGGTGCCCTGGTGATCAAGACAACCACCCCTCTCTTGGAGCTGAAGCTTCATGGGGAGAGAGACGTTGAAAATTGGTGCTGAAATCACCAGCCTTTGTGCAAAGCCAATATTCAACCCCACATAGGTGTTTGAGAGAGTCAGAAAAATTCCATCATAGGGGCCGCATGGCCTGTCTCACATGTGTAATCCTAGTGCTTTGGGAGGCCAAAGGGGGAGAGTTACTTGAGGCCAGGAGTTTGAGACCAGGCTGGACAACAGAGCAAGACCCTGTCTCTACATAAATTTTTTTAAAAAATTAGCCAGGCGTGATGGTGTGTGCCTGTAGTCCCCGTGGCTCAGGAGGCTGAGGAAGGAGGATCGCTTGAGCCCAGGAGGTGGAGGCTGCAGTGAGCTATGATTGCACCACTGCACTCCAGCCTGGGCAATAGAGCTAGACCCTGTCTCTAAAATAATACAAATAAACTAAAAATAAATTTCAAGATGAATAATATATGGTTCCTGCCCTGGAGGAGTAACACTCCCATGAAGCAGCTACCTGGGGGTCTCAGCAAGGCATCCTGAAAGAACAGGGCAGTAAGGAAAGGGACTCCCCTTGCAGAGTTGAATTATGGACTTGAGATGCCCTGCATCAGAGCGGAGTAGGCAAAGTCACTTTAAAGAGAGAGTCCTCAGTCAGCAGGACTATAATTGGATTTAATGTATAACTTATATAAAGAAAGATTGTGTTGAGAGGAAAGAAAGTCATTGGACAGGACCCCTCCCCCACCTCTCCCAGCTCTGTCTGGGGAGAGTTGGCACCCTGGTCCAACCCCAACAGCAGGCACATTTGCATGGCGCAGAGACACTTCCAGGCTAGCTGCGGTGGGCAGGTTGCATTATTTGCATACAATTCTTCCTTCCTTCCCTGCCCTCGTCATGGTTTCCCTTGGTATGGGCTTGCTTTAGCCAATGGAAGGTTAGCGGATGTAACCTAAGCAGGGGCTTGACATCTGCAGGTTTAAACATATGAGCTTCATTGGCCTTATGGTGGGCTCGCAAGGAGGGGTTGATACTCCAAGAACCAAGGCCTCTGCCTGGCTCTGCTTGGCTTCTGGATGTTCAAGCTGCATCCAGAGAAACAAATCCACTCATTCATGGCCTGAAAAAAAACATTTTCTGGCTAACTCTTCTGTTTGGGCCCTGGAGGGACCGTGATGAACAAGACAGACCATTCCCCGAGGTGGATCTGCACCCGCAATGAAGGAAGAACTCTGGGGCTGTGAGTTGGGCAAGGGAGCGTATTCGTCTGCCCAGGGCTGTGGCTGAAAAGAGGCTGAATCTCTTTGAGTCATACGGCTTAAACTTTCTGCAAATGGGTACTCTCTGCATGACAAGGTCAGGAGGGAAGGGACATGTGCGGCCACCCAGGCCTGTCCGATGGAAGTCCTGGCCTGTACCCCACTCCACTTCCAACAGCACCTCCATCCCACTCTGCCCTTTCAAAGCCTTGAAGCCCATTTTAACGAAGTTCCTTGTACATCAACGTGTCACAATGCTATGTACCTGGGGACAGATGCGGATGTGGCTTGCCCTGTTTGTAAGGCCACCAAGAGGGCTACTCCATTCAGACAGCCCGGCAAAAAGACAGTGCCCTTCCCACTGGTGACCCAAGAGGCATGATTTGGTAGGATAAGCACTTTACAAATTTTTGCAAGATGACAACCCACAGTGAACTCATTGCTCCTGCTGGGATAGGAACAAAAATGTGTTCAATAAATAAAAGCTGATTTTCCCAAACACTGTCTTGAAGACAGTGGTTTAATCGGTGGCAGCTGCTCCACACCTCCAGGCTGAACTGTCCCGTTTCGAGTCATTTCCTGTCCAGAATGCCACAGTGTCTGTGCTCGAAGGACTTGGGGTCACTATACCAACGGCTCACAGCTTCTCAATTGTGTGAAACCCAAAACAAAACAAAACAATAGAGCTTGTTTTGTCTGTTTTCCTAATGGAGATATAATCTACCTAAAGTCAGATTCACCCATTTTAATGCATTGCTCTACGAGTTCTAACAAGGATGTAGAGTCGTGTAACCATTTGAGCAACTCAAAATATTCCCACAAGCCCCTGAAATAGTCAACCTCCCTACCCATCTCCTGCCTCTGACATCCCTGATCTATTTTCTGTCCCCCCTCTTTTTTTTTTTTTTTTTTTTTTTTGAGATGGAGTCTTGCTCTGTCACCCAGGTTGGAGTACAGTGGTGCGATCTCGGCTCACTGCAATCTCTGCCTCCCGGGTTCAAGCGATTCTTCTTTCTGCCTCAGCCTCCCAAGTAGCTGGGATTATAGGCGCCCGCCACCACACCCAGCTAATTTTTGTATTTTTAGTAGAGATGGAGTTTCACCATGTTGGCCAGGCTGGTCTCCAACTCCTGACTTCAGGCGATCCACCCTCTTCGGCCTCCCAAAGTGCTGGGATTACAGGCATGAGTCACTGTGCCCGGCTGTTTTCTGTCCTTTCCCAGAATATCATATAAGTGGAATCATATAATGTGTGGCCTTTCCACGTTGACTTCTTTTGGTTAAATTAACTGTTACCATGCCTGTGAACGGTCCATTTCTTTTTATTGTCTGGTCGTATTCCACGGTATACATATACCACACTATGTTAATCCCTTCCCCAGTTGAAGGACACTTGGATGGTTTCTGGTATCTTTTGGTGATTATGAATAAAGCAGTCATAAATATTCATGTTCAAGTTTTATGTGAACATAAGTTTTCATTTCTCTCAGGTAAATACCTAGGAGTGGGATTTGCAGGTCATGTGGTAAAGATGGATTTAATGTTATAAGAAATTGCCAAGGCCGGGCATGGGGGCTCACATCTGTAATCCCAGCACTTCAGGAGGTGAAGGTGGGCAGATCACTTGAGGTCAGGAGTTCAAGACTAGCCTGAACAACATGGTGAAACCCTGTCTCTACTGAAAATACAAAATTAGCTAGGCATGGTGGCGCACGCCTGTAATCCCAGCTGCTTGGGAGGCTGAAGTAGGAGAATCACTTGAACCTGGGAGGCGGAGGTTGCAGTGAGCCGAGATCATGCCACTGCACTCCAGCCTGGACAACGACAGTGAAATTCCATCTCAAAAAAAAAAAAAAAGAAAGAGAGAGAGAGAGAAAGGAAGGAAGGGAGGGAAGCAGGGAGGGAGGGAGGGAAAGGAAGGAAGGAAGGAAGGAAGGAAGGAAGGAAGGAAGGAAGGAAGGAAGGAAGGAGGGAAGGGAGAGAGAGAAAGAAAGGAAGGAAGGAAGGAAGGAAGGAAGGAAGGAAGGAAAAATTGCCAAGGCTGGGAGTGGTGGCTCATACCTGTAATCCCAGCACTTTAGGAGGGTGAGGTGGGCGGGTCATTGAGGTCAGGAGTTCAAGACCAGCCTGTTTAATATGGTGAAACCCTGTCTCTACTAAAAATATAAAAAACTTAGCCAGGCACGGTGGCACGTTCCTGTAACCCCAGCTACTGGGGAGGCTGAAGCAGGAGAATCGCTTGAACCTGGGAGTTGGGAAGTGGAGTTCACAGTGAGCCGAGATGACGCCAGTGCATTCCAGCCTGGGTGACAGAGCAAGACTATGTCAAAAAAAAAAAAAAAAAAAAAAAAAGAAAAAGAAAAAAAGAAAGAAATGCCAGCCTGCTTGCCAAAGTGGCTGTACCATGTGGTATTCCCATCAACAATGAGTGGAAGCGTCATTTGTTCCCATGCTCACAGGTGTTCTGGGTTGACAGGCTTTGTAGTTTGTTTATGTGTTTTAAGCCATTCTAATATGTGTGTAATGGTATCTCACTGTGGCTTAAATTTGGATTTCTCTAATGACTAAAGATATTGAGTATCTTTTCATGGGCATATTTGCCATATGTATATTTTCTTTGGTAAAGTGTCTTTTCAAATCTTTTGCTCAACTGTATTTTTTTTTCTTGAGTGTTTTAGAGTTCTTTAAATCTTCTACATACAAGTCCTTAATCACAATATATTGCTATGGTTTTTGCTTTCTACAGTCAATTACCTCTTAGAACAATGTAGAACAAGAAAAAAGTTTTTAAATATTTATCTTCTTTCAAGCTATTTTTAGAGATGTTCGCTTCTTTGTATAAATCCAAATTTCTGTCTGGTATCATAATATTCTGGCTGAAGAATTTTCTTTAACATTTCTTGTATTACAGATCCACAGATAATAAATTATCTCTGCTTTTGTTTGTCTGGAGAGTCTTTATTTCTTGTTTATTTTCAAGCACTGGAATTCTGGGGTCACAGTGTTTTTCCTTGCAATCCTTTACAAAGGTCACCCCGTTATCTTCTGGTGTGCAGTTTCTGATAAGCAGTCGTCTACTATAATTCTATTTGTACTTCTGTATGTAATGTGTGCTTTTTTTCTAGCTTCCTTTAAGATACTCTCTTTATCACTGGTTTTTAGAAGTTTGAATAGGATGTGTCTGAGCTTTTTTTTTGTTTTTTGTTTTTTGTTTTGTATTTTGGGGATGAGCTATGTGTTCTAGTGTGGTCTTATGATTTTTTTAAAGTCACATTTAATATTGACTAACTTTATTTTTTTAAATTGCCAACTTTCAAGTTTAGGGGTATATATGCAGGATGTGCAGGTTTCTTACATAGGTAAACATGTGCCATGGTGGTTTGCTGCACAGACCCTTCCATTGCCCAGGGATTAAGCCCGGCATCCACTAGCTATTCCTCCTGTTCCTCTCCCTCCTCCCACCCCCTGCCCTCTGACAGCCCAGCATGTGTTGTTCCCCTCTATGCATCCCCATGATTTTTTAAATCTATAATTTGATGTGATTTTATTTTTGGAAAATTATTGGTCATTATCTCCTCAACTATTTTTTCTGCCTCATTGTTTCTCTTTGCCTTCTGGGATTTCAATTTCATCTATGTTAAACTTTTTTTTTTTTTTTTTTTTTTTAGACAAGGTCTTGCTCATTGCCAAGGCTGGAGTGCAGTGGCATGATCTTGGCTCACTGCAGCCTTGACCTCCCAGGCTCAGGCCATCCCCCCATCTCAGCCTCCTGAATAGCTGGGACTACAGGTGTGTGCAACCACACCCTGCTAATTTTTAAAACTTTTCTGTAGAGACAAGGTCTCATAATGTGGCTGGTCTCAAACTGGTGGACTCAAGTGATCTTCCTGCCTTGGTCTCCCAAAGTGCTGGGGTGACAGGCATGAGCCACTGTGCCCAGACTTCACATATATTAGACTATTAATTATTGCTCTATCTTGTAAAATGTCTTGTAAAATGTTTTTACTCTGTGTGTCTGTGTGTGTGTGTGTGTTTCAGTTTGGGTAATTCTCATTGACCTCCCTTAACATTCAGTTATTTTCTGAGTGGTGTCAAATGTTTCAATGAGCTCTCTAAAGGCATTTTTAAAATCTCTGTTATTTCTGTTTAAAAAGTATTTCTAACATTTACAGTTGACCCTTTCTTACACCCTTTCTTTCACCTCTGCTGAAATTTCTCATGGTTCATGAATATTTTTCACCTTTTCTACCAGAGCCTTTAACATATCAATCATAGTCATTTTAAAATCTCTGTCTTATAAGTCACTTCTGAGTCTAGTTCTCTTGATTGATTTATCTCTTGACAGAGGAGTGTTTTCACTTGCTTTTTTGATGTGTCTTGTAATTTTCGATTGAGTGCTGGGCATGGTATACAGAACAGTAGAGGCTGAAGTAAAAATTTATGCCTGAAAATGGCAAGCCTTTTCTTTTGCTTGGCTGCTAGTATGGAGGGGGGGAGTTGAGTCAATCTGGTCAGGAATGAAACGAATTGGGTTTTGTTGTTGTTATATTTACCATCAATGCACTACCAGCTTGCATTTTTCTAGAGGTGTCTTGTGCTTGCTGTGGGGGCTGGGTTGCTGAAGGGTTTTTGTCAATGCTTCCATGACACTGTCATCTTTTGGCCTTCCCTGTGTGCCTGCATCTCAGAGAAGATTTCTATGTTCTTGGCTCTCCTACTGCAGTAGACTGATTGCTGTCACTTGGTGCTTACTAGCCTGGTGGTGGTGGACAAAGATATTCCTTGTTTTCCTGGTCCAGCCTCAATCTTAGGCAGGTCTTGTGTCCCTGGGTCTTGGCAGTGGGATTTTGTCAGTGGTCCTACCCTCCTACTTATGGTAGGCAAACTCTGCCTTGCATCCTTGATGTGCTTTCTGCAGGAGAAAATTTATTGTCCCTCAACCAGCAAAAGACCTCCAATGGAATTAGTATAAAATTTTGGGCCCTGAATGATTTCCTGCTCCTCCTTTTAAGATATATTTTTATTATTTTACTTTTCTCCCACCTGTAATGGGTCTTCACCTGTGTCCTGGGGGTGACAGTGTTTTCTGCTCTTCACCCAGCAGCTTATGGCCTTTGTTCCAAGAGGACAAGTGTCTCAGTGAGTTCTGTGTCTCTCCTACAGGAGCAGCTCCTCCCCTCATCCAGGCATGCATGCAAGGGAGGTTTGCTCTAGTGTCCCATCCTATGTCTCATCTTTTGTGTAAGCTCCCAATGGAGAGATGAAGAGAAAAGCCCACGTTTGCACCAGAGCTCTATACTCTCATACTAGACCTCCCTTGGTCTTTAGAAATTCGTTAAAATTTTTACCTAAATTCTTCTTACCTATTTGTCACCTGGAGCCTTTTCCTCCCATGCTCTGTCAGAGTTGATTCAGTGACTGCATCCCATTTTTCCTTAGTAGGGCCCATCTTTCCTTAGATTTCAGACTATTTGGTTGCCCTGCAACTTCAGCTTTCTGATGGGTTCAGGAAAAGTGATGGTTTTCTTATTGTTAGGATAGGAGTGACATTCTTTCTGGCTTTGTACCTCCAAGGCAGAAACAAAACTCTGGTTTTTCCACTTTGAAAAGAAAGAAACAGCCTGGGTGTGGTGGCTCACACCTGTAATCCCAGCACTTTGGGAGGCTGAGGCAGGCGGATCACCTGAGGTCAGGAGTGTGAGACCAGCCTGGCCAACATGGCAAAACCCCGTCTCTACTAAAAATACAAAAAATTAGCCAGGTGTGGTGGCAGGCGCTTACAGTCCCAGCTAATTGGGAGGCTGAGACATGTGAATTGCTAGAACCTGGGAGGCAGAGGTGGTAGTGAGCTGAGATGGTGCCATTGCACTCCAGCCTGGGTGACAAAGTGAGACTCTCTAAAAAAAAAAAAAAAGAAGAAAAGAAATAAGAAACAAGGAAAGTAGAGGAGGAACAGCAGTGGAATAGACAGGAAGGTTTTTCCAGAACAGTAACAGGATGGACCCAAAGGCTCCATTCTTCTGCAGACCCAGGATATGGTATTCTAGGACAAGGATGGGGGACAGTTGCGAAGGTGCAATCAGCAGAGAAGCTTGAATCAACTAGAAATCAAAAGATGTGACAATCCATTCAGACAAAGGCCGAATAATGCACTAGGGCCGAGGCTGTATCTCAGCCCCACAGATTGATCCCATCAGAGGTGAGAGCTGGAGCCTTGTCCCCTGATACATGTGATGGAAGAGAAGCAGGAGCTGAGCAAGTGCTGACCTTTGCACAGTGAAAGGCGGCTGGCATATAGTACTACATCCCCAAAGTATCCAGCAAATGAACCCCCAAATGTCTCCCCCCCAGCAACTCAGACTGCTTCATGCATGGGGGTTTTCATCTCCTGATTTGGGTAGCTTCAGAGTCCTGCCTGTTTTATTCCCACCCCTCCCCCAATTTTTTCTTTCTTTCTTTCTTTCTTTCTTTCTTTCTTTCTTTCTTTCTTTCTTTCTTTCTTTCTTCTTTCTTTCCTTCCTTCCTTCTTTCTGTCTTTCTTTCTTTCTCTCTCTCTCTCTCTCTTTCTTTCGTACTTCTTTCCTTATTATTTTTTGAGACTGTCTCACTCTGTCACCCAGACTGGAGTGCAGTGGCACCATCACAGCTCATTGCAGTCTCAAACTTCTGGGCTCAAGTGATCCCCCTGCCTCAGCCTCCCAAGTAGCTGGGACTACAGGTGTGCACCACCACACCCAGCTAATTTTTATATTTTTCTATAGAGATAGGGTCTTGCAATGTTGCCCAGGCTGGTCTCGAACTCCTGGGCTCAAGCGATCCTCCAGCCTTGGCCTCCCAAGGTGCTGGGATTACAGGTGTGAGCCACTGCACCCTGACAATTTGCTCTTTAAAAAGAGCTTTTTTGACATATACATAAAATTCACCGTTTAAAGTGTACAGGTCAGTGGTGTTTAGCATATTCACATGAACTGATTTGTTCTTTAGATCTTAGTGACTTCTGAGTAGGATATGAGGTTATTTATTTACAAAATTAAACACAATAGGAACAGGACAACAAATAAAAACAATACAGCTCCCCCCACATAGAAATTGGCTTTGCTGGCTGGGCAGGGTGGCTCACGCCTGTAATCCCAGCACTTTGGGAGGCTGAGGCAAGCGGATCATTTGAGGTCAGGAGCTCGAGACCAGCCTGACCAACATGGTGAAACCCCATCTCCACTAAAAATACAAAAAAAATTAGCTGGGCTGGGTGGCGCACACCTGTAGTCCCAGCTACTTGGGAGGCTGAGGCAGGAGAATTGCTTGAACCCGGGAGGCAGAGGTTGCAGTGAGCCGAGATCACTCCACTGCACTCCAGCCTGGGCGACACAGCGAGACTCTGTCTCAAAAAGAAAAGAAATAGACTTTGCCAGGCACCCAAATGAGTTTCTCCATTTGGGCATTTAGTTTAGCTTAAGTCCCCTGGCAGAGAAGAAAAAAGGGAAATGGGTTGTATAATTCTCATTGTCTGAGAAAACAATGAAGATACATTTCTCAAGGGAGATGCTCTTTCTTGGCAAAGACTCCAAGCAGGGCATTTGCATAAAGACATTATACATGACTCTTATTGATATACCAAAGACTTCTATTCAGAACAGTACTGACATTTCTCCACTTAAATAAATTATTTACTCAATAGATTTGTTGGCAGTAATAAAATGTCTAGTGTAACACTGCAATTAAGAACACAGGCTTTAGAGTCAGAAAACTTCACCAACTTACCGTCTTGTGTAACCTTCTGCAAGTTGTTTTGTCTCTATAAGTCTTAGTTGCCTCATCTGTAAATGGGGTTAATGATAGTTTTTCTATCAAAGGATTTTGGTATAAGGATTTAGTGATAAAGGAAGGTTAGGATGGTGCCTACACTGTTTCTCCACTATAAAGATATTTTATCTCAGGCGCAGTGGCTCACGCCTGTAATCCCAGCACTTTGGGAGGCCGAGGCGGGTGGATCACAAGATCAGGAGTTGGAGACCAGTCTTGCCAACATGGTGAAACACTGTCTGTACTAAAAATACAAAAATTAGCAGGGTGTGGTGGTGCGCGCCTGTAATCCCAGCTACTAAGGAGGCTGAGGCAGGAGAATCGCTTGAACCTGGAAGGCAGAGGTTGCAGTGAGCTGAGACTGGGCCACTGCACTCCAGCCTGGGTGACAGAGTGAGACTCTGTCTCAAAAAAAAAAAAAAAAAGGAAAAAAAGCAGTCTCACCCTTTGTATCAATAGTTTTTGTTTTTGTTTTTGTTTTTGTTTTTTGAGACGGAGTCTCGCTCTGTCGCCCAGGCTGGAGCACAGTGGCGTGATCTCAGCTCACTGCAACCTCCACCTCCCAGGTTCAAGTGATTTTATTGCCTCAGCCTCCAGAGTAGCTGGGATTACAGGTGCCCGCCACCATGCCCGGTTAATTTTTGTATTTTTAGTAGAGACGGAGTGTCACCATGTTGGCCAGGCTGGTCTCAAACTCCTGACGTCAAGTGGTCCGCCTGCCTCAGCCTCCCAAAATGCTGGGATTACAGGCGTGAGCCACTGCGGCCGACCTCAGTAAGTATCTTTTAAGGTGGTACTTTGTGATTATGTAAATATCCTGTTACTCCTCAAAGTTTTACCCACTAGTTTTGTTACAGGAAAGGGGTTCCAATCCAGACCCTGAGAGAGGGTTCTTGGATCTCACGCAAGAAAGAATTCATAAAGAGTCCATAGAGTAAAGTGAAAGCAAGTTTATTAGGAAAGTAAAGGAATAAAAGAATGTCTACTCCATAGATGGAGCAGCCCTGAGGGCTGCTGGTTGCCTATTTTAGTGGTTATTTCTTGATGATGTGCTAAGCATGGGGTGGATTATTCATGCCTCCTGTTTTTAGACTATTTAGAGTAATTTCCTGACGTTGCCATGGCATTTGTAAACTGTCATGGCGCTGGTGGGAGTGTAGCAGTGAGGATGACCAGAGGTCACTCTCATCACCATCTTGGTTTTGATGGGTTTTGGCTGACTTCTTTACTGCAAACTGTTTTATTAGCAAGATCTTTATGACCTGTATCTTGTGCCGACCTCCTATCTCATCCTGCGACTTAGAATGCCTTCACTGTCTGAGAATGCAGCCCAGTAGGTCTCAGCCTCATTTTACCCAGTTCCTATTCAAGATGGAGTTGCTCTGGTTTAAATGCCTCTGACATTTCTATCATCCACTGATAGTTCTTACCCAAATCAATCATTCCTAGGGTAACTGCCAAATGGTGATCTTCTAATGCTGTCATTCCTTCTGCAATTATTTGCTGACTTTCTACAGTAAGAAAGAGCTTTATGAAATGAAAGAAAATCTAAATAAGTGAAAACACTTATTTAGAACATTCTTGTTCATGAATCAGAAAACTTAATATTGTTAAGACAGCAATACTCTCCAGATTGATCTATAAATTCAATGCATTCCCTATCAGAATCCCAGCTGATGTATGTGTGTATGTGTGGTTTTATTTTGTTTTTGTTTTGTTTTGTTTTTGCAGAAATTAACGAGCAGACCCTAAAATTGACAAGGAAATGCAAGGTACCCAGAGCAGCCAAATGATCTTGAAAAAGAACAAAGTAGGACTCGCACTTTCTGAGTTAAAACTGACTTCAAAACTCCATTAATCAAGACAGTGTGTTCCTGGCATAAGAGTAAACATATAGATGAATGGAGCAGAATTTTTAGTGCAGAAATAAACTTTTAAATCATGGACATTCAACTTTTGACAGAGTTGCCAAGACAGTTCAATGGGGGAAATGTTAGTCTTTTCAACCAATGATGCTGGGACAACTGGATATCCATTTGCAAAAGAATGATGCGAGATCTCTGTCAGACCATACACAAAACAATCAAAATGGATCAAAGAGCCGGGCGCAGTGGCTCACGCCTGTAATACAGCATTTCAGGAGGCTGAGGCAGGAGAATTGCTTGAGCCCAGGAGTTTGAGACCAGCCTGGGCAACATGGCGAAACCCCGACTCTACTAAAAAATATAAAAATTAACCGGGCATGGTGGCACATGCCTGCAATCCTCCCAAAATCGGGAGGCCGAGGCACGAGAATTGCTTGAACCCAGGAGGTGGAGGTTGCAGTGAGCTGAGATCATGCCACTGTACCCCAGCCTGGGTAACAGAGAGAAACTGATCTTGGGTCAGAGTTAGGCAATGGTTTCTTAGATATGACACCAAAAACACAAGTGACAGAAGGAAAGAGATATAATTGGACTTCATGAAAATTTTAAAAATGTGTGCTACAAATGATGCCTTCAACAGAATGAAAAGACAGCACACAGCATAGGAGAAAATGTTTGCAAATCATATATCTGATAAGGGGCTTGTGTCCAGAAATCGTAAAGGACCCCTACAACTCTATAGTAAAAAGATAAATCGGCCGGGCGCAGTGGCTCACGCCTGTAATCTCAGCACTTTGGGAGGCCAAGGTGGGTGGATCACCTGAGGTCAGGAGTTGGAGACCAGCCTGGCCAACATTGTGGAACCCCGTCTCTACTAAAAATACAAAATTAGCCAGGTGTGGTGGCAGACACCTGTAATCCCAGCTACTCGGGAGGCTGAGGCAGGAGAATTGCCTGAACCCGGGAGGCAGAGGTTGCAGTGAGCTGAGATCGCGTCACTGCACTCTAGACTGGTGACAGAGCAAGACTCTATCTCAAAAAAAAAAAAAAAAAAAGATAAATCACCCAGAATGGACAAAGGATCTTGGCAGACATTTCTGCAACATTTCTGCAACAAAAACATGCAAATGACCGGCCAGGCATGGTGGCTCATGCCTGTAATCCCAGCACTTTGGTAGGCCAAGGCGGGTGGATCACCTGAGGTCAGGGGTTCGAGACCAGCCTGGGTAACCTGGTGAAACCCTGTCTCTATTAAAAATACAAAAAAAAACTTAGCTGAGTGTGGTGGCGGGCGCCTGTAATCCCAGCTACTCCGGTTGCTGAGGCAGGAGAATCTCTTGAACCCGGGAGGCAGAGGTTGCAGTGAGCCGGGATTGCACCATTGCACTCCAGCCTGGGCAACAGAGCAAGACTCTGTCTCAAAAAAAAAAAAAAAAAAAAAAAGCAAAAAACATGCAAATGACCAACAAGCACATGAAAAGATGCTCAATGTCATTAGTCATTAGTGAAATCCAAATCAAAACCACAATGAGATAAAGTTTCACATCTAGTAGGAAGACGGTAATAAAAAAAGACAGACAGTAACAGGATGAGGGGAAGCCAGAAGACTCATGTATTGCTGGTGGGAATGTAACATGCAGAATGTAAAAATGGTGAAGCTGTGCTGGAAAATAGTTTGGCAGTTCCTCAAAATGTTAAACACAGGGTTATATGGCCCAGCAAATCCACTCATAGAGAAACCCACCCAAGAAATTAAGGCATATAGTCACGCAAAAATTTGCAGGTGAATGTTCATAGCATATTCATTTATTTATTTGTTTATTTTTATTGAGACAGAGTCTCAATTTATCACCCATGCTGGCATGCAGTGGGGCGATCCCAGCTCACTGGAACCTCTGCCTCCCGGGTTCAAACAATTCTCCTGAGTAGCTGGATTACAGGTATGCGCCACCACATTTGGCTAATTTTTGTATTTTTAGTAGAGACAGTGTTTCACCATGTTGGCTAGGCTGGTCTCGAACTCTTGACCTCAAGCAATCCGCCTATCTTGGCCTCCCAAAGTGCTGGGATTACAGATGTGAGCCACTGTGACCAGCCATAGCAGCATTATTTATAAGAACTAAATAAATCATGGAAGGAACCCATATGACTATCAGCTGATGAATGGATAAATGAAAATGTGCTGTGTGCATACGATGGAATATTATTTGGCAATGGAAAGGAATGAAGTAGTGATACATGGTACAACGTAGATGGATGGACTTTGAAACAGTATGTGAGATAAGCTGATGACTACATATTATATGAACCCATTCCCGTGATTTGTTCAGAGTAGGCAGATCTACAGAGACAAAGTAGATTAGTGGTTGCCCAAGGCTGGAGGGCATTGGGGAATAACTACTAATGGTACAGGGCTTCTTTCTGGGATGATGAAAATGTTCTAAAATTAGATGTGGTGATGGCTGCACAACTCTGTAAGTATACTTAAGCCACTGAATTGTATGATTTAAATGGGCAAATTGATGTACGAATTATATCAATAAAGTTGCTTAAAAAAACAATATATAAACATTAAAAGAATCAAATATATAAAAAGGAAGAACTTTCTCCCCCATTTCCTTATTTATGTATGGCCATGTGGATTTGTGCATTCCATAGGTTAGAATCCTTTATTATCATATTTATTTTGATGCTCAAAGTGGTCCATATTTTACCAGTGGCAACACCTTCCAGCAACCATTGTGTCCTCTTGACAGTCTCCTATGATTCTTTGAGCATTTCTTTACTATTGTTTTCTTTACTTTTTGGTACAAGATAGTCCAGTCTTGCCTTGTATTTTTCTCATCTCACCCTGGAGTCAGCTGTCTCCCCAAAGAGCCTTGGTTCCTTTTGGTAGAGAATAGTATTTAGAAACCAAAATCTGGGCACTAGATGTGTTCATTGCTAGTGAGGTGTCAGCATGCAGAACTGAGAAATAGATATTGGTAAATTCATGCACACATACATACATAGCTTTACAATCTTCATCTGCTTCTAAATCTAGTTATACTAAAACCCATGAGTTCACACTCATACAATTCAATTTCAACCCAACACCACAGGGTTCATTCCATCCTTCCCCCTTTCCACTCCTTTTCTGACAGTAAGAAACCAGACTCCTGTTATCCACAATAAATGTACTTACTCATTTGCTCAATCCCAGGATGATCAGAAAGTAGTTTCAGAATTGCTAGCTCATGTCTCTAAGAAAAAAGAAAGCTACTAATTAGAGTTCAATATTTATTTAGAGTTCTTTTTGTTTTTTACCTGAGGACATATAGTTCAAATTCTGTTTTCAAAAAGTTAATTGGGTTTGTTCTTTTTCCCCCTATTTCAGTGTGGTTATGCTGCTCATTGGAATCATGGTTCAGTTTGGGTTTTTTAAAGTCAATTTTAGAATTCTTCCCTGATCCTTGTTGATTTCCTTCCTTCCTTCCTTTCTCTTCCCTCCCTCCTTCCTTCCTTTTCTCCTTCCTTCATTCTGTCTTTCCTTCCTTTCCTCTTTCCTTCTTTCCTTCTCTGCTTTTCTTTCCTTTCCTATTTTCCTTCCTTTCCTCTTTCCTTTGTTCCTTTCTTCCTCTGTCTCCCTTTCTCCTTCCTTCTTTCCTTCCTTCCTCCCTCCTTCCTTCCTCTTCTCTCCATCTCTTCCTCCCTACTTTCTTCCTTTCTCTCTGTCTCCTTCCTTCTTTCCTTTCTTCCTTCTTCCCTTCCTCCTTTCCTCCTCCTTTCCTCCTTTTCTCCTTCCTTCTTTCTGTGTAAAACCTTACTTTTTTCTTTCTCTTCCTTTCTTTCTGTGTAAAACCTTAACATGGTCCTGAAGTCAGGATCATACAAAAAGATATGTTCAGAGGAGTGTCATTTCCCCTCCCGTTCTTTCTGTCCTACTTACTCCATCCCCAATCATATCCTGTAGGTAACCAATCACATTAGCCTCTTGTTTATCCTTCCTATAGTTCTCTTCAGCCAAATGAGCAGATAGATGTATATTTTCTAATTCACCTTTTCCTCTGTACAAAAGGTAGCATACCATCAATGCTCTTTCACATTTGACTTTTTTTTCACTTAAGAATATATCCTAGGAAGTAGTCTCAATAAATTCATAGAGATCTTATTTTATTTCATTTTTTTTTTGAGATGGAGTTTCACTCTTGTCCCCCAGGCTGGAGTGTAATGGCATGATCTTGGCTCACCACAACCTCTGCCTCCCAGGTTCAAGCAGTTCTCCTGCCTCAGCCTCCCTAGTAGCTGGGATTACAGGCATGCACCACTACACCCAGCTAATTTTGTATTTTTAGTAGAAACAGGGTTTCTCCATGTTGGTCAGGCTGGTCTCGAACTCCTGACCTCAGGTGATCTACCCGCCCCGGCCTCCCAAAGTGCTGGGTTTACAGGTGTGAGCCACGGTGCCTGACTGAGATCTTATTTTTTACTGCTGCATAGGACTCCGTGGAGTGGATGTACTACAGTTTATTCAACCACTCTGTTGCATAGGTGAATTTAGTTTCCAATATTTTCCATTGTTGGAGGTGGTGTGTTCAGCAAAAATTCCTAGAAGCGGGATTACTGGGTCAAAAAGTAAAAGCATATGTAGTTTTGTGAGCTAGACAAATTCCCTCTATAAGGGTTGTAATAATTTTCACTCTCATTGATAATCTGTAAGAGTGTCTATTTCCCTACAGTCTCCACAACACAGTAAGTTGTTATGCTTCTTAATTCTTTGCCAATCTAATAGAAGAGAAATGGTATCTCAATGCAGTTTTAATGAGCATTTCTCTTATCATGAGTGAGGCTGAACGTATTTTTTTTTTTTGAGACGGAGTCTCACTATCGCCAGGCCGGAGTGCAGTGGCATAATCTTGGCTCACTGTAATCTCCGCCTCCTGGATTCAAGTGATTCTCCTGCCTCAGCCTCCTGAATAGCTGAGACTACAGGCGTGCGCCACCACACCCAGCTAATTTTTGTATTTTTAGTAGAGATGGGGTTTCACCATGTTGGCCAGGACGGTCTTGATCTGTTGACCTCATGATCCACCCGCCTTGGCCTCCCAAAGTGCTGGGATTATAGGCATAAGCCACTGCGCCCAGCTGAACGTATTTTTATACAGTTGATCCTTGAACAATGCCAAGGTTAGGGGCATTGACTCCCTATGCAGTTAAAAATCCATGTGTTACTTTGACTCCTCCAAAACTTAATTAATAATATCCTACTGTTGACTGGAAGACTTACTGATAACATAAACAGCCAATTAACATATTTGGTATGTTATGTGTATTATATATGATATTCCTACAATGAAATAAGCTAGAGAAAAAATGTTATTGAGAATATCATAAGGAAAATATATTTACTAACTACTTAAGTGGAAGTGGCCCATCATAAAGGTCTTCATTCTCATTGTCTTCATGTTGAATAGGCTGAAGAGGAGAAGAAGTTGGTCTTACTGTCTCAGGTTTGGCAGAGGTGGAAGAGGTAGAGGAGGTGGAAAGGAAGGCAAGAGAGACAGGCACACTCTGTGTGCTATTTATTTATTTATTTATTTTTGAGACGGAATCCTGCTCTGTTTCCCAGGCTGGAGTACAGTGGTGTGATCTCCTCTCACTGTTACCTCCACCTCCCAGGTTCAAGCGATTCTCGTGCCTCAGCCTCTCGAGTAGCTGAGATTACAGGCACTCACCACCATGCCCAGCTAATTTTTGTGTTTTTAGTAGAGACAGGGTTTTGCCATTTTGGCCAGGCTGGTCTTGAACTTCTGACCTCAGGTGATCCACCCACCTTGGCCTCCCAAAGTGCTGGGATTACAGGCATGAGCCACCACACCTGGCCTCTTTTATTGAAAAAAAAAATCTGCTTTTAAGTGGACCCATGCAGTTCAAGTCCATGTTGTTCAAGGGTCAACTATACTTTAAGGACCATTTTTATTTCATTTTTTCACTTTATAAATTATGTTTATAAAGTTAATGTTAATATTAATTTATAAAGTTGTTAATATTCATGAATTAAATTTATAAATTAATAAATTTTAAAGTATCTTAGTTGTCTTTTGTTTTTATTTGTTTGTTTTTGAGATGGAATTTCACTCTTGTTGCCCAGGCTGGAGTGCAATGGCGCAATCTTGGCTCACTGCAAACTCCACTTCCCAGGTTCAAGCGATTCTCCTGACTCAGCCTCCCAAGTAGGTGGTATTATAGGTATGTGTCACCATGCCTGGCTAATTTTGTATTTTTAGTAGAGATGGGCCTCTACCATGTTGGTCAGGCTGGCGTTGACCTCCTGACTTCAGGTGATCCACCCACCTTAGACTCCCAAAGTGCTAGGATTATGAGCATGAGCCTCCATGCCTGGCCTCTTCATTGTCTTTTGACGTTGGGTATATAGAGAAGTCTTTTTTCATGTAGTTAATTTATACATTTTATTTGAGACAGGGTCTCACTCTGTTGTCCAGGCTGGAGTGCAGTGGCACAATCATGGCTCACTACAGCCTCAAACTCCTGGACTTAAGGGATCCTCTCACCTCTGCCTCCTGAGTCACTGAGACTATAGGCATACATCACCATGCCTGGCCAATTTTTAAATTTTTTTTAGAGATGGGATCTTTCTATGTTGCTCGGGCTGGTCTCAAACTCTTGGCCTCAAGTGATCCTCCTGCCTTGGCCTCCTAAAGCGCTGGGATTACAGGTGTGAGCCACCATGCCTGATGCATTCTCCTAAATTATGTTCTGGATTATATATCCTCCTTCCAAAGGTACATTATTATGCTAATATTAGTTACATTGCATATTGCTTACTATTAGCTAATAGACCAAACATTTTAATAAATACTGCTGTTTTTATAGAAATCACATGGTGAGTAGAATAGCATGCTAATTTTTTGTTTGGTTTTTGCCTGCTAACTTTTGACCCCACTATAGGAAGTTTTCCCATTTGGACCATATCTCTAGCTTAAGTGCCATCATTGATCCGCTGGAAGTTACCCAAATTTCAGGCATGAACCCTGGAAAGAAAGAAATGGCTTATGCATGTAAACCTTGTCAAATTTGATCTATAATGTGGCCAGTGTTAGTCCCTAAGGCCTTGCTGAGAATTATTCATCTCTAAGGCTTTGCTGAGAATTATTTTGTCAGAGCAGAAGTGCTAGGGGCATCCAGGTAGCTTGGAGCAGCTGGCCCCTTGGGGGTAGGAAGAAGACACACTAAACACAAGCAAATCCTTCTTTATAATTTTCCCCAACACAGGCCTTCCCCTGATATCCAAAGAGGTTGTTATTTCTAACATACCATAGTACCGAAGAACTGGGCAGGCATCTTCTTCATTTAAGAGGGAGTTGCCATGAATACAACAGGTCAAGGAGTTCGGGAGATCCTTACCTGTCATCCTGCCCTGGTACTAGCAAAGGGAGGAAGTAGATCAGGGAAAGGCATGTGGAAGAAAAGTGTTTTTATTTTTATGTTTTATTTTCACGTTTCAGCTGTTTTAGGGTCATCAGCCAACCTTTACAGTGTCTTCCCATAAAGTAGTTAAGAGTCTAAATTGAGGAGCAACTGCATTTTTCAGACAGGGAAAAGGAAGCTGAGAGTTGAGCCACAGGGTAACTGGTCCTGTTTCCCAACCCACTGCATGGCCTCAAGGATCAGAGGTCCCCTGGCTTTTCTCTCCACCACTCACCTGGCAAATGCCTGTTGTTTACCCTGTGTGCTTGGCATTGTATGAGGTACCATTACCTGAAAAACAGTTTAGGGGACGTTTGCTCTGTTTCTATCTTAGTCAGCCCAGGCTGCCATAACAAAATAACACAGACTGGGCAGCTTAAGCAACAGACATTTATTTCTCATAGTTCTAGAGGCTGAGAAGTCCAAGATCAAGACGTCAGAAGACCTGTTCCTGGTGAGGGCTCTCTTTCTGGCTTGCTGAGGGCCGCCTTCTGGCTGCGTCCTTGTATAAACATTCCTCTGTGCATGGGTAGAGAAACAGATATATCTCCTCTTCTTATAAAGATATCTTTCCTATTAGATTAGGGCTCTACCTTTATAACCTCATTTAACCTTAGTCACCACCTAAAGGCCATATCTCCATATATAGTCACTCTGGGAGTTACGGTTTCAATATATAAATTTGGGGGTTGGGGGGATACAACTCACACTGTAATGATTTCTTTCTGGAATTTTAAGATCTTGAAAAAGAGTTGGTGCTGATTGTGGTGGCATATAATCCCAATGCTTTGGAAGGTTGAGGTGGGAAGATTGCTTGATGACAAGAGTCTGAGACCAGCCTAGGCAATATAGCAAAACACTGTCTCTACAAAAAAAAAAAAAAAATTAAAAATTAGCTGGGCACGGTGGCATACACCTGTAGTTCCAGCTACTAGGCAGGCTGAGGCAGGAGGATTACTTGAGCCTGGGAGGTTGAGGCTGCAGTGAACTGTGATTACATCACTGCATTCCAGCCTGGGTGACAGAGCAAGACCTTGTCTCCAAATAAAAAAATAGTTGAGATCACAGATATTTTGAGTCCAAGTGAGATTTTACCTATTGGCCAAGGCATCTGAGATCACCTAGTCTGTGGGACAAGTGGGAAAACTGGGTTAAAAAATTCTTATTCTTCCAAATAGACAAGAGCAATGAGATGGAGCCACAAAATAGTCACGCCTCTAGCACACACTCATAAACTGGTTGGGTAGAGAGTCACTTACACAGTCCTAGCCTTGTGCCTTGCACATAGTAGGTGTTCCATCCAAACTGGCTGAATGAATGAACAAATGAATGAGTGTGTGAACGACAATGATTTCCACTGAATGTGGTAAATGTCCAATACCTAGGATTTTAATAAAAAGAGGCTTGCTGTCTCCCTTCTGTCTGCCATTCACACAATTCTGAGCTTGAAGCTGAGCATCTCATTTTTCAGCCTTGGGTTTCTCTTACTTCATGTACTTTAGGAAGGGCAGAGCTTCCTCCAAGCCTTTGTGAAGTGAGCCTTAGATAAACTGCGGAGGTGTGAGAAGCACCTGTCTAAGAAGATCTATAAAACGTCTCCTGTAGGTCTTTAATCCGATTCCTCCAGGGTGTGTGGCATTGGCGGTTCACCAAGGTTCAATCAAACGCAGAGAAGTGGGAATGGATTTCCTCTTGACGCAGTTGGCTAGATGGCGAGTCTCTTTGCTTTGCTTTTTTTTTTTTTTTTTTTGTCTTTTGCTTTGCACTTTTCACAAACCTATTTTGAGCTCTAAGATGGCTGGGACTCCAAAGAATCAGACAAATGCTTTTTGATAATCAAGGAGAAGTTTATTTAAAGATCTGTTTAAGGATTCTGCCAGCTTAACTTTAACTACACATGGGGTGTACTAAGTTAGAAAAATGGGCTGGGCACGGTGGCTCATACCTATAATCCCAGAGCTTTAGGAGGCCAAGGTGGGAGGATCGCTTGAGCTCAGGAGTTTGAGACCAGCCTGGGCAACATAGCAAGACCCTAGCTCTACAAAAATTTTAAAAATTAGCTCGGCGTGGTGGCATGTGCCTGTAGTCCCAGGTTTTCAGGAGGCTAAGGCAGGCGGATTGCTTAAGCCTGGTATATTGAGGCTGCAGTGAGCCATGATCATGTCATTGTACTCCAGCCTGGGTGACAGAGTGAGACCCTCTCTCTAAAAAAAAAAAGAAAAGAAAAAAAATGTTCAGCCTAAGTCTATTTCACAGTGACTTATGTTAATGGCAAAATGTTTCATATTTTTCAAGCTAATTGAGATAAATCAAGAAAATTAAGTCTACCTTGCAAAACTTGAATCGGGATAAAGCTATCGGAGGAGGATCCCTACTCTAGCAAAACTATAACATTAAATGTAGAAGACTTAATAAATATTTGATAAACTCAATTCAGTTTACCTTCATGGGGTGCCTAACATGTACATATAGGGGCATAATAATGAATGCTACAAGGTTTACAAAAAAGAATACAATAGTTTGTCAAGGTGCTCTGGCTTCTTAAGAATTTCATATCACAATAATGTAAAAATATATAGCATTTGAGAAAAATTAGCTCATGCATTTTATCTTTAAGGATTCCACTTCCTCTATATACAATTTTAATCCTACCGTACGTCAGAAGAGCTTTGTAGACATAAACAAAAGTTCCAACCTTAAGAATAGCTTGTAAAATGTCGGTCGAGCCTCAATAATGTTGTTTTAAAAACATTAATTTAGACAAGGTGTTCTAGCTGAGAGCCGAAACAAAGGAACGGAATTCATTTATGGGTTCCTCCGCCAGGGGTACACACACATTCCCACCATCATTTGCTGATTTAATTCTATCTTTGGCTCGAGATGTTTTCCCTGAGCTCCCATGAAGAAATCCACCCAGAGAGAAGCAAGTTCTCTCACCCACGGAACTCAATCTGGGCTTGAGAGCAGAGAAATAACACTAGTTCCTCTCAAAAAGGCTCTTATTACTGTGGGATTCTTCCCCCCCGCCTCCCTCCCCACACTTTCCAAAAGGCTCTATAGAAAGTCTCCATGATTTGCTCCTTTTGTGTTTCTCATTAGGGCTGAGAGGAACCCTATTGAGCTGCCCTGACATTATCTTGATCCACCTGATGCCTGGGTGCTTGGCAATGTCATTTTGCTCGAGAGATAATACCTACCCTGATTATGTCCATCAGAGAGCCGGGCATGGAAAAAGTCAGCATAAAGCTGCTATCGGAAACGAAGTTCTCTTTCGGACTGTGGCAGCTCAGGGCAAGGCCAGCCAAGTGCCTACGATTCCAGGACACTGTGAACCTGCAGGCCAGCAAAGCACTCCTGTTTCCTCATTTACCCTGCCCTTCTGGGGACTCACATCCCCCCTTGGTTTGAGGACTCCAGGGGAAAATAAGCACAACTGACGTTGGTCTTAGGGATAATTTAATCTTGAATATGTAATCTCAGAAGCCGACAGGGGCCAGGCAAGGATAAAAATGTATGGATCAGATTTGTTTATACATTATTATTATTATTATTATTATTTTACAACAGGGTATCCTTCTGTCGCCCAGGTTGGAGTACAGTGGCACCATCATGGCTCACTGCAGCCTCGACCTCCTGGGCTCAAGCAATCCTCCCGCCTCAGCCTCCCGAGTAGCTGGGACAACAGGCATGAACCCCTGGCACCTGCCTTAGATTGTTTAATACAATAAGGAGTTGTGGGGTCAAGTGTCTAAACTGGCTGTCATAAGGAATTCAAATGTATGTGACTCCCTTCAAGCACACAAAACACATCCTGTGGCTTCCACAGGCCCTCAAGCTACGAACGTGCCATTCCTTTTCCTTTTTTTTTTTTTTTTTTTGAGATGGAGTCTCGCTCTGTCCCTCAGGCTGGAGTGCATTGGTGCAATCTCAGCTCACTGCAACTTCTGCCTCCCGGGTTCAAGCAATTCTTGTGCCTCAGCCTCCCTAGTAGCTGGGAGTACAAGTGCGTGCCACCACACCTGACTAATTATTTATTATTATTATTATTATTATTATTTTTAGTAGAGACAGGGTTTTGCCATGTTGGCCAGGCTGGTCACGAGCTCCTGACCTCAGGTGATCCGCCCGCCTTGGCCTCCCAAAGTGCTGGGATTACAGGCGTGAGCCACCGTGCCTGCCCAAAGCTTCCCATTTATCTATCATATGTCCATGACAAGTTACTTAATCTTTCAGCTTTCTCATCTATAGGATTGGGATTCCACAAACAAGGCTGTTGTGAGAGTATAATGAGATGAGAATGGAAGCTTTTAGACCAGTGCCAGATGCAGATGAAGCTTTCGTTCAGTGTTGATTATTATTGTATTGTTGTATTGGTATTATGATCTGGCGTGGTCCAAAACACCATTAGTAAAACACTAATGTTCCCCAGAAGCCTAAACACAAGGAAAAGACTAAAAATAAGCCTAGTATGTGAATCACACAGCATATCAAGGAAAATTACAAGGAGAGAAATTACATGGCCCAGCCAGGAAAACTGAATCATGAAAACCAAGCAGTAATGCTATCCAAGGTGAATCTTTTCACCAGCCAGGGAGGTAAGAATTAAGCAAATTTGTTCTCAAGAAAGATATGGCAGAGAGCTTTCTCTGAAAAAGAAAAACTGAACAATCTGCTTAGTAAAAGCTCTTAGGAAAAAATATTTCCTTCACCAAATTCATATTCAAAATGATCGTGAGCCAAAAAAGGAGGTGGGGGTATTTTTCCTCTAGTGAATTGAGATAGAAAGTTTCTTATAAATTAAAAACTTTCAGCCAGCTGCAATGGCTCACACCTGTAATCTGAGCACCTTTGGTGGCCAAGGTGGAGGGATCACCTGAGGTCAGGGGTTCAAGATCAGCCTGGGCAACATAGTGAGATCTTGCCTTTACAAAATACTTAAAAATTAGCCAGGCATGGTGGTGCATGCCTGTAGTCTCAGCTACTCAGAAGACTGAGGTGGGAGGATTGCTTGAGCCCTGGAGGTTGAGGCTGCGGTGAGCTATCCTCGCACTACTGCACTCCTGCCTGGGTGACAGAGTGCGACCATGTCCCTAAAACAACAACGCCAACAATAACAACAGAAGTTTCCAAAAGAACACAGCAAATTGGCCAGGTGTGGTGGCTCATGCCTGTAATCCCAGCACTTTGGGAGGCCGAGGGGTGGATCACCTGAGGTCAGGAGTTCGAGACCACCCTGGCCAACATGGTGAAACCCCGTCTCTACCAAAAATACAAAAATTAGCTGGGCCTGGTGATGCACATCTGTAATCACAGCTACTCGGGAGGCTGAGGCAGGAGAATCACTTGAACCCGGGAGGTGGAGGTTGCAGTGAGCCGAGATTGCACCACTGCACTCCAGCCTGGGTGACAGAGCAAGACTCTGTCTCAAAAAAAAAAAAAAAAAAAAAAAAAAAGAATGGAGCAAATTAACCCCATCCTATTAAAATAAACACACCTTCTTAGATATCCTAAATTTTACTGTCTTAGGCTGGATTTCTGCATGCAAGTAGTTCACTGGGGACTGTCACTTCTGAGCCTTTGAATCTTTGTTCATCATCTGCCACAGTAGTTCTGACATTTCTGCTTCCTTTAATGTGAGCCTCTACTTTCTCCAATATTCAAGATTTATCCTAGCAGCACGTTAGCACACTTTCCAGGGGTCTTTGCAGGGTGTCCGATGCAGTATACATACACGGGACAGTGTTTTCATACCAACAAACTCTTCCACATCCAATCCTTCCCCTTGGTCCAGCACCCCAAGAATCCAATCCCATGCATACTATTCACCCCATGGGTACAATCCCTCTGGTTCCTTAGCAGGTCCAGTCCTCTTCAGATGGCGCTGTGATGGCTTGATCCTTGACATTTGTCTGGTGCCAGGAGGGGAGATCAGGCCCCTCCTCACTGGTGTGCACATCACCCTGAAAAGCTGACGCTTCTCTACAGTCTTCCAGCAGCCTCTAACGAGGAAGGGGTGGGCTCCTGCTGCAGGGTCAGGGGGTTTAGAGGGGTCTGGGGCTTCAAGATTCTCAAGTGCATCAACCCAGGTGACCCCATCTCAATCCTCAGGGTCCCATCCCTTCCCTTTCAGGCTCTGAGCTGACTCAGCAGACTTGCTGGAACTGAGAATACAGTCCACTCTGGAGGACTGGGGCTAATCGAACAGTGAAGACCTGGGCTTGACTTTTCCTGTTTTCTGGCTGCAGGAGATAAGAGTCTCTTTCTATGCTATGAGAAGGCCCTCTGCATTTCACACTTCGACCCTTATGATCTTCCTCCAAGGCATCGGTGGGTGCTCATTAAAAAGCATCTCATTTCATTGGGATCACTCATTTCATTATAATATTACTTCATTCCCTTAACCTCTCAAAAGCCAGAGAGATTGCCCAAGCCAGAATGCCCCTTTCCCTTCACCACCTGTGTGAGTTTCACCCTTGCATCACTACAGCCAACCAGGTGTTACCAGCACCCCATTTGCCACTGGCGCAGCCTCACCTGGGGGGCTGGGATCCAAATATCCGGCTTTTTTTTTTTTTTGAGACAGGGTCTCACTCTGTTGTCCAGGCTGGAGTGCAGTGGTGTGTTCATAGCTCACAGCAGCCTAGAACAACTGGGCTCAAGCGATCCTCCCGTCTCAGCCCCGCAAAGTGCTGGGATTTAGGTGTGAGCCACTGCATCCGGCCCCATAGCCTACTTTTGAGTCAGCTTCCTTGGACAGCTCCTGATGCCAACTGTCTTAAGTCCATTTCTGCAGAAATAGGCTCTCAGTCTGAGATGTGCATGCAGGATGTTGACTGGGGAGGCGTAGAGTCCATCATCAGTGGGAGAATGAAGGTTGAAGGAATTAAACTACAAGGCAGTTGCAACAAATGCTTCAGCACATTCTGCAGAAGCTCCGGAGCAGTGCAGTCCCCTCAGGGCTATCTGTCCTGAGATGATGGGGCCTGAATCTTCAGACTGTCCCATGAGCCAGTCATGGGAGGTGGCTGTCCTGGGGAGGCAGTGTGACTTTGGGTGAGGACAGTTTCCAGACAGGGACTGAGGATGGCCACTCCCCAAGCAGCAGGCAACCCCTCATCACCTCCCTCCACCCTGGGCCCCTCCTTATTGCAGCCAGAGTGGGGAAACCGCAGCAAATCTCATCACATGACCACTGTCCTACCTAAAACCCTTTCCTGGCTTCCCAGTGCCCTCAGAATCAAGCCCAGCTGCTGTCACATAGTTCTTCATTAAGGCTTTGCATGATCTGATATCTGAGGATTGTTGCAGCCCCATTTTTTAAATTTTATTTTTATTTTGTATTGCTTTTTAAGAGACAGAGTCTTGCTCTATCACCCAGGCTGGAGTGCAGGGTGCAATCATAGCTTACTGCAGCCTCGACCTTCTGGCTTGAAGCAATCCTCCCACCTCAGTCCCCCAAGTTGCTTGGACTACAGGCATGTGCCACCATGCCTGGCTAAGATTTAAATTTTTTTTTTTTTTGTAGAAAAGGCGTCTTGCTATGTTGCCTAGGCTGGTCTTGAACTCCTGGCCTCAAGCAATCCTCTTGTCTCAGCCTCCCAAAATGCTAGGATTTTTTGTTTTTTGAGTCAGAGTCTCACTCTGTCACCCAGACTGGAGTGCAGTGGTGTGATCTCGGCTCACTGCAACCTCTACCTCCCAAGTTCAAGCGATTCTCAAGCCTCTGCCTCCCAAGTAGCTGGAATTACAGGTGTCTGCTACCACACCTGGCTAATTATTTTATTTTTAGTAGAGACGGGGTTTCACCATGTTGGCCAAGCTGGTCTTGAACTCCTGACCTCAGGTGATCTGGCCACCTCAGCCTCCTGAAGTGCTGGGATTACAGGCATGAGCCACCGCACCTAGCCCACTCACTTTTACTTGGGGTGTTTTTTGCTACCTCTTTTTTTTTTTTTTTTTTTTTTTGGAGACAGAGTCTCACTCTGTTGCCCAGGCTGGAGTGCAGTGGCGCAATCTCGACTCACTGCAACCTCCACCTCCCAGGTTCAAGCAATTCTTCTTGCCTCAGCCTCCTGAGTAGCTGGGACTACAAGCCTGCGCCACCGCGACTGGCTAATTTTTGTGTTTTTAGTAGAGATGAGGTTTCGCCATGTTGGCCAGGCTGGCCTCGAACTCCTGGGTTCAAGCGATCTGCCCGCCTCGGCCTCCCAAAGTGCTGGGATTACAGGCATGAGCCACCGCACCTGGCATTTTTGCTAACTTTTGATCACACACATTTGTACCTAAATTGCTTCCACAACATTAACCAGTTATTTTGCTGGGGACACTTTCAGTATTGCAACTTAGACAAGGACAAACTCTAAAAGCATGAATTGCTATGAATGCCTAGAATCCTCTTCTGAATCCACGCTACCTCTCTGCCCCTCTCTGAATGAATATATATGCCTGGTGTAGACAAGTCACATCTATAAACCAAACTTGAATTTTTTCCAGATGCCATAAGTATGATGTTTAACAATGAGAAGCTGATAAGAGAGAAGTCTTTCAAACCTTGAAGCTGCATTTCAGAAATAGCTACAGATAGAGATATAAGCTATTAGGCCTTTTCCCAAAAGAACGTGAGTAGAATGAAAAATCCATCTCAGCATGGATGAAAGAAAAATAAGAAATAGGGTTTTTGTGTGTGGACACAGTATTGGTATGATAAAGGGAAAACTGAACTTTGAGCATGTACAAGTCTGATATTTATGAATCACCAAATGTATCATCTTCATCACTTTATTAGACGTCTTCATTTTTATCGTGACACTAATAATAATAGTGAGTGCTGCTGTGTACCAAGTCCCACAATCATCACTTAACAAATAAGTAGTATGTCATCTAATATAACGACCCTATGAAAAGATATGATTAGTGCCATCTTATGGAAAAGGAAATTAAATCTGTTTTTAGATCATCAGCTCAAATTATAAGATTAGTAGTGAACACAGGTTTGTTTGATCTAAAGCCTGAATTCCTTTCTTATTTTTTATTTGTTAGAGACAGGGTCTTACTCTGTTGCTCAGGCTGGAGTGCAGTGGCATGATTATAGCTCACTGCAGCCTCCAGCTCCTGGGCTCAAGAGATCCTCCTGCCTCAGCCTCCCTAGTGTAGTTGAGACTAGAGGTATGCACCACCACACCTGGATAATTTTTAATTTTTTTGTGTGTGGAGACAGGTATACCATATTTTCTTTATCCTTTCATCCGTTGATGGACACTTAGGTTGGTTCCATATCTTTGCTGTTGTGAACAGTGCTGCAATCAACATTTAAATGCAGGTATCCCTCCGATATACTGATTTCTTTTCCTTTGGATAAATACCCAGTAGTGGGATTACTGGATTCTATGGTGGTTCTAGTTTTAGATTTTTGTTAGAATTCTGAAGGCATCACTCCCCTGCCCTGTAGAGTTCAGTGCTGCTGCTGAGACACTTGATGCCATTCTAATCCCTGATCCTTCCTATGTGAATTTTTACTGTCTTGGAAGTTTTGCTTTGGGGACTTCTCTTTGCCTCTAGTATCCTGAAATTACATTATTACGTGCCTTACTGAAGGTCTATTTTGCATGGGGCCTTTGGTGGCCCCCCTCAATCTAAGTCCCTATGCCCTTTATCTCTGGGGACATTTATAAAATAGCTTTATTGAGATATAACCTATATACTATAAAATTCACCCATGTAAAGTGTACAATTCAATGGTTTTCAGTATATTTACAGAGTTGTGCAACCATCATAAAAGTATCTCCATCATCACCAGAACAAACCTTCTACCCATTTGCAATAATTTCTCAATCTCCCCATCACCAGCCCTAAGTCACTACCAAATGACTTGGGGAATAATTCTTAAGAATTATTACTTTAATAACCACCCCCTCCATTTTCATTGTTCTCTGTCTAGAATAGCTGTTATTCAGGTATTGGATCCCCCAAGTGATGTTTTAATTTTCTTACCTGCTCTCCAATTTCCATCTCTCTCCCTTTGTCTGTTCTGCTTGAAAGGAGACCTCTGGCTGGGCACGGTGGCTCATGCCTGTAATCCTAACACTGTGGGAGGCTGAGGTGGGAGGATCGCTTAAGCCCAGGAGTTTGAGACCAGCCTGGGCAACACGGCGAAACCCTGTCTCTATTTAAAACAAAAAAATAATAAATAAATAAATAAATAAATAAATAAATAAATAAATAAATAAGGGAGAGTTCCACAACTTAGCTTCCAAAACTTCCATTGAAGATTTTATTTGTTACAAAATGTTTAACTTGTTTTCTTGTTCTCTGAATGTCCTTTTGTAATTGCCTGTTCTTGCTTCATAGATGTACTATCCTTTTTTTAAAGAAAATCTCTGAAGATCTCACTTGAAGGTTTCTTCTGCTCCTTGCATTGTTTCCTTTAAGCTCTTCCTTTCTTCTGTTTATTTTGGTCTCTGACTTTCACAGTAGAGCTTCCTCAATATGAGGTGATATTTGACTATAGACTCATGCTTGGGAATGAAGCACTCAGAAGTCCTCCGGTCTATGTGGCTGTGACTTATTGGCTGGTGATCTTTCCCACAAAGGAGTGGTTCCAAGCCCGCCCTGGCAGCATGCTTTTATCACCAAGGAGGCTTTAAAACCAACACAAATGCCAGGGCCCTGCCCCTGGAGCATGTGGTTGAATTGGCTGGATCCCTGACATTCATATATTTAAAAGCTTCCCAGATGGTTCCATTGTCCAGGGGGAAGAAGCTCAGCTGGGGTACTGGCCCCCTTCACTGGGAGGGACCTCAACTACCAATACACAGGACATGCTTTTTTTCTTTAGGCTTATCAGATTCCTTGGAAGAGAATCTTTCAATCTCCCACCTTATGGGTAGGTGTCTAAGGTTCTATGACCCTACTGGGGGAAGTGGCTGAGGGTCTCTTTAATCAGTACATAGGTATGGAAATGCTGGGGTTGGGTGCAGGGGCTCATGCCTGTAATCCCAGCAGTTAGGGAGGCTGAGGCGGGAGGATTGCTTGAGGCCAAGAGTTTGAGACCAGTACAGGCAATATAGTGAGACTCCATCTCTAGAAAAAGAAAAAAAAAATAGGTAAGTAGATGCTCATGCTATTCGTGCTCTCTGTATAGAAGTTGCACACTTGTTCAGGCACGATGGCTCATGCCCGTAATACCAACACTTTGGGAGGCCGATACGGGAGGATCACTTGAGGCCAGGAGTTTGAGAACATCCTGGGCAATATAGCAATACCTCATTCTACAAAAATTTTAAAAATTAGCCAGGCATGGTGGTGCGTGCCTATAGTCCCAGCTACTTGGGAGGCTGAGCTGGAAGGATAACTTGAGGCCAGGAGTCAGAGGCTGCAGGTAGCTATGATTGTGCCTCTGCACTCCAGCCTGGGAAACAGAGCAAGACCCTGTCTCTAAAATAAATTTCAAAAACACAAAACCAGAAAAAGAAGCACACTTAACTGTGCCTTGTGTGCCTGTGCCTGGAATCGGAGTGTAAATATCTAGTGTAATCAGCACTAGCATCAACAGTGCCTAGAAATTTGCTAGAAATGCAAGCTCTTGGGGCCTGCCTTGGATCTGCTGCCTCGGAAGCTCTGAAAGGTGGGGCTCAGCCATCTGCCCCTGGACAAGCCTTCCAGGCATTGGGCTACTGGCTCACCTTTGAGAACTACTCCTCTAGTCTTCTACTGGGGAGGGAGCACAGACATTCAGTTCAAACTGGGGAATGGCATTTGAGGATCCAAGCGCTTCTCCTGCAGTGTCTCAGCTGGTCTTCCAGTGTTCAGCCTGACCTCCACACCCACTGTGAGAAGTGTCTGGGTCCCCAGTGCCTCCATCTGAGATTTTGTATTAGAAAGCAGTGGGCCGGGCACAGTGGCTCATGTCTGTAATCCCAGCACTTTGGGAGGCTGAGGCGGGTGGATTACTTGAGGTCAGGAGTTCGAGACCAGCCTGGCCAACATAGCGAAACCCCATCTCTACTAAAAATACAAAAATTAGCCAGGTATAGTGGCGCATGCCTGTAATCCCAGCTACTAGGGAGGCTGAGGCATGAGAATCGCTTGAATCCAGGAGGCGGAGGTGGCAGTGAACCGAGATTGCACCACTGCACTCCTGGGTGACAGAGCAAGACCTTGTCTTAAGGAAAAAAAAAAAAGGCTGGGCACGGTGGCCTAAGTCTGTAATCCCAGCGCTTTGGGAGGCCGAGGTGGGTGGATCACGAGGTGAGGAGTTCGAGACCAGCCTGGCCAAGATGGTGAAACCCTGTCTCTACTAAAAACACAAAAATTAGTCGGGCATGGTGACAGGTGCCTGTAATCCCAGCTACTTGGGAGGCTGAGGTAGGAGAATCGCTTGAACCTGGAGGGTGAAGGCTGCAGTGAGCCGAGATCGCGCCACTGCACTCCAGCCTGGGTGACAGAGTGAGACTCCGTCTCAAAAAAAAAAAAAAAAAGCAGTGGAAGTGGACTGGGGCCTCTCTTCAATGTCCAGTTTTTATTTCTCTCATCTCCTAAGACAATTTCAGCTCGTCCATTTGCTTTCCAGTTCTGAGATTTTATTGTTCTAAGGTGTTATTGTTCTCTTCTCCTTTGCAGTTCTCTTTATCCTTGCAGCTCATATCCATTTTAATCCCTTTTCTGCCACTTTCAGTGAGGTTGCAGGAGGGTATTTAATCCACCAGGTTTTCCCGAAGTCTCATGATACAGATTGAGTGAATAAAGAACACTGCAGAAAAAAATTAATACAGAAATATCTGTTTTCCGTAGATCACAAAGAGAAAATTACAAAACCATGATATATGAGTTTATATATTTGTATATGTTTGTGCATGTATTTTAATACACAGAATGGAAGGATATATATACTCCTGACTGTTAAGGTGACTTATCTCAGGCCTCCAGGAAGTTGTGTTAGAGTAGAAACGGGGAAGGGACTATTATTTTAAAATCTATTTAGCACTTAATTATTCAAATTACTATGAAGAGTAAGTACTGCTTGTGTAATTAAACATATTGAAAATATATTTGCTTTGCAAAAAGTGGCCATTTAAAAAAAATTCACATAGTGACCCCACCCAGGGGTTGGCAGACCTGGGGGTTCAGGGAAGAAAAATTTCTAATTCCCTGATGTTGTCTCAGATTTAGGCTGGACCTACCCCGAACCAGCTAAATCCAAATATTCAAGTATGTGAAGCTTGGACTTCAGCCTGTTTACATCTTGATACTGGTACAGTATAAATTAGGAGTTCTGAAGCCTGACCGCATAGCCTGAACTAGTCAACAATCATAGCACCAAAGACAGCAAAACACCTCATTGCCCCAACCTCAGACTGGTTAAATCCCTGGGTGATTCTAATGTCCGGGCAGGGTTGATGTTCATTGATATGAATGGAATTTTGATCAATGTTTAAAAGTCAGTTAAACCAGTCGCTATGGTTTGAGCATTTGTCCCCTCCAAAACTCATGTTGAAATGCAATCTCCGATGCACCAGTGTTGAGAAGTGGGGTCTTTAAGAGGTGATTAGATCATGAGGGCTCTGTCCTCATGGATGGATTAACCCATTCATGGATTAATGGATTAATGGATTGACATGGGAGTGAGACTGGTGGCCGTAATTTATGAAGGAGAGGAAGAAAGATCTGAGCTAGCACGTTCAGCCCCCTCCCCACGTGATGCCCTGCACCATCCAGGCACTCTGCAGAGAGTCCCCATCAGCAAGGAGGCCCTCACCAGATGCAGTCCCTCAACCCTGGACTTCCTCAGCTTCTAGGACTATAAGAAATAAATTCCTTTTATTTATAAATTACCCAGTTTCAGGTATTCTGCTATATGCAACAGAAAATGGACTAAGACATCAGCACCCTGGTGTCGCCCAGACCTTACAAACAGATTGCTTTACTAGATTTTTAAAAATTATTCAACGTTCTGACATTGCATAGCACAATACCATGCAAGTTTTTAGTCTGAGTCTTAAAATATAGCCTAGTTTTGGCTTTGCTAGAACCACAGTGATCAACCGAGCAGTATATCTCATAGCATTTTGAAGCAGATGCTCTCTCATGGGCCTTAGAGATCATGCAAGTCTTCATTTTACAGATGAGGAAATATCACCCAGGAGGATTCTTTCACAGATTTACTGTATTGAGGGTGGGTGAGAGGGAAGAGAGGGAGAGAGAGAGAGAGAGTGTGTGTGTGTGTGTGTGTGAGAGAGAGAGAGAGACAGGGAGAGAGAGGAGGAGGAGGAGGAAGGAAGGTAGGAAAGAAAGGAGGGAGGGAGGGAGAATGAGTGTTGTAAAAGACTTGTATTACTTTTACAGGTTTATGTAGCTGGTTTATTCTATATTATGTCAGGAAGGTTCTCTAAGGATCAGTTTTACTTAACCTTGAAAAAAAAGCAGTCAAAGTCCAAATGAATTGTTGAAAATTGCTCATCTGTTCTTCCTTGCGGATTTTTACTAACTCAGCTCCAGCCCTGGCCTTGGCCTCTTGCAGAAAGTAAAGAATATACACATTTAAAATTTCTATATCTTTACCCAATGTACTTCTTTAAGAGGTGGTGGTTTTCTTCTTTGCAGTTTTATTGAAAGTATCTTGTTTCAGAAAGAAATCTTCTTGGCTTCACCTGAAATGTCCCAGAATAAATGCAGTGCTGCATAAACAAGGCCTTGGACTACGAGTTTATGAGTCTGAGAGCCACAGAAGGCTTAACGATTACGTTTTTTTTATTGAGGTCAAAGTGAGTAATAAGACAAGATGGTTCACAGCAGAAAATAGGTTACTCATGTCATAAGCCAGGACTCTATGGTCAGAAGGGAGGAAATAAATTAATGCTTAATAGATGAAAATGTATTATTGATCTTTCTTCTACTAAAATTATACTACATCTCCATGCCAGGCCATTACAAATGTCAGCTCATGTTCAGGTGCAGTGGCTCATGCCTGTAATCCCAGTGCTTTGGTAGGCCAAGATGGGAGGAACCCTTGAGGCCAGGAGTTCAAGACTAGCCTAGGGAACATAACAAGACTCCATCTCTATGAAAATTAAAAATATTAGCTAAGTGTGGTGGCATGCTCCTATAGTCCTAGCTGCTTGGGAGGCTGAGGTGGGAATATCACTTGACCCCAAGAGTTTGAGGTTACAGTGAGCTGTGATAGCACCACTGCACTCCATCCTGCACACAACAGAGCAAGACCCTGTCTCAAAACAGAACAAAATAAATGTCATCTCATTGTGTATATGTCGTCTCAAATGCACAATTACAATTTTTCAGGTGTATCTGTTAACTTATATGTATGGTTATATCATAAGCTTGCATTATTTAGATCTACACATTCTCGTATGTACAAAAATGTGATCTCATGTACATGATCTCAATTGTACAATCATTTCTTTGTGTTACATCACATGGACACATATCTATGTATAACTGTGTTATCCCACCAGGTGTTCTTGGGGCCTTACATTCCAGCTACTGGTGATAACAATTTTGTTTTTGAGACAGGGTCTTACTTAGTTGCCCGGGCTGGAGTGCAGTGGCCCAATCATGGCTCCCTGCAGCCTCAACCTCCTGGGCTCAAGCCATCCTCCCATCTCAGCCTCCCAAGTAGCTGCGACTAGGAGCACATCACTACGCCTGGCTAAATTTTTATAGTTTTATTAAAGATGAGGTCTTACTTTGTTGCCCAGGCTAGATATATCACCTTTTTTTTAAACAGTTTTATTAGTATATAATTTGCACACTATAAATTTCACCTGTGTTAAGAGTGCACTTCAATTGTTTTTAGTAAATAATTTTAGTAACCATCATCACAATTTAGTTTTAGAACATTCCTATTGCCCCCAGAAGACCATTGCGCTCATTTGCAATCAATTGCTATTCCCATCCCAGCCCAAGGCAACTACTAATCTACTTTCTGTCTATAAATCTGTCTTTTCTGGACACTTCCTATAAACAGAATTACAGGTTATGTAGGCTTCTTTCACTTAGTGTAATGTTTTTAATGTTCATCCATGTCGTAGCAGTTCCTTTCCTTTTATTACTGTGTAGTATTCCATGGTATGGATGTATCGCATTTTGTTTATCCATTCACTAGTTGATAGATATTTGGAACATACTACTTCTTGGCTATTCTGAATAATGCTTCTATGAACATTTGTGTGCAAGCTTTTGTGTAAGCAAATGTTTTCATTTCTCTTGGGGAGATACCTAGGAGTGAGGTTGGTGGGTCATATGGCAAATGTGTGTTTAACTTTATAAGAAGCCACCAAACAGTTTTGCTAAATGACGAGTATTTTTTATTTTAGCCATTTGAATTGGTGTGTAGTGGTTTTGATTTGCATTTCCCCAATGACTAATAATGTTGAGTGCCTTTTCATGTACTTACTAGTCATTTCTATATCTTCTTTTGTGATCACTGGCTTATTTATTTGTCTATTTTTATTGTTTCATTGAGGTATAATTGACATAAAATAAACTTCACATATTTAAAGCATACAACTTAGTAAATTTTTACAGATGTATAATCCATAAAGCCATCACTACAATCAAGATAATGACTATATACATCTGCTATAGTTTGAATGTTTGTCTTCACAAACCTCATGTTGAAATCTGAACCCCAGTGTTGGAGGTGGGGCCTAATGGGAGGTGTTTGGGTCATGGGGTTGGATTCCCCATGAATGGCTAATGAGTGAGTTCTTACTCTATTAGTTTCCACAAGAGCTGGCTGCTAAAAAGACTCTGGCAGAGGATCACTCCGGTCCCAGAGTTTGAAGCTGCAGTGAGTTATGATCATACCACTGCATTGCAGGCTGGGTTACAGAGCAAGACCCAATCTCTACAAAAATGTTTTAAAAAACTAGCTGGGCATGGTGGCTCACGCCTTTAGTCCCAGCTACTCAGGAGGCTGAGGTGGGAGAATTGCTTGAGCCCAGTTGGAGTTGGAGGCTACAGTGAGCTGTGATTGCTCCACTGCACTCCAGCCTGGGCAGCAGAGTGAGATTTGGTCTCAAAGAAAAAATAAAAGACCCTATCTTCCTTGCCTCCTCTCTCATCATGTCATCTCTGCCCTCACCAGCTCCTCTTCCACGAGTGGAAAAAGCTTGAGGCCCTTACCAGATGTAGATGTTGGCGCCGTGCTTCCTGTACAGCCTGCAGAACCATGAGCCAAATAAACCTCTTTTCTTCATAAATAACCCAGCCTCAGGCATTCCTTTATAGCAGCACAAATGGACTAAGATTTCATCACTCCTAAAAGTTTCCTTTTGGCCATCTGTAATTCCTCCCAGACTCTCTCCAGTTCTCCACCCTCCCTTGCTGATTTGCTTTCTGTCCCTATAGACATATAGATCTGTTTTGCATTTTGTAGAATTTCACATAAGTGGAATAATGAGTACTACTCTTCTTTTTCTGCCTTCCCTCAATCATAATTGTTTTGAGATTCATCTGTGTTGTTGCACATATTAATAGTTCATTCCATCTCATTTCTGAGTATTTAGCACAATTTACTTATCCACACATATATTGGTGAATATTTGGATTGTTTCCACTTCCTGGCTATTCCAAATAAAGCTGCTGTCAACATCCACATACAAGTCTTTGTATAAAGGTAGCTTTCGTTTCTCTTTGGTAAATATATTGGAATAGAATGGCTGGAAATGCTAGCATATGTTTAATTTTTTAAAACCTGTTTTCCAGCACCAAACTGTTTTCCACAGTGGTTGTACCATTTTATATTCCTACAGCAATAGACGAGCGTTTAGGTTTCTCCACATCTTTGCTAACACTTGGTGTGTTCAGTTGTTTATTATTTTAGACGGTCTAGTGGGTGTGTACTGGTATCCCATGGCTGGAATTTGCACTTCTCCAATATCTAATGATGTTATACATCTTTTCATGTGTTTATTAGCCACCTGTAGCTCCTCTTTGGTGAGGCACCTGTTTAAATCTTCTACCGTTTGTGAGTTGTGTTGTTTGTTTTCTTGTGCTGGAGTTTGAGAGTTCTTTATATATTCTGGATAAAAGTACTTGGTCAAATCTGTAATCCGAAAATATTTTTTCCAGTCTTTTGCTTAATTGTTTTTGTGTTCTCTTAACAATGTCTTTCAAAGAGCAAAAAATTCTTAACTTCTAAAGATGGGGAAGCTCCATTGACTGGGGATCTCATGACATAATTTATTGCCATCCAATGGGTTGGATAGTAACTTAAAGAACAGGATCCATTTCCACAATGAATTCCTTATTCAATATTTCTTGGGTCCAAGGATTAGGATGTTCTGTCTGGAATAAAAGTGATCATAATATAATAGGGCTCAAGCTGAGCTTTTAGATCATTAAACTATTTCACATGACCTCCAAGATCTTATTTCACAACCAGAACTTCTTAAACCATATTTTCTGTTCTTTCCATAGGTACTAGAAAAGATGTGAAAATGTGCTGGGCAGGCCCTCTCCCTCATTCTGCCACTTATGTTCCTGGTTGCTTCTCATTTCTTCCAACAGTAAGGCCCGTTGTGAAATTGAGTTTCAATTTCATTCTTTTCCAATCCGTCAGCTCAGATACTGATCACAGAGTGGGTCAATGTGCTAGCTTTTGACAAAGCCATTTCTATTTTAGATTTGTCAAAATAGTCTTCTAAAGGCATATGCTTATAATGATGATTGATGATTCAACAAAACTTCACAGGGGTCACTTTCAATTTGTGCTAAGAGGACCAAAAAGCCCTTTGTATCACCTAGTTATCAATATCAGCCCACAAGGGTGGGAGCATCATAGAAATAACTCCCGTTCAATTTAGGCCAGTGCAAAGATTCTGCAAGTGTTGTACTTAAAGCAAATATTATTGCTCTAGAATTATGACAATCAGCACATAAGCAACGTGGGAGGTAAATGAATGCCCTCACGTTTTTGCTTTGTATTCCCAAGATTCCATTTGCAGAGTGTGTGTGTATGTGTATGTCTGTGTGGCTTGGGTGGTGGTTGAGGTTCCATAAGGAATGTTAATTGCAATGATATGAAAAGAATAGCTGAGGCTTATTCCAATGGAAAGGTCTTTTTTAGGGATAGTCTCTGTTTTTGGCTTCTCCTCATAGCATCTCCTGTTAAGGTTTTCATTCTTTCTCTGTGGCAAGGCCATTCCCTCATTGTCTAATTCCCCAAAAGGCAGGCTTTTGTTTTTGTTGTTTTTCCCAGATGTAGAGATTTCCAATGTAAAATTAAACTTCCAATATAGTAGTCTTGCCTGCAATTTTCAGAAGGAAATTAGGCCATCAAGTAAGCCTGTAGATCAGGAAGTTAGGAGCCTTTTCCTCTAAGACACTATACCACCAGAATCTGACAATGTGCCACACCTGTGTATGTGTAAGCTACACTTACAATATACCGGGCACTGTTTTAGCGCTGGAGACACAGAATTAAACAAAATCAAAGTATTTATCCTTTATCACTACCAGTGGAGATAATATTTCCTGGCCAGTTTACTCTATCAGCATAACTTTCAGCAAGATTTGAAGCATTGTGAATTGCAATTATATAATAATCTGAGGATTAATGTTGATTTCAAATGCAAAGGAAATGGCACTCTCCCCCCTCACCAGCAAACACATACATTCTTTATACTTCCTGGCTTAGGTGGTTTTCAAACCAGAACTCACGATACCACTTATTTGTTTAAAGATAAAGGTTAAACATCAAAACATTCACTGCAGTTTCAAGTAGCATACTTAATGCATATTTATTTTATTACAGGGCTTGGATGTTGAGAGAATTCTTTTTAGTGCTAAAATGGCAAAGGAAAATATGAAATACAATAAAAAGAATGAAGTCTAAGCTTTGGCCTAAAATACCACACATTGACTCAGATTCTTTTTGCTTTCATATGCCATAAGTTTCTTTTTTTTTTTTTTTTTTGGATTAAATTGACCTTCTCTGTCAAACCCAAAGACTCAAGGCTGCAAATACATTACAATGCCTTTGTTCTCATAATCCTTTTACTATCTTATGTAGTTCTCAGGAAGCTAGACTTAAAAACAATCATAACACAGTATCACTTTACACAGAAGATTTTTTTCTTCATTCTAAGGGTTTTAAACTATTTCCTAATGAATCCAAATGGGATTCATTTGAGTTAGGGAGTAAAATAAAGGTTGCTTAACTGATTCTTGTTGAAGAGAGAAGAAAGTCATAGTTGGAGAATTGATTTATTTAGGCTGCTTATATTTAAGGGAAATATCTCCTACCCCCTGTAACCCAGATGGGCTGTTCATTAGCTAGACTGAATCACAGAGCAAAAGAAGAAAGAATCTGGATGGAATGAGCTGCTACTTCTGCAACAAAAGCAGCAAATGTACATGAAGGGTTTAATTCACTTCCTGTGGTCTAGGGCTGAGTGGAGATGGCAATGGGACATCTGGAACATAGATGAACATATTTTCCTGATGGAGGCTGGTAATGGTACAATTCCTTTCTGATAGAAGTCTCAAATATGCAGTCTTTTTGCACTTTTCATTCAGCTAAGAGAAGGCTATCCCGGGTGTGAACATCAGGATTCTAGGGAGAATAAATGATTAAATGAGATGAAAGGGCCAATAAGAATTTTAGCTGAAAGCTCAAAGCTGCACTGAACCTAATCTGTTGAGAATATACCATTGGAGAACTTGTCTTGGCTCTGACCCTCTAATTTTAGTTGCTTCTCGATCTCAAAACCTGTAATAGTGCTGGGAGAGAGGTCTGTTCCTCTATAATTTCACTTTAACCCCTACCAAGTGGTGTTATAGAGCCTGGAAAAAAAAAAAAAAAAACCAGCTAAACATCTCCCCACCATTTCTGTGACACTTCCATCTGGGAATCCAGATGGAAGAATTTCAGGAAGTCTGGAATGTGTAGACATTTCAGACTCAAATTCCCACTTCCCTTTGCTCAATTAAAAACTGAACATTGTTACTACTCACTTTGTTCATTCTTGCAAGTAGATGTTTTGGTCACCTGTCTAAAATAATGGCCCTGTCCTTCCTCACGATGGTAGGTGAGTGATAGCTGCTGGAAATTAGATAAATTTATCCTAAGGTATCCTTGGAAACAGAGAACCAATTTGGAACAGAGGGCTGAAAGTCAGAGATTATTAACTACATATCTTGTTTTTCTCCAATGGCTTCAACTTTCCCTTCTTTTGCCCCCTCTTCCAGATACCCAGCACTTCCTATCTACCATATCCTCCATTACCCTTTTCAAGGGCTAATTTAATTTCCAACTCCTCCGTGAAAATGTCCCCTGCTATTCTAACTTTGTTCTTACAAAGTTGCAGAATGGATTGATTACATGTTGAGCAAAACCTTCATTTCTTTCCCACAATGCTATTATGGCTGTGTACAATGACATCCAAGAGATATTTATTGAAAGAAGGAAGTACATCAGACCTAGATGTTGCCATTAAAGAGCTCATAATCCAGTAGAAAAGATAATTATAATGCAGGGCTTAAAGTACTAAGAGAAATAAAGAACGTTATTGTGTCATTTCAAACTGAGCAAAATCAGGGTAAGCTTTGTGGAGGGGGTAGTGTGTAAGCAGAGCCGTGAAGGATGAGAGTGGGTCTTGTGGTCCTAGACATGCAAGAAAGATCATTCCAGATCTGTCTCCAGATATGGGAAACAACCTGAGTCCCAATGCCAGAGGATGAAAAATATGGGTCATTTGTGAAAAGCATAAGTTTACTTTGGAGTGAGGGTAGATCAAGGGATATAGTAAAAATTGGAATGAATAGGTGGGTGTGGGGAAAAATGATGGAGACTAAAGAGTTTACACATTTGCATAGAGAAATAATGAAGGTTTCTGAGCAGTGCAGATCAATGCTTTAGTGCTGTACTTCAGGAAAACTGACCTGGCAATAGAATGTACAAGCTGAAATGGACATTGTAGAGCTGAATCGTTCAGTTAGAGGCAACTGTATAGTTTAGAACAGAAGTAATGAGATTGTAGCAGTGAGAATAGAGTTGGCATATTGTACAAGCAGAATTAGGACTTAGAAATGCACTAGAATTTGAATAAAATTGGGGGTGGAGGAGATACAGATGTCTCCAAAGTTTTGAATTTGAATGACTTGGAAAGCATTAATGACATAAGAAATAGGAAACAGGAGGAAGAATAGAGGGAAAATAAAGAGAACAATAAATTTACCTGACATATTGAGTTAGAAGTATGGGTAGTTTATCTTTGAGATGTCCAACATGCGGTTGGTTTATTATAATCTGGAACTCAGTATAGATAGTTTCTGCTACGGTTTGTGTCCCTCAAAATTCCTGTATTACGTTTACCTATGTAACAAACCTGCACATCTGGCACATGTATATCAGAACTTAAAGTTAAAATTTAAAAAGTTAATGTGTTAAAAACTTAACCCCCAAAGCAACAGTTTTGGGAGGTGGGACCAAGTATGGATTAACTGGGTCATGAGGAGGGAGCCCTCATGAATGGACTATTGCAATCATCTTAGGAGTGGGTCAATTATCACTAGAGTGGGTGGTTATAAAAGCAAGCCCAGCCCTTGGTAGTTCTCAGATATATGCACTTGCTTCTGCCCTCCACCTTTCCACTATGGACCAGATACCAGCACCATGCTCTTGGACTTGCCAGCCTCCAGAACTATGAGCCAAATAAACTTCTTTTATTTACAAGTTACTGAGCCTGTGGTATTCTGTCATAGAAGCAGAAAATGAACTAAGACAGAATCATTAATATAACTTAAAAACTTCAAACTGTTAAGGTAGAGAGTACAGTGAGAGAAAGGAGAGAGCTATGGACAGTTCAACTTTGAATATGTGTGTTGAGGAGGCAGGTAATGAAAGAAGGTCCAGAAAAGAAGAAAGAAAGGAAAAAATGTTCAGAAATCAAAGAAGAAAACCAGAAGAATACAATATCATAGAAACCAATGTTGGAAAATTCTAATAAAAAAGACTTAGCCAACAGTGTTCAATGCTGATGAGTTCCAGGAGAATGACAGAAAAGGGGACATTGAAATTAATGGCAAATTATTGATTTTTAAGAAAGCAGTTATTGAAGAAGAAACCAAGCATTCTAATAGGTTAATGAGTATGTTAGGGAGTGATACAGAGAAAAGAGCCCTTACTGGAAACCAGAGGGCCTGAGTTCCAGCATGGCCCTGCTGTTAAGTAGCCCTATGATCTTTTTAGCATGGTTTTGAACTTATTTTGTGGGGAGGGGAAGTCTTTACTTTAACATAATTTTAATTGACATGTAATAATTGTACATATCTATAGGACACAGAGTGATATTTCAATGCATGCATACAATGTATAATGATCAAATCAGGGTAATTAGCATATCAATCACCTCAAACATTTATCATTTCTTTGTGTTGGGTACATTCAAAATCCTCTCTTCTAGCTATTTGAGAATATATAATAAACTATTGTTAGCTATACTCACCCTACAGTGCTGTAGAACACCAGAACCTAGTCTTCCTATCTAGCTGCCATATGACATTTTAACCTTTCTCAAACTGTTTCCTAGTCTTCAAAATTCTATAAAATATCTTCAAACTCTCACTTTCAAAGATTCATACAAGCTACCTGTGTGCCTGAATCATACAGAGATATTGAGCCACATGTCTTTATCAGAAATAGGCCAATTTCACCACTTGTAAGTTATGTGAAAGTGGGGCACTTTCTTGGTGTTTCCTAATATAGAGAAATTGAGACTACATTCATAGAAGATTTTCTCAAAGCAAACTAAGTTGATGATGTTCCTTCCTTCAGCCTCCTCCCACTCCCAGTCTATTATCCCTTACTTTTAAAAACTGAGGTAAGACATTATCCCTGGTATATCCGGTGACTCGTTCTATTGCTTGAAATCAGAGGATGCCACCAAAAGCCTTTTTTGGTTTGTTGAAATCAGTTGAGTAATATGAACAACCAATTCCCCTAAATCACGGCTCTCTAGCTAAATGTGATAATATACTTGTACAGGGACACCACTTCCTGAAACTCAGTGTCTCATCTCACATGCTCCCAAAATTTAGCCAGAAATATGTTATTCAAGAAGAACACAGATGCACTGAAGCAAGAACATTTTGCTTTATCTGAGGGGCTTATATCTATTTGGGTCCCGTAGCAACACAAATTCAGAATCACTGAGATGTTAAATATTACAAATTTTTTAGTTGGGTCCAGGCACATAGTCTGGTGATATATCCCAAGTGTAGGTGTGAAACAGTTCACTTTGACTGAATCCTCTGATTAAAGCTCAATAATACCATGCTTTATCTTTTTTTTAAAAAAAAAAAAACCCACAAAGTAGTATATCTTTATCTTGCTGAGACACCAGTATATTTTCCTGAAGTTTTCATCCCTTGTCTTTCCTCTTGGGAGGCTGGCCTGTTCTTTCTTAAGTATTCTTGCCTTATTTAACTCTAAAGAATATTGCAGAAAGGGAAGAATTTTTTTCAACTTTGTTTTTAAAGGGACTTACATAATACAGGTCTAAATTCAGTGGAGAAAAGGGGAAGAAAAGGACAATTATCATCTATTGTGCACTGGCTATATGCCAAACATGTTCACTTACATTATCTCACTCAAGCCTAACAATATTTTGTAGTAAATTTAGCTTTGATTTTAGAGATGAGAAAACTGAGGCTGGGAGAGGTTAAATCATTCTCTCAAGGTAAAGTGGCAAGTCATAAAACTGGGACTGAAACTAAAGCTGTCTGACTCCAAAGCTCAAGCTCTTTCCACACTACCATGCAGTTCAATCTAGTGGGGAAAAAAATCCACTCTTGAAAGCGTCTTAGCATTTTAAGCATAAATGTGTGTTAGTAGGGATCCTCTGGAGCTTCCAAATTCTATTTTATCTGCACTGAACTTTACACACACACACACACACACACACACACACACGTCTATTTCCCCCTTCCAATTGAAATTCAGCACCGAGGACAGTTCCCGAATCATGTTTGCAGGAAGCTGTCCTTGGATTCTGTTAGAGCTCACACTCTCATTCTTGACTTCCCAAGTGGCACTGAGAAAGAGAGAAGGAAATGTAAGAAAGTATGAGATGGGATCCTCTCACACCATGGTGGAAATTAGCACATTTCCCAGAAGACCAAGATAAAAATGCATGTGAGAAGAACAAGAGAACCAAACAGATGGGGCAATAAAATGGAGGCGGAATGAGCTCATCAGGATTCCCAGCACACGGTTTAAGTCCATACTGGGCTCACAGCTGACCTGGGACCAGCCGACATAGTGAATGAGTGGGTGGTTACTATGCTGCAGCATCAGTTACACTAAGAGATTAGGTGGAGCTGATTCACTGCTGCAGATCTGCACGACTTTTCAAGTGGAGGAAAATCTGTGGGCCCTGGTCTCTGCCACTCACATAACCATCCTCATGGGTAGCATGAGTCATACATGCAGGATCTTTCAGGTAGACAAAGTTGTTGTGCTGTGAGTAAACCCAGTATGAGCTTTCGTGTTGTCGAAAGCAGGTTTTAACCACAACTACGGCGTCTCCGTGTATGAAGGTTTACCTGCTGTACTACAAAACGACCCTGCCTTTCCACATTCACCTTTGGCTACAGGTGGTTAATAACACACACAGAAAAAACAAGTTTCTGAAACGTTCCTCACACCAACAGTGATTCCTTCTTTTTCAAACTATCATGCTCTTGAGTACAGCCAAAGCACCTTTAGACAGTTGCGTCTAATCCCCTTATCTTTTTAAAATTATTATTATTATTTTGAGATGGAGTCACGCTCTGTCACCAGGCTGGAGTGCAGTGGCATGATCTTGGCTCACTGCAACCTCTGCCTCCTGGGTTCAAGCGATTCTCCTGCCTCAGCCTCCCAAGTAGCTGGGACTACAGGCGGGCGCCACCACACCCAGCTAAATTTTGTATTTTTAGTAGAGACGGGGTTTCACCATGTTGGCCAGGATGGTCTCGATCTCTTGACCTTGTGATCTGCCTGCCTCGGGCTCCCAAAGTGCTGGGATTACAGGTGTGAACCACCGTGCCCAACCCCCGCCCCTCCCTTATCTTATATGCAAGAAAACTGAAGTCCAGAGGAGAAATGACTTGCCCCAAACCACTTAGCTAGTGACAGAGTTAGAATTAGCACTAGATCCCTCATTCCTAAGCCAGCAGGCTTTTCATTGCACCAGGAAGATAAAATAAAACTGTAAATAGCATGTACTCTGTTAACTAAGCCTCTAATTATACTGCCTCCAAAGAAAATAACATTTCAAATGTCTGGGTCTTTCCATTTGAGCTTTGGCAATTTCACTGATCACTTCTCATACTGGAATCTCTTTTAAGACGTTTAGGAGTAATTATATTGGGATATATGCTATTTTTACTCTTGTACACTGCTTTCTTTGTTCAGGAGGAAATTAGAATTCTGGAAAGATACTTGATTTTGTTTAATTATTAAAGGAACAAGCTTCTACTTCAAGTAGTTGCAAATATGAATGTATCAGTCTGTGTGTCAAGAAAGGATATATGGAACAATACAGGAACGATAATACTCTATTGTCACATCCAATTAAGGGCCACCTAGGTCTACAAGTAAAGAGGAACATCAAAGCTATGAGTGAAAATGGAAAAGTCACATCGTTATCTGAATAATTTTGAAAACGTCTGGATTTGGTGCCTTATGAATCATCTGAAATGTAACAAGGCATAAAGTGCTTTGCAACCCTGTTGCCTTCATTATTGTAATTTGTGCATATGTAGGTTTATTTGAACTTTTTCGAGTTTTCATCCAGCTGAAAAAGGATGTAGGAAGAATGAGTCCAGTCAAGGTCATACTTAACAAGGTGAAACTGACACCTCCTGGGGATGCAGGCTAACAGAAACATGAGCCCATTACTCACCCCAAATCTCCCATCCATACCTTTTTCTGCTAATGAATATTCTTACCTGAACCATCATTACTTCCATTGTCCTCTGCTTTGGATACCTTGCAGACCAGGTTCCTGTCTCTCATTTTTATCCACGAAGAGATTTTCAAGAATAGAACTTTTCTTATAATTTAGCAATAATGTCCTTGAAAACCCCACAACTATTTACATAATAGAAGCTATTGTTTGAAGTGCAAAGCAGGTCAGAATTTGGTTTCTAGAGATTAATCACTGCAGTCTAGTTTATATTATCATAATAATTTCATTTATTTTGGTACAATTTGCTTTCAGAATCAACCTCGGCTTCTGCGCACAAGTGACAAATCCATTTGTTTGTGGTATAATGGATAACGTGATTAATGACCTTGCAACAGGATTTCTTAAAAACATAGAGAGGAAAAGAAATAAAGATTTCCATTTATAAATGTGCAGTAAACCAGCTCAGTCTGTAGCTGTGCACCAAAATCCCTCTGAACTTGTTTTAAGCCACAGATTTGGAGAGATTCTGAAACAAATTTGCTCCTGACTTTTGGGGGTTTCTGCTCATATCTGCTGTCTCCAAGAAGCTGAGGGCAGTGGCCTCACTTCGAGGAAGTGGTGACACTGCGGGCCCTCCTGGTTACAAGGACCGGGCACTGTTGGACCACGTGGCTCCATCATGATGACTCCAGTTAGATGTCACCCCGCCCCTGAGCTCAGGTCTTGCTGAATAAGGTCACCGCCCAGGGGGCAGTCGATGAACACGCGCGCGAGGGCTCTGCGAGTGGCCTCGTGACTTTGTCCCTAACTCCGGGTGTCCCCTCCTTCCCATCAGCGTCCGGCGCCTGGTCCTGGTCCCGGTCCCCGAGGCCCCCGGGATTCTTCCCGAGCGTTTTCCGAGTTGGCGCGGGGGGTGGAGGCGGGGCCATGGAGCGCGTCCCGGGGACCGTTGCATCCGGAGGCGGCCGTCGTGCGGCTCCTTCCCGCCTCGAGAGTGAGGTGGCCGGGCCTTGACGAGAAGGCCCACGCCTGCCGCGGGGGTGGCTCGCGATGGCAGTCGGGGTTCGAGTCCCGCCTGGGGGGCTGCTCCTGCTGGAGAAAACGCCTCCCTGAGGGCGGCGGCAAACGCGCAGCGAGGCCCCGTGCCGCGCCAGAAGCCACCCTGAGAAAGGGGCACCGGGACACCGAGGGGTTCCCACTTTCTCCTCAGCCTGTGACGCCCGCGTCCTCGGGTGGGTTCGAGGGGCGCCTGGGCACGGCCAGCCGAGGCTCTCGAGAGCCCCAGTGTCGTTTTCCACCTCAGGCCTCCTTTCCTGAGGCAGAGCCCGGGACCTCGCGCTCTCGCCTCAGGCTCCGGCCCACGCTCCCGCCCGGCCGCCAGGCGCGCAACGGAAAGCGCCCCCGCCCCGCCCCGCTCCGCCCACTGCGTGACGCGCACCCGGCCGAGCCAATCAGAGCTCGTGGCGCGCGCCCCACACGCCGGCCCCCTCCGCCCCTCAGCTTAAGAAAGGGCGCGCGGACCCGGCAGGCCAGAGTGCCGAGCAGCGCGGTGGGTGCGGCTGTGAGACGGCAGGAGACTTCTGCCCCGCGGTGCACGCGACCCTCGAGACGACAGCGCGGCTACTGCCAGCAGCGAAGGCGCCTCCCGCGGAGCGCCCCGACGGCGCCCGCTCGCCCATGCCGAGCTGAGCGCGGCAGCGGCGGCGGGATGCTGGCGCTGCTGGCCGCCAGCGTGGCGCTCGCCGTGGCCGCTGGGGCCCAGGACAGCCCGGCGCCCGGTAGCCGCTTCGTGTGCACGGCACTGCCCCCAGAGGCGGTGCACGCCGGCTGCCCGCTGCCCGCGATGCCCATGCAGGGCGGCGCGCAGAGTCCCGAGGAGGAGCTGAGGGCCGCGGTGCTGCAGCTGCGCGAGACCGTCGTGCAGCAGAAGGAGACGCTGGGCGCGCAGCGCGAGGCCATCCGCGAGCTCACGGGCAAGCTAGCGCGCTGCGAGGGGCTGGCGGGCGGCAAGGCGCGCGGCGCGGGGGCCACGGGCAAGGACACTATGGGCGACCTGCCGCGGGACCCCGGCCACGTCGTGGAGCAGCTCAGCCGCTCGCTGCAGACCCTCAAGGACCGCCTGGAGAGCCTCGAGGTAGCGGCCCGCGGGGAGCGCGGGGGACCTGGAATGGGGACGCTCCCGAGTCGGGGGCGGAAGACTCGGGAGGATGGGGAAAGGGGGCCTGGCCCTGGGGAGGGTGTGATCGTCCGTGGGGGTGAGCTGGACTTGAGGGTGAAAGGCGGGGATCTAGATCCTGCTCGGGAACTCCCCTGCGTGGTATCCCTTCCCACACCGCTGCTCTTGCTGGAAGGAAACGTTTAAATTCCACCCCCGCGCGTCGGGACTGCCAGCGGGATCCGCCGAGCACTTCCCGAGGTCCGGGCTAGCGAACCCAGACGGCCAAGCCGCGGGCGCCAAATACCCGGGGACGCGGTAGCCTCTATCCTCTTGCAAATCTCCAAATCTCCGCGAGCCGGGATGCGCTCCCGCAGGCCGTGCGGGTTGCTGCGAGGCTGCCGCGGGAGGTCAGCTGCCCCGGGCATGTGGTGTTTCTTTCTTTAAATCAGGTCAGGCTGAGCTAGAGGGGGCGGAAGTCTGGGGGCGGAGGTCGCAGGGAGGCGAGCGCAGGGGGTCACCGGCGACCCCAGAGCGCGCATTAGAGGGGCAACCTCTGGTTAACTTCAAAGACTCCCGTGTCTGCAAGTTGGACCATTTTAAGGTGCTCTTCCGGATTGCTTCAGGGGAAGGGACCTCATTCCCTTCTCTCTCTCTCTCTCCCCCCCTCCCCCCCTCCCCCTCCGTCCCCCCCCCCCGCCCCCCGCTCCCGCCTCCGTCTCATCTCTATCTCTGAAAATGCGTGCAGTTTGGAACTTTGAGAGAAAAATCTTCAATTATTTTTCATCTTTAGGCTCCACCCTTTTTAAGAAGTGTGGACACTGCTGTTAATAGCCTTTGTGAAAATACTTCTCAGCAAAACTAGGTTTAAATTACAGGTGGTAATTATTGCAAAAATGACTCTAGGGTTTCTTTTGGCGTGAGGGCTGAATACAGTATTTCCAGCATCTGTATATCCCCTGATTCATTGTGATTGCTAACAGCTAACATTTCTGGAGCACTAAATATGAGTCAGGCACATCATTTAATTTTTTAATCCTTGGAACAATGAATGGCATGAGGCAGGTCCCATTATGTGCATTTCACAATTTGGAACACTTTGTGGAGAAAGGTAAATAGCTTGCCATGAACTCATGGGTAGGCAGCCTGCCACAGCCTCCAGAACCACATGATGGTAGGGGAGAAAGAGAAATAGGAAGTGAGGATTTAGAAACAGCATTAAAAACAAAGATTGCTGGAGTTCAGAATAGCAACGTTTTAGATCTGTCATTTTCCAGAAACATCTCTGCATGCATAGTTATTTACCTTGGTGCCAGACCGGAACTTGGGGGCTGTTTTCATTTCTAGGTGAAAGCTCCTTGGCTTTGTGTAACCATCGATTTACTCTTAAAAAAGAAAAAAAATCCTGGAGCTGAGTTTTGGTCTCTACCCAACATAGAATTCTAGGCGTTGGTTAGAATATTGACTTTTTAGTAAGAGGAGAAAAACGGCTTTTTGAGAAGGGAAAATTAGATTCACAAGTTTCAAATATTGCAGCAAAGTAATTCTTATCTGACTTTGAAATCTTTTCCATACCAAAAAAGCATCAGTGAGATGCTCCCCTGCCTGCCAGTGGCAAGATTCAGGGCTTGCGTTTTGGAAGCTTCTCCCTGTGTGGTCGGGCCATCACAGCCACATTTCACAATTTCTTTTTAACTCTTTCTGTGCCCCTCCCTCCTCCCCGGTGGCTGAAAGCACCAGCTCAGAGCAAACGTGTCCAATGCTGGGCTGCCCGGCGACTTCCGCGAGGTGCTCCAGCAGCGGCTGGGGGAGCTGGAGAGGCAGCTTCTGCGCAAGGTGGCAGAGCTGGAGGACGAGAAGTCCCTGCTGCACAATGAGACCTCGGCTCACCGGCAGAAGACCGAGAGCACCCTGAACGCGCTGCTGCAGAGGGTCACCGAGCTGGAGCGAGGTGTGTGCCTGGCCTGTTTCTCTGTCTGGCAGTGGCCTGATTTTCACCACTTGTGGTCAGACATGCGATTCTGGTTGATGGACAGCAGGGATTGTGACACCACATGGGCCTGGTTCCCGAGTGTGTGAGCAAATAATAAAGGCGACTGAACAAGGTCATCTCAGGAATGAGCTGCCAGCCCCACTGGCATTATCCAGGGAAAAGTGAAAGTGTCCAGGACCAGCTTCGATAAGCAACCACACGGGCGTTTCAGTCCTTTGTTAACTAGTCCTGGCAGCGGATTCTGTGTATCTTTCTCTTCTCTGCTCACACTGTGGTGAGTAAGTTTCTCCCACAGGAGACAGAGTGGGAGGGATCAGGGGATAATTCAGATTGCGTCATCAACCCCCAAACCACTGGGTGGCTTGGGTTTGAAGTTGTAGGTTTGCCCGTAGTGGGTGTTTATAAGACTGGAATTTTCCCAGATGCACTAAGCTGATGAAGCCACTTCCCCATGACTCCGTTTCATGCATTGATAGGAGGATGCCCAATAGCAGAACATCCAATGACTTTGGCCGAGGTGGGGCAGATGGAGAAGGGGCTGGTGTTACTGTTCCATTTTACAGCCAGCATCCACAAGCCACAGGTCTCTTTCATCCCTTTCCTAGTCTCTTCCTACAGAAAAACCTATCCTTTCTTCCTGGCCCTTCTCAGAAAAAGGTGAGTATGGCTTACCTGTTAGATCTGTTAGATTCTTGAGTTTCCAAAAAATCTTCCTTTCTGTCTCCCCTCTGTTGCTGGGTGGCCTCAGGAGCCATCCCTGAAGGTAAAGCAGCCGTTGCTGTGGCCCTCCTCCCATGACAGGAGGAGGGAACGTCTAGGCACAGGTGAGCGTGGCTCCGTGGACCCAGCCTGAGCCACAGTGGATCCTCGGGACACCCAGGGCTATGGAGTTGGCACACTAAAGGTAGTTTGCCTCTCGAAAGGGGAACTGTGGAACGAGAGGAGGGCTCCATGAGAGACCTTGGTGGCTGTAAACCTCCCTCTGCACAGTGGCCAAGTTGCCATGAGGAGGTGGGTAAATAGCAGAATAGTGAGCCAGAGCTTCAGTCATGCCAGGCGGGAGCTCAGACTCCTGGTATGCCCGTTTCATAGATGAGAAAAAGACTCCGTTCTCAGTGGGACATGTATCTTTTGGGGAGGGGGCCCAAAGTGGGTCCTGGGCCACTAGCTGGCAAACAGTGACAGTCACATCAACCTGCACCTCCTCCTTCTCTTTCTCTCACTCAAGGCCAATGTCATTTCACTGGGCTTACTCCTAAGGTAAGCCATCATCATGGCTTTGGCCACCCAGAAGCTGCCACTTTGTGACTGTCCCTTTCATCCCCAGCCTGTCCATTACCAGCCAGAAAGAAACAGTCAGGACTCAGACCCCGCCAGCCTGACTCCTGACCCTTTAGTTTCCCAGCAAGCCCTCAAAGCTCATCTGGCACAGAGGGGAAGCTCACCTCTACGAGGGCAAAGACGCTGCTGGCCATTTATGCACCCCAGAGAGGCAGCCCAGCCTCTCTTCATCCCACCGTGGGAACTCTAGAATCCTTCTGTGAGCTCCACCAACTCAGCTCTGGGATGTGCTTTAAGGAAAGTGATCATTTGCAGACCAGTTTGTCTTCTGGGCAATTCTGAGTGTCCTGTTTGTGACAATTGTAGAGAGATGAGTAAACGCCCAGCCCTCCACATGTACTATGATTGGAAACGATGCCAAGTTTCTTAGACACATCCAGCTGAACCCAGAGTAGCTAGACCTTAACCTCACTACAGGCAGGGGGCCTTGGTGGGGGAACTCTGGCCTTTGGTCTGTCAGCCTCCACCCCTTAGGGACCAGATGCTTGGCTGTGAGTTCCACACTTGGCATTCTGTAATCCCTGACATGACCTTGCAAGGTAGGGATTAGTTCAGACGAGGGACTCAAGTCAGAGAACTAAAGTGATGCCTGCATTCACATTGCCAGCAGATTGCAGAGCTGGGAGTGAAGTTGGTGGGGCCCCAGAGGAGTGATGGAGGCTGCAGCCTGGAGCGGTGTGTGGGCCCCAGCCCTGCTGCGTCGGAGGCTCCTTGGAGCCCCCAGCAAGCGCCTGACCCCTGGCATATGGATGCCCCTGCCACCCGGGGCCCAGGGTTGCTTGCTTTTCTTTGCTGCAAGACCTGTTCCTCTGCAAGGGCCTCCAGAGTCCAGGCCAGCTGTCCAGGCACTGCCCAGCTCAGTGTTGAAATAAATGTTGCTGCTGAGAAAACCAAAGCTGCCTCTCTTCCAGCCCCAGGCTGCCCACCCCCTGCTGAGCCTCTCCGCCACCTGCAGTGTCTGATTTATTGGTCAGGCCTTTTAATTCCTTAATTGGTTTTAACCAAGTTTCCTCCAAACCGCCAAGCTGTTTTATTTAAATAAAAGACACTGGCTCTCAGGGTACAGGCCCCCTCCTCTGCCCCTCGGCTCTTCCAGCTCTAATTAAACCTATCTGTTGTCACCAAGCTAACAATATTACCCACACGGAGTCGTATCAGATTGGCAAGGCTGCCCTCCCGCAAGTATAGCAGCCATTTCTCTTTATTAGACAATGATGCCTTCATTAAGGACATGGTCATTTGCCACTTGAAGATTAAGTGTGAGTGGCTAAGTGTCGTGGAAAGAGGGACTTCCGGCCCCTGGCCTGTCATTCACTAGCTGTGTGACCTTGGATACGTCACCTCACTTCGCTGAGCCTCCGAGCCTCAACTGTGCAACCTGCAAAAATGGGGGAGTAGGGACACTCTGGTTCTCTCTCTCAGTTTTGCTTTTCAGCCTAATGAGAGACTAGTCCCAGCCTTCACTCTGGCCTGGCCCCTTGACTTCTTCGGGGAGCAGGTCTTCCCAGCCCTCGCCAGGTGCCCAGCAGCTCTGCAGTGGCATCGAGAGGTGCCCATCCTTAGGAGGTCAGGAGCAATCGGGAGGCCACCATTGGCAGATATGAGTACATGCAACACGTGAAGCCCAGATTCTAGAATGTACACACTGCCTGTTCCAGAGAGGTTAGAAAGGGGATAGGGGGTTCTTCTGTGCCCCTTTGCAGAAACCCTCCTTAGATAGATGTGAACTGCGGCCCCCAAGAGCCTTTCGTGTGTATTATTCACTCTGAGGGACAATGAGTTTGGGGGATTGTGGTGGAGAAAGGTTTATCTATTCTGGCTCATGTTGTGCAGTAGGGACTGATTTAACTCCACAGTGACACAGGCAGTTCTGGCTCCAGAGAGCCCGCCTGTCTCTGATGGCCTCGGAGACTGTCTGAGCCCTTGTGGATGCTTAACCGACACTTGTTGAATGAGTGAAGGGCGTTTAGATTCCTTCAACGGCAGGGTCTGGTTCTCAAATAAGAGGGCCGCCTTTGCCATGACAGCTGGCACAATCAAATGGTGTCCTGCAAACTTTGGAATCCACGATGCCTGGACAAGGGCTGCCGCTGTGGTTTACTTAATTTTGAACTTCAACCAAGGCTGCCTTGGAAATATTGTAAACCCATTCTAGAGTTTGTTTTCAAGGATTTTAGAAGTGCCAATGACATAGGGGTGGCGGGTGGATTCTCACCAATTCCAGGAAGGTCTGGAAGGGCCAAGGCTGTGACCAGGTGTGTTCCCCTAAATGAGGAGAGACACCTGCGGTTGCCCTGCCTCCCACTGGCTCCAGACTACAGGAAATGATCAATAAACTCAGTCTTCTCTTGAGGAGGAAAAGAGCAAAGTGCTTTTTGTCAGGGATTTAGACCAAAAAGCCACTTTTGAGTTAAGTTATGGAGTCAAGACCCGGGAGCCTGACTGCTTCACCTCGGCAGTGGTAATTCTTTCATGTGAGGAGTGACACAGACTCATTCACTTGACAAGTGTTTATTGGGTGCCTGGGTCCCTGTAAGACTTCCTTCTTCTAAGCCCAAGTCTCCAGGGTTCCTAGATCCTGCGAAGATTTCAAGGAAATATCTGAAGTTATAAGATGTGGCTAAGGACGCAGTTTCTGGCTTAACACAAGAAAATTAAATCTACCTTTCTTCTGCTCCTTCCTCAAGCTTTCTAGTCACCTAATATGACTTATGAAAAGAGAGTATTAACTAGAAGGAACCAGACAGAGCCTCTGTCACCCAGGTGGGAGTGCAGTGATGCAATCATAGCTCACTGCAGCCTGGACCTCCTAGGCTCAAGCGATCCACCTCAGCCTCCTGAGTAGGTGGAACCACAGGTGTGTGCCACCCTACCCAGCTAATTTTTATATTTTTTGTAGAGATGAAGTCTTGCTGTATTGCCCAGGCTGTTCTTGAACTCCTGGGCTCAAGCAGTCTTCCCACCTCAGCCTCCCAAAGCACTGGGATTACAGGCATGAGCCACTGCACTTGGCTAATTTTTTAAATTTTTTGTAGAGACAGGGTCTTGCTATGTTGCACAGGCTGGTCTCGAACTCTTGGCCTCAAGCAATCCTCCTGCCTCGGCCTCCCAAAATGCTGGTATTATAGGTGTGAGCCACTGCACCCATCCAAGAGCTTTTTTTCTTCTAGATTTCAAGAGGCCTCTTTTCCTGTCCTAAAAGATGGAGCTAAATTCTCTAACGTGCCCCATGCAGTGCCCACAAAATCTTCCTTTTCTTTCCTTTTCTGGGCGTCCTTGGGGCCCTGTACTTGCTGTCACCTGTGTCTGGGGTTCTCTTCTGCAGGTCTTTCCAGGCCTTCCCTGCATCCTCTGCCTTCCCTCCCCCGGCCACTCCCCGTCTTAGCAGGAGCCACTGCCTGGACTTCCCTCGCGTACCTGCTGCTGGTTTCATGTCACCTTCCCTGCCTGAATGTAAGCTCCCTAAGGACAAGGACTCCATCTTGTGTCCTGAATCCTGCCAGACTTCAGCCTTTTATCAGTGGCTGGTGTGGAGCGGTCTTTGGTCGCTTGCTGGAGGGTCCATCAAGGCTGTGTGAGGGACCTTCTTGTGGGTCTAGCAAGATGTGGCTCTGGGCCGTGCTGGTGGGTGGTGGGGTGGCCTAACGCACTCCTGGCCTCTCTTCCTCCCAACCCCCAGGCAATAGCGCCTTTAAGTCACCAGATGCGTTCAAGGTGTCCCTCCCACTCCGCACAAACTACCTATACGGCAAGATCAAGAAGACGCTGCCTGAGCTGTACGCCTTCACCATCTGCCTGTGGCTGCGGTCCAGCGCCTCACCAGGCATTGGCACCCCCTTCTCCTATGCGGTGCCAGGGCAGGCCAACGAGATCGTGCTGATCGAGTGGGGCAACAACCCCATCGAGCTGCTCATCAACGACAAGGTGAGGCCCGCCTGCACCGCCACCCTCCCCAGAACCCATCATGTGGTGGAGGGAGCCACAGCCCCCACCCCAGCCGTCCTCGCCCTCCTCGGGCCACACAGCAGTGTCCCAGACATGGGACTGCGGGGCTGTCCTCCTCGAGGTGGGGATAGCTTTGCACACGCCGGGCGGCTCACAGGGGCGGGGTGGGGAGGGGCCGAGCTGTGAGTCCAACCACCAAGCTGCAGAAGGTCCAGGCACCTAGGCCATGGAAGGGCAGAAGGAACAGATCTCCGTGTGCAGCCTGGATTGAGAGAGGACCTCAGGCCGGTCAGTGAGGGCTGTTCCCCAGGGCCACACTGATTAAGGGGGTGTGTGTGTCTCAGTGTAAGAGACTCCCCACAAGCATATTTTGGTGGGGGTCAGGTTTCTAGAGATATAATTTACATACAGCAAAGTGTACCCATTTTAATGTACAATTCAGGAAGTTTTAACAAATGCACACAGTTGTGTAACCACCACCACGATGAAAAAATATAAAACAGTTCCATCACCCCCCAAAACCCCCTCATACCCCTTCATAGTTAACTCTGATCCCAGCCCCAGCCCATGGCCATTGCTGACCTGTTATGTATACCCATGGTCTTGCCTTTTCCAGAGCAAATGCCCCTTCTTAATAGACTGCTTGGTTTTGGCATTCAGGAGTGGTCTTCTCAAGGGCTGGGCATGGTAGCTCATGCCTGTAATCCCAGTGTGTTGGGAGGCCGAGGCAGGAGGATTGCTTGAGCCCAGGAGTTCAAGAGCAGCCTGGGCAACATAGCAAGACCCCTTCTCTACAAAAAATTAGAAAGTTAGCTAGGTGTGGTGGTGTGCACCTGTAGTTCCAGCTACTCGGGAGGCTGAGGCAGGAAGATGGCTTTGAGCCCAGGATGTCGAGGCTGCAATGAACTATGATCGCACCACTGTACTCCAGCCTGGGTGACAGAGCGATACCCTGTCTCAAAAAAAAAAAAAAAAAAAAAAAGGCCACTTTGGGCCTCCTGGGGACCTCTCACAGCCCTGCTTCCAAACTTTCATTCTAATGGCAGACTCCATATAACAAAAAGAACATTCTCAGAACCTGTCCGGATTTGGGCATTTGAGTGGCTACGCAAACTCCCTGCCACCCGGGCCACCCCTGGTGGAGGCGGGGGCAGTTCAGCCCCTCACTCTGTTTGTCCTCACTGAACTGCCCTGGGTGGAGTCTGTCGAGGTTTAAAAAACGCTGTGGCATCAGCCTGCTGGGCTCCTCCTAGATAGACCCCCTTGCCTGAGCCAGGGGTTAAATAATTGTTCTAAATAACACCCTATGACACAGTGGGGCTAAGAGCCTTGTTGTCCTCTGGGTTTGGACGGCTTGTAAACATCGAATTCCTGGGAGGGAGGCTTCGGGTTGCTAGGAGACCAGCAGCAACAACGCGGTGGTTCATAGGCGAGCCTGCATAGAAAGTGCTTGCAGGACCGCCAGGGACCCGGCCAGTGGCAGCGTCCTCCCCCCAGTTCCTCACGCTGTCCGTGAGTTCCCTGCTCACACAGATACTCACACACGTGCCGCTGCGCAGGGAGGACGGGGCACACCCGCAGCACACAGATCCCTGCGTGCCATCATGGAGGTTTGGGACTTGGCATGAGGAATGAGGATCTCTCGTCTGTTTTCCAAGGAGACTGGCCCCATGGAACGCTGACTTCCCGAGTTTCTCTGGCATGGAGAGCTCAGGGCCAGCGTGGGGGTGTTGACCCTCACATCTGTTCGGTCCTCAGCCACGCCAGGCACCAAGGGTGTCCCATTAATGTGAGGGCTGCTCTGGGGTCAGGGTTTCCACCAAGGCTGCCCCCTTGCATGTTCTCCACGCATGACCCCGGTGACAGGAGGAGCAGTGTGGCCCAGGGGGACTGTGGGGTGTCCTTCCTGCTTCCTGCCCTGGGGGACCCTGAGGGCGTGGGCCCAGCAGGTCCTTACCTGCACATTGCTGCTCACAGGTTGCGCAGCTGCCCCTGTTTGTCAGTGACGGCAAGTGGCACCACATCTGTGTCACCTGGACGACACGGGATGGCATGTGGGAGGCATTCCAGGACGGAGAGAAGCTGGGCACTGGGGAGAACCTGGCCCCCTGGCACCCCATCAAGCCCGGGGGCGTGCTGATCCTTGGACAAGAGCAGGTGGGTGCAGGGCAGGTGCAGGTGGGCACAGGGTGGGTGCAGGATGGGCACAGGGTGGCCGTGCGCCCTTTCAGGGATGGTGCGAGGAGGGGCCAACTGAGCAGCACGAGGCCAGGCCTGCAGCTGTTCCTGCTCCCGGCCCCAGCTGTTGGCCCCTCAGACCTGGCCACAGTGTCCTGACAGCCAGGTCGGGGGAGTGAGAACCCCCGCAGCCTGGCCCTTGCTGTCCTGTGGTTAGAGGTTGGGCGTGGGGTCACGGCCTGCATGGCAGGGACCAGGTGGGTGTGTGGTTCAAACAGATTCCAAATAGAACCTGGCACAGAGGGGTGTGAGTGTCCCTGTGGTCATGGGTCATCTCGTGACACAGGCTCCAGCTTCCATCTGGGAGGAGGCTGTGTGAGGGACCCTCCTGGGATGCTCATGGTACCAACTCAGGATTGTGGGGCTGGTGTCTTCCAGGAGCCCCCTGCTCAGGGTCTTAACCCTGATACCCAGCAAGGGGCACTTAGGTAATCCATAGTGGGTGCTCAGCCTGTGGGGGAGACAGGGATGAAAGGGTGGCACCTCAAAGTGCCCTCAAGAAACTTACCATCTAGGGGAGGGAATGGCTAAGTTGGCTGTCTGGTCTAGGACAGATAAGTGTTGGCATTCCAGTCTGTATTTGGGTTTTTGATGATGGACAGTGGGGCGTAGACTCCAGGTGCACTGGGGGGCTTTGAGTCTGGTTCCTTCTTGGCCCACTCCTCCCTCAATTTCCCCTGCTACATCTCCGCTGGGAGGGGCTGGGAGTCATGAGACCTGGCTCTGATCCTGGCTTTGGGACTTTGAGCAGTGTCTTCCCTTACCAGCCTCAGTTTCCCCTGTATAAAATGGGGAGATTTGAGCGATGCCACCTCCCAGTTCTGACATGCCTGGGAGCTTCAGAACCTACAGAAACAGGTAGTGTTGGTCAGAGCTGGGGGGCATCAGAGAAATGCCCAAATCTCCTGTCTGCAGCCCGTGTGCAGGGGGACTTGTGAACCAGCCCTGACGCAGCTCTCTTGTTCCCATTCCCCAGGACACCGTGGGGGGTAGGTTTGATGCCACTCAGGCATTTGTCGGGGAGCTCAGCCAGTTCAACATATGGGACCGCGTCCTTCGCGCACAAGAAATTGTCAACATCGCCAACTGCTCCACAAACATGCCGGGCAACATCATCCCGTGGGTGGACAATAACGTCGATGTGTTCGGAGGGGCCTCCAAGTGGCCCGTGGAGACGTGTGAGGAGCGTCTCCTTGACTTGTAGCCGCCTTCTCCTCTGTCCAGGAGGCCGGGATCAGGCTGTTGCCATGGAAGTTCAGGGCCATAGACTGCCCCACTTAAACTCTTGTCAGTCTGGGCTCAGGGTTCCCAGAGCTCATTCCCCAGGAATCTCTAAGACCAGGGCTGGGGCAGTGTCTGTCACTGGCTTGTTTGTTCCCTACCAATATTCTGTTGCTGTTTGAAGTAGTGCCAGGGTCCCCTGGGAAGATGCCCCCAAGACACCTGCCCCAAGTGGGTGGATATCTGCCTTCCTGCTGCAAGTGGAGGCAGGTCCAGCAGCCCCTCTTCAGAGCCCCTGTAAATGCTATCGCAGCCTGAGTCCTGCCGCCTTCCAGTTCCTTGGTGTCCCGTGCACCCCTTCTGTCTGTCCCCTTTCATGGCTGTGCAGCCGTCCCGCTGGAGTGGCCATGTCCCTTGTGCATTGAGTGCATCCCCGCTGGTGACTAAGCTCGCAGCAAGCGGCTACCCCCCGATCTGCAAAAGGGCCTCTCCCTTTGTGTTCTATACATTGTGAATCTTCCCGTCTGAAGAACGCCCAGCCTGCCCAGACAAAGCCCCGCCTTCCCCAAAGCAGAGGGGCTGTCTGTGTCTCCAGAAAGGGGACATCGGGGGGGAGGGGGGCTCAGAAAGGAGAAGGGCTGTGATCTCCGGTCCCTTCCCCCATCATCCTTCCTTAGACTGATGCTTTGACTGAATCATCACTAGCTATGGCATTAAAAGGCCTCTCTTCTCATCTGGTGCCAAAGGTTCCGTTGCAGCTTTTTACAACCATCCGGTGTGGTTTGGAGGATTTGTTTTTTTTTTTTCCCAACAGAAAAGAACAGCCATTAGAAGAAGGCTCCCATTTTCTGATGTTCCGCCCCACTGTGAAGAGTGTGCTCGTTTTAAATTCATGTTGATTCTTGTAAGCACTGGACTGTCTTCATCAAGTATTTCCCTACAGAACTCCTCAAGAAAACAGAGATCATTTGGCTAGAGATTGTCTGAGTGACTCCAAGCTACTCACTGTATTGGACGGGAGTAGTAATTTATTTTAAAGATAAAGTGACTAAGTGGGGAAATTTATAAAGCTAAATATTATATATTTTATTTTTCATACATGTTTGAAGTGCAAATCTGTGGATATTCCATTTGTAGGACCAAGTCGACATGCCCATCCTGACATTGTATGCTACGAGAACTCTTCTGATGATGGAATTTCGATTAAAGTGCACTGAAAGATGCTTCTGTGTTTGTCTTCCTCATGTTCTGGGGCTGAAGGTGGGAAGGGGTAGGGCTTTGCAACTTCTGGCAGAAGGATGATGTCTCTGGTTTGCCGCAGCCTGCTTCTGGTGGGTTTGGGGGCGCTGAGGATGGTTAGAGGAGGGTGTGGTCCAGCTGTCCATCCTTCCTATTTCAATGCCTGGCTCAGGCTGTGGGTGCCTGGCAGGCTCTGCCCAGGCTCCTTGTCCCCAGCTCACCCCTGTCTTCTCAACCAGGAGAGCCAGCTTAGCTAGAAGACCTGCGGCCGCCTTCCAGGTGTGGTACCTGCTTAGCGTCTACTCTGTGTAGGTGTTCTTTAGACATCTCATTGAATCCTCCCTGAATGAGCTAATCCCATTTTACAGGTGAATACACAACAATTAAAGCTATTTTGGGATCATGCAGCCGATAGAGGATAGAGCTGGGCTCAAAGCCGTCCTGTGGCTCTGAGGGCTCTGTCCCTTCCACTGCTCACTCCAAGGGGCCCAGTGCCATTGTGTCCTCCCAGATCCGCCTCTCTGTGCTCACCTGGCCCTGGCTGGTGCGTTGATGGTCTCACAAGCATTAGATCCCCCCCACCGCCCACCACCACCACCTCTTTCCACTTTTGTCGTTTTACTCTGTCTTGGTAGCTGCAGAATGTAACTTAGTTTGTCCCTTTTCCAAGTAGCAATGTCAATTTCTATTATAATTGCGGCCTTTTCCAAGTAGCAATGTCAATTTCTATTATAATTGCGGAGCAGAGCCTAATCTTGGAGCCAACTGACAACTTATGCCAGATGTACTTGATACCAAGGCTGAAATGGAAGCCATAACCTCTAAAACCAAGACCGGCAGGTCACAGAGGTTCCTGGAGTCCATTTTTGATGTTGTGAAGTATAACTTGGCAAGAACTAAATACCACTGGTGTTGGGTAGAACATGAAATGAGGCCAGATATCCTGCTCAGGGACCTTTGAAACTCAAAAGTGCTGAGACCAGGCGGAGAGCAGTTTGTTTTGAATCTCCTTCATGCTGGAAACACCAGCTACTCAGATCTCCCCCTGAAAGGTGCTGAGGGGTTTCCTCACTTCATATGCATGCCAGGTGCTGAGCCAGCCCAACTTTTTTCCCAGGCACTGCCTCCCACAAGAGCATCGCTTTGCATCAGGGCTTTGGAAACGCTGCTGAGCCAGATAACTTCCTCCCTGCAACTGGAAGAGCTTTGAGCCCACAACATGGGATCAAACTGCTCCTTGCTGATCTGACCTGAAGATGAGAGAACCACCTCTCCATATCATAGCCGCACACCAGTCCTCCTGTTGGCAGTTTGGTCCTCCTGACATACAAGCAGAAACAAGAATCATTTATGCAATCCAGCAAGTTCCTTATGCCTTGATCCTCCCATGTGAAGGAGACCTGTGGCCTCAGTTTCCCCCACTCAAGACTCTTTTTGTATGTTTGTTTGAGACGGAGTCTCGCTCTGTCGCCCAGGCTGGAGTGCAGTGGTGCGATCTCGGCTCACTGCAACCTCCACCTCCCAGGTTCACGCCATTCTCCTGCCTCAGCCTCCCGAGTAGCTGGGACTACAGGTGCCCGCCACCACGCCCAACTAATTTTTTGTATTTTTAGTAGAGATGGGGTTTCACCATGTTAGCCAGGATGGTCTCGATCTCCTGACCTTGTGATCCGTCCATCTCGGCCTCCCAAAGTGCTGAGATTACAGGCGTGAGCCACTGCGCCCAGCCTCAAGACTTATTTTTTGTACAAGGCTGGAAAGATACTGATAGCAAACTGGGTTCTCCAAGAAGGGTGGGGTAGAGATTGTCCTGGATGATGGAATATTCAGGTTGCTTAAGGGTTGTCATGGAAACGGTAGCCAAATGATCAATGATTAATGAATTGAAAAGTAATAAAATGCAGCTAAATCAAAGGCAGGCTGGGACCAGGTCTCCACCAATAGGAAAGGCAGACCAAGATCCTGCCCAGCCTCTGGGGGCTTTGACATCAGCTCTCCTTATACAGAAGCTCTCAGAAAGAAAAGATGACTTCCTTTTGAGCACAGATGTTATCATTTATTCTGTCAACAAATATCTGGCGCACCTACTTTGTGTCAGCAACTATTCCAGGCACTCGAGATGTAATGGTGAGCAACATAGCAAAGTTCTCCTTTTAAATGGAGATTAATTTCAGTGGGAAGTGTAGATAGAAGGCAAATATATAAACAAGAAAAATGCTGGTGATGTGTTAGGGAGTCACTGGGGAACTACTTTCTGGGGTCACCTTTAAGCTGGGACCTAAATGAAGAGAGGGAACCAATCTTGGGTGGAACCTCACAGACAGAGGGAACAGGAAGTGTGAAGGCCCTAAGGTAGAGCTGAGCTTGGATGTTCAAGAGAAGAAATAGCCAGGTTGGCTGCATTCACAGGAGAGGAGAGGAGTGGATGGGATGAAGAGATTGTAGGATCAGATGACAAAGAGCCTGTGTTGAGATCTCAATGAAATGGGAAGCCTGGAGGTTTTAAGGAGAGGAGTGTGATAATGTGATTAATATTGTAAGCCCACTACTCTTCCTGGTGGATGGAGAATAAACTGTAGAGCATTGTAAAGGGAAATAGAGAAGACTCGTGAGGAGGTTACTGTACTAGTCCAGGTAAGAGGTCATGATGGCTTGGACTAGGGAAGTAGCAGAGGAGACAGAAAAAAAGTGGAAGAATTTAGGATATACTTAGAAGTAGTCATCCTGACTTGTTGATATTTGGAATTTGGGGAGAGAAATAAAATACAATTTTTAAAAACCTAAACTCCAAGTAGGATAAACTGAGAGAGATTCACACCCAGAAATATTACAAACTGTTGAAAACCAAGTAAAGACAGACAATTTTGAAAGCAGCAAGAGAGAAGAGATTCAAGATGTACAAGGAATCCTCAATAAAATTTATAGCTGAATTCTCGTCAGAATCTATGGATGCCAGAAGGCAGAGAGATGACACATTCAAAGTGCTGAAAGAAAAAGACTGTCAACCAAGAATCCTATATTTGACAAAGCTATCCTTCAAAAATGAAGGCAAAATTAAGACATTCCAAATAAACAAAAACTGACAATTTAACACTAGTAGATCCGCTCTACAAAAAAATACCAACGGGAGTCCTTCAGGCCAAAGCGAAAGGATACTAGACGGTAACTCAAATCTACTTGAAAAAATAAAGAGCACTGTTAGAGGTAGCTATATATGTAATTATAAAAGTGTAAGTGTATTTTTTTGTTTATAACTCTTTCCTTCTTTTATCTGATTTAAAAGACAACTGTAAGCTGGGCGTGGTGGCTCACGCCTGTAATCCCAACACTTTGGGAGGCCGAGGTGGACATATCACGAGGTTAGGAATTCAAGACCAGCCTGACCAACATGGGGAAACCCTGTCTCTACTAAAAAACACAAAAATTAGCCAGATGTGGTGGCGCACGCCTATAATCCCAGCTACTTGGGAGGCTGAGGCAGGAGAATTGGTTGAGTCCAGGAGGCAGAGGTTGCAGTGAGCCGAGATCGCCGAGATCACGCCACTGCACTCCAGCCTGGGTGACAGAGTGAGATTCCATCTCAAAAAAAAAAAAAAAAAGACAACTGCATAAAGCAATAATTATAAATTTGCATTGATGGGCATAAATGTATAAAGACGCAATTTGTACAACAATAACAGAACAAAAAAGTGGAGAGGGGATGGAGCTATGTAAAAACAAATTTTTTGTTACTATTATAATGAAGTTGGTGTTAATCTAGATTCAATCATTATAAATTAAGATGTTAATTGTACCTCAGGCAACTACTAAGAAAAGAACTTGAAAGAATGTATTAAAAGAAACAAGGGAATTAAAATACTACACCACAAAATGCTCATTTAACATGAAAGAAGGCAGTAATGGGAAATAAGGGAACACAAAACACATTAATTAGACAAATAAAAAATAGCAAAATAGCAGATATAGACCCTACTTTTATCAGTAATCACATTAAATGTAAAGGTATTAAACACTCCAATTAAAAGGCAGAACAGGGTTTCACCACTTTTGGCCAAGCTGGTCTCTAACTCCTGACCTCAGGTGGTCCGCCCACCTCGGCCTCCCAAAGTGCTGGGATTACAGGCCTGAGCCACCACATCTGGCTTTAAACAACAAACTCTTAAATAACCAATGGGTGAAAGAAGAAATCACAAGGGAAATCAGAAAACTTAGAGAGAAATGAAAATGAAAACACAACATACCAAAACTTATGGAACATAGCAAAAGCAGTGCTAAGAGGGAAATGTATAGCTATAAATGCTTACATTAAAAAGAAGAAAGATCTCAAATCAGCAGCCTAAATTTAGAACGTAAAGAACTAGAAAAAGAACAAACTAAACCCAGTGCTAGCAGAAGGAAGAGAATAATAAAGATTAGAGTAAAGGTAAATCAAATAGAAAATAGAAAAACAATAGAGGAAAACACCAAAACTGAAAATTGGTTCTTTGAAAACATTTAACAAAATTGGCAAACTTTTGGCTAGACTGACCAAGAAAAAAGACACAACCTGGCTGGGCATGGTGGCTCACACCTGTAATCCCAGCACTTTGAGAGGCCAGGGTGGGCGGATCACTTGAGGTCGGGAGTTCAAGACCAGCCTGTCCAACATGGCAAAACCCCATCTCTACTAAAATTACAAAAATTAGCCGGGCGTGATGGTGCGTGCCTATAATCCCAGCTACTTGGGAGGCTGAGGCAGGAGGATCATTTGAACCCAGGAGGTGGAGGTTGCGGTGAGCCAAGATCACGCCACTGCACTCCAACCTGGGCAACAGAGTAAGACTCCATCTGAAAAAAAAAAAAAAAAAGAACAGGAATAAGCCAGATATTGCTATTCTCATCACCTCTATTTATTACTGCATTGGAGGTTTTAGTCAAGGAACTTAGGCAAGAAAATAAAATAAAATGCACCCAGATTGTAAGGAAGAAGTAAAACATATAAAACATATACTTCTTGTCATATAAAAGTAAAGGAAGTAAAACTATCTTCTTTATAAGATCATAAGGAATCCACGAAAAAACTTACTAGAGCTAATAAATAAGTTTATCAAGGATGCAGAAAATAAGAGCAATATGCCAAAAATCTACTGTATTTCTCCTGTATACGTGATCAATGAACAATCTAAAATTAACCTAAGAAAGCATTTCTATTTGCAACAGTGTCAAAAATTCAAATACCTAGGAATGCATTTATTTATTTATTTATATTTGAGACAGGATCTCACTCTATTGCCCAGGCTAGGGTGCAGTGGTGTGATCATAGCTCACCGAAACCTCGACCTCTTGGGCTCAAGCAATCCTCCTGCCTCAGCCTCCTGAGTAGCTGCGACTACAGGTTTGCACTGCCATGCCTGGCTAACTTTTAAAAATTTTTTTGTAGAGATGGGGTCTTTTTATGTTTCCCAGGCTGGTCTTGAACTCCTGGGTTCCAGCAATCCTCCTGCCTTGGCCTCCCAAAGTGCTAGGATTACAGGAATGAGCCACCACACCCAGTCAGGAATAGATTTAATAAAATTAGGGAAAGATTTGTACTCTGAAAGCCATAAAGCATTATTAAAAAGAATTAAAGGCCTAAATAAATGAAAAGTTATCCATGTTTATTTATTGGAAGACTTAATATTAAGACTGCTGGTGTGCAGCCTGACCACCAGCAGTGGTGAAACCCCATCTCTACTAAAAAATACAAAAATTAGCCAGGCGTGGTGGCATGCACCTGTAATTCCTGCTACTGGGGAGGCTGTGGCATGATAATTGCTTGAACCCGGGAGGTGAAGGTTGTGGTGAGCCGAGATTGCACCACTGCACTCCAGCCTGGGCAACAGAACAAGACTCTGTCTCAAAGAAAAAAAAAAAAAAAAAAAAAGACTGCTGCTGTGAACATTCAGTGGATAAAAAAAAATGTGTTCAGATGTTGAGTCTGATGACTGCACATATACACACACCAAGAGAGTGCGAAAAAGCTGATTATTCACTGTGATGGTTAATATTGAGTGTCAACTTGATTGGATTGAAGGATGCAAAGTATTGTTCCTGGGTTTATCTGTGAGGGTGTTGCCAAAGGAAATTAACATTTAAGTCGGTGAACTGGGAGAGGCAGACCCACTCTCATTCTGGGTGGACGCTATTTAATCAGCTGCCAGCTCAGCTAGGATAAAAGCAGGCAGAAGAACGTGGAAGGACTAGACTGCCTGAGTCTACTGGCCTCCATCTTTCTCCTGTGCTGGCTGCTTCTTGCCCTCGAACATCGGACTCCAAGTTCTCCAGCTTTTGGACTCTTGGACCTACACCAGTGGTTTGCCAGGGGCTCTCGAGTCTTTGGCCACAGACTAAAAGCTGCACTGCCAGTTTCCCTACTTTTGAGGTTTTGGGACTCAGACTGGCTTCCTTGTTCCTCAGTTTGCAGGCAGCCTATGGTGGGACTTCTCCTTGTGATTGTGTAAGTCAATACTCCTTAATAAACTCCCCTTCTATCCTGTGAGTCCTGTTCCTCTAGAGAACCCCGACTAATACACTCACGTAATGAGGATTTCTGAATAGAGCAGGTGGGTCCCAGGAAGGTCCAAAAATGGCTTGAGAGAGCAGGAAAAGAAGTCTGGTTTGGGTTTCTTATGGTAGTTAGGGGACAGGGCCAGAGTGGTGTGAATATGCTGAAAGCCACTGAATTAAACATTTTAAAAGTAAGGTGAATTTGATGGTGTGTAAATTATATCTCAGGTTTTGTTGTTGTTGTTTGTTTTTAAAGACAGACTCTCATTCTGATACCCAGGCTGTAGTGCAGGGATGTGATCAAAGCTCACTGCAGCCTTGAACTCCTGGGCTCAAGGGATCCTTCCACCTCAACCTCCTGAGTAGCTGGGACTACACATGTGCACCACCACTCCTGGCTAAGTTTTAAAATTTTTTGTAGAGACAGGTCTCTGCCCTGTTGTCCAGGCTGGTCTCGAACTTCTGACCTCAAATTATCTTCCTGCCTGGGCCTCCCAAAGCACTAGGATTACAGGCATGGGCCACTGGACACAGTCTCATTTTTTAAAACAAGGTTTTGGACCAGGTGGGTAGATGCCATTTACTGATGGGGAGTTGGAGTGGGGGCAAAAAGCAGGTTTTGGGATGGGGGAAAATAAAGAGTTCTTTTTTGGACTTAAGTGTGAGAACGTATTTTAGTGTAACTGTCAAGTGGGTAATTGGATTTGGGAAGAGGTCAGGGCTGGAGATAAAAAATGGGTTATGCTGGGCATAGTGACTCACATCTATAATCCTAGTGCTTTGGGAGGTCAAGGCAGGAGAATCTCTTGAGGCCAGGAGTTCAAGACCAACCTGGGCAACATTTCAAGACCCTGTCTCTACAAAAATACAAAAATTAGCTAGGCATGGTGATGCGTGCCTGTAGTCCAGCTACTCAGGAGGCTGAGGCGGGAGGATCACTTGACCCAGGGGGTCAAGGCTGCAGTGAGCTGTGATTACACCACTGCACTCCAGCCTGGATAACAGAGCAAGACTCTGTGTCTAAAACGAATAAAAGATAAATTTTTGAAAATTGGATTAAAAACATAGTCCTTGCTTCTAGGTACTCCCAGCCTCACTACTGTTTGAAAGTAAATGTACAGAAACAGATATGTTCATCCTTACTTAGACCATTGACTCCTCACTGGTAGGAAGCATATTCATGCATAAGCCAATTTAACTCAACATGCATTATCCTACTGTGTGTAGTGTCTACATGAATGAGACATGGTCTTCACTTCACAGTCTAGTATGAGAGACAGAATGGAGCCAATTAAGCAAATTGCTATATCAGAAAGCCTTCACCTGGCTAAGGCTGAGGGAGGGGCAGTTTCCATAGTGACTTCTTTAATCATCCATAGCTCTACCTTCAGCTACACACCGAACCAGTCAAGAAGAGTTGTTGACCTCAGCCTTGGTGGCTCACAGAGCAGCTGGATGACTCTGTAAGGGGTTGGTATTGAGCAGTCACACAGAAGCAATTTGATTGTTCCTGGGAATTTCAACATGGTAAGAAGCTTGTCAAGGCTGGGATTGTGCAGGTTGGGTTATATGACTTTGGCCTTGACGAACGGCGAGCTTCCCATTGTTTTCTCAAAGAAGCACAAAACAAATTTACCAAGTTGTTTTACTTTTCTCTACAAAGCGATTCTGCTCTCTGTAGTTGTCAGTGCAAATATTCACAGGCACATTTTAAAACCCTGTTCAAGCAGAGATAAATCACAGAAGACTACAGCTGGGGGGCGGGATGACATTTCCTTGTCACTCATCATCATACACAAGCGATCATGCCCTTCGGGAATAATATGGTCAACCCTGGCTTTCTGTGCTTAAGAGGGCAGCATAGATCATGGAGAGTCTGTGTCTCAGCTGAAGACTCAGATCTTGCAAGAAATATCACACCTATTTATCATCTTTAAAGTATAGTTTATTACGAGACATCATAGATACAATAGACCAAGTATATGCATATGCACAGTAGAAAGAATAATCATAAATGAATATTTGTGTACCAATGACTCAGTTTAAGAAATATTTAGTTAATGCCTATTTTATACCAGGTACTTTGCTGGGAACTTTGTTGAAATCAATGAACAAAAAAGAAAAAGACTCCTCACCTTGTGGATCTAACATTCTGGAGGAAGGAGAATGATGATAAATACTAGACAGATGAGTAAGTAAATTATATAATTTGTTAGAAGATGACAAGTGCTCCGGGAAAGGGGGAATGGAAATGTGGTTGTCGGGGGTTCACAATTTAAGGTAGGGCAATGGAGGAGGCCTCTTTGAGAAGATGACATTTGATCCAAGACTTGACGGAGATGAGAGAATTGGCCACGCATATCATTGCTTGATCAAACTCTATGAGTTCTTCTGTGACTTGCTTTTTTTTTCTTGATATTATGTTTTTGAGATTTCTCCAGGCTGATAATTTTCACTGCTATCTAGTCTTTCCTGACGGCATATATTATGGTTCTCTATCCATTCTCCTACTCAGGGACTGTTGGATGGTGCGTATCTACTAATGCAGTGTGCAAGAATTTTCTCTAGGGCCAGTGCCTAGGAGTGCAATGGCTGGGTTGAAATCTGACACACTCTGCCTTTTAGTTGGGGAATTTAGACCATTTACATTTATTGTGGCTATTGATTACTGGTTTTGGGCAAATCAATAATGATGTCTTTGTCAAGATGTGTGTTGGCCTTTGATCAAGGCTTGGGTCAGGGTTACAGCTGGATGGGGCAGAGATAGGCTGAGAGAGTTCCTCTCTCAGGTGGTAGGTGGCTGAGGTCAGCTGGCTGGTGGGGGCTGAGGCCCCAGCCAGCAGGCAAGGAAGGTCTGGCTGAGGCCACACAGCCCTACCAGGGAGGAGGCCTGCCAGCTGCCACCTGCCCCAGGGACCTGATAGAGGCTTCCAGGAGGCTTATCCCAGCAAGTGTTCAGTGGCTTCCAGTCTGGGGATAAGTCCTCGACTGAGTGTGGTCTGTCTGCCATCTTTCACTCCACATCTGCACATCTGTCCAGGGACAGTGGAATGACTGAGCAAGCTGTCTGCCCCAAAGGGTGATGGGCTCGAGTGGAGGAACTCTCTGATGTCCTTCCTCAGGGTGCATGCTCTATAGGCCCCGGATCTCCTGCCTGTTCTGAGATGGCCTTGTGTGGTAGGGAGGTCCCAGGAGATGGCCATGCCTAGCATCTTCTCCTTAGGCAAGCAACCCTGAAGTGCAGGACCAGCTCAATTGCTGCAGACAGTGTTCATTTTCCCCAGGGCAGCCCTTCAGCTGGTCCCCAAGCTGCTCGTTAGAAGCAGGGGCCTCTAGTAGAGCTGAGGAATCCAGATGTGGCATAGATGAGGAGGGCATCCCACCCCTAGTGGGCTCTCGGTTTAATTCTGCAGTGGAAAGGGCCACTTTGTTGCAGGTCTCTTTATGGCATGGATGTGGAGGGTAAATTTGAAGCCTCACCAAACAGCTTCCTGCTCCTGGAGCCTGGACCATTCCTTGGGGACCTCCAAGAAGAGTCTGTGCCTGGGGACTGCTCCTCACAGCCCTACCTCCCGTTCTATTTTAGGTATGTCCAGTGCAAAAACAGGGAAATGAAAAAAATAAATGTATATGAGCTTTCAGCTGAGAAGAGGCAGGTGGAGATGCCTCCCAGGAGACTTTCAGGCCAGAGTCTCGAGAATATTCAGACTCACTCCCAGCTGGGGGGAATGTGGAGCATGGACACCACCCCCGTTTAGAGGTGAGGATCCAAGGCCCCAGACTTCTGAAAAAAACGGATGCTCCATCCTGGATCTCTCTGTAGTATTTCTGCATGCTAGCTCTGCACACCTCATTCTCTTAATAATAGGATGTAGTCTATTTTTTACCCCTGAGATGTAATTTAAATATAAATGCAGCATTTGGCCTATGTATACATCAAAGTCTGTATGTGGACCAGTTAACCTGCAAACCTGTGGTGATAGGGACCGCCCCACTGGGAGAACCCAGGGTCCCTTCCTGGCAGCTTAGGCCTACGGGGTTCTATTTCCGTCTTCTCTCTGCGGAAACTTGCTCAGCAGACACTGTCCATGCACATGGCTCACCCAGGGCCCTGACCCAGATAGTAGCTAAGCCCTGAGCACATCCGCAGGGAAGCCTGGCTCAGCCATCCATCACAACCACACAGCTGGTGACAGCCGAGCAGGGGGCGCCCTCATGGCCTGAGAAGGCAGCAGGATGAGGTAGCTAAGTTCTGGGTCTCGTTGCCCTTGCTGTGTGGCCCAGGGCAAGCCACTTTCCCTCTCTGGGCTATCTGGAATGTGGCCTGGAGCTCACGACATCACTCTGTCCTGGAAGCCAGTGATGGGATCTTTACAACAATCCTTCAACAGGATGCTCTAGATGGTGACGGCTGGAATTCATTTCAGTTTTTAAATTTTTATTTATTTTGGCCAGACACTGTGGCTCACACCTGTAATCCCAGCACTCTAGGAGGCCGAGACAAGTGGATCACCTGAGGCCAGGAGTTCAAGACCAGCCTGGCCAGCATGGTGAAACCCCATCTCTATTAAAAATACAAAAATTAGTCAGGCTTGGTGGTGCACACCTGTAATCCCAGCTACTCAGGAGGCGGAGGCAGGAGGATCACTGGAACCCAGGAGGTGAAGGTTGCAGTGAGTCAAGATTGCACCACTGCACTCCAGCCTTGGTGACAGAGTGAGACTCCCTCTTAAAAAAAAATTATTTATTTTTATTTTTTATAGAGACAGTGTCTCACTTTGCTGCCCAGGCTTGCTTCAAACTCCTAGCCTCAAGCGATCCTCCGGCCTCAGCCTCCCAGTGCGCTGAGATTACAGCTGTGAGCCACTGTGCCTGGCCTGGAATTCACTTTAGCCACACACCTCTGAAAACACAGGCCAGTTTGCTATTCCCCTTTCGCAGATGAGGAAACTGAGGCTCTGGTAAAAGAAAGGACTTGTCTAAGTTCACATGAATAATTAGGTCAAGGGAGGCCCACCTGAGGTCTGGTCCTGGACATGATGTCCTGGGGACATATTTTATGCAGAGACCTGGGGGAAACAGTGCTTAAGACGGGGCATGGGACCTCCCAACACCCCCACAGACAAACTCTCCACCCAGGCACAGGATAGTAGAAAAGTTGTTACTGGAGGCATCTGAGTGCCCCCTGGGAACCTAGGGATAGCCCCCCAGCCATCTGCAGGTGCCCAGGGGTGAGCCATGCTCCTGCTTCCCTCGCTGTCTCCCTCCCTCCCTGCTCTTTCTCTTTCAGCAAATATTTGTTGTTGCTGTTGTGAGCCGCTGCCATGGTTACAGGCATCCCCAGAGCTGAGGGTCCAAGTTGGACTTGAAACCTCTTTAAAAGTCAAGACCACAGGAAACAGCTGCTTCTTAAAACCCCGGTCCTGCAGGTGACCACATCTCATCACCCCAGGCTGTAGGCTCTGTGCCAGCTGAGGGTTTGGGGAAGTGGAAGGGGAATCTTCAGGTTTTCACCAGGCCCAGCAGCCCTGGAGTTGGGGGACAGCCTGAGACCACAAAGACCAGCCTTGGGCAGACACCTCAGCATTCCTCCCTGCCCTGAAGAGGTGCCACTCCTGCACAGCAGGGCACCAGCCTCCAATAAACCCAGGTGACTGAATTCCCGCAGGGCGCCCCTCCTCACCAGCTGTGCGACCCTGAGTGAGTCGTGGTGGTCTGACGTGTTTGCTCATCTGTGAAATCAGGGCGATGAACCCTTGTGGGCTTATTTTGAGGAGTTAAGCCTTCCAAGCTTAGGTCACGCTTGCTGAGTAGGGCGGTATGGTTGCCGACGGATGGAAAGCCCAGAGGTCTGATGTGGCACCAGCTCCAACAGATGCAAACCCTCAAGTTTGCATTTCTCTGCACAACTTCCTCTTTGGGTGATTGTGAGCTGCTGTTTTCTGCTTGGACCAGGGAGAACAATAGTCTTACACAGCAGAGACTTCTCCTGAGGACTGAAGGAGCTGACTGTATTAGCTATTGGTTGCTACGTAACGAATGACTCCAAAACTTACCAGCTGAAGACAACAAATGTTTAATATCTCACTGTTTCTGTGGGTCAGGAGTCCAGGAGTGGCCTTGCTGGGTAGTTCTGGCTCAGGGGTCTTTCATAAAGTCACAATCAAAATGTTGGCCAGGACCAGGAGCATTGGCTCATGCCTGTAATCCCAGCACTTTGGGAGACCGAGGCAGGTGGATCATTTGAGGTCAGGAGTTTGAGACCAGCCTGGCCAACATGGTGAAAACCCATCTCTAAAAAAAAAAAAAAAAATACAAAAATAAACTAGGCATGGTGGGGCATGCCTGTAGTCCCAGATACCCGGGAGGCTGAGGCATGAGAATTGCTTGAACCTGGGAGGCAGAGGATGCGGTGAGCCAAGATTGTGCCACTGCACTCCAGGCTGAGTGACAGAGTGAGACTCCACTTCAAAAAAAAAAAAAAAAAAAATAGTTGGCCAGGGCTGCAGTCCTGAAGACTGGACTGGGTGGGAGGAGCCCTTTCCATGATGGCTTCTGCGCATGGCTGTTGGCAGGAGGCCTCAGTTCCTCACAACGTGGGCCTCTCCAAAGGGTTGCTCACGGCAGTGCGTGGTAGCTCACGCCTGTAATCCCAACACTTTAGGAGGCTGAGGTGAGAGGATCGCTTGAGCTTAGGAGGTCCAGACCAGCCTGGGCAACACAGGGAGACCCCATCTCTACAAAAAGTAAAAAATTATCTAGGCATGGTGGAGCACCTATGGTCCCAGCTATTCAGGAGGCTGAAGTAGGAGGATCGCTTGAGCCCAGAGGTTGAGGCTGCAGTGAGCCATGATTGCACCACTGCACTCCAGCCTGGGCTGCAGAGAAAGACCCTGTCTCTAAAAAAAAAAAAAAAAAAAAAAAAACACAAAGGGCTGCTCATGACAGGGCAGCTGGCTTCCCAGGGTGAGCAATCTGAGAAAGCGTAATGTGGTTTATGACCTAGCCTTTGAAGACATGCCCTCACTTCTACTGTCTTGTACTGGTCACACAGACTAACCTTATTACAATATATGAGAGGCTGTGAATACCAGGTGGCAGAGATGGCTGGGGCCATCTCTGGCCCCCAGTTCCTGCTGTGAGTTTGGCTATCATGGCAAGGAAGGGACTCCCCCAGGGCCCAGCATGCAGCATATACTCAGCGTATGGGAGATGACACAGTTATTCTACAGTACACAACCCCAGAACCTAGAATGCCTCAGGGTTGGAGAAGGAAATGCAGGAAAGAGACCAGACCCAGAAGTGGGACCGCAGGCCCCAATGGAGGCACATTTCCTGGACCAGGCAAAGAGACCTGGTGCCCAGCCCTGCTGTGCCAGGTGGAGAAGGGGCAGGAGGAGGACCCCAGTGAGGATACAAGCTTGCAGGAGCCAGGTCACCAGCTCAGAGCCAGGGCAGCCCAGGTCAGTCAATGGCCAGGAATCCAGCTGAACCCTGCACCCTGCCTGTCCCTGCCCCACAGATCAGGGAGGCATCTGGAGTGGGTGGAGTGGGCCCCCTGGGTGCTCTTGTCCTTGGAGTTCCCCTCTGAAGCTGCCATCACCCTGCGATAATCCAGTCCTGCGTGCTCTGCTCACACGCCCTATGGGGTTTCCTGAGCTATCTGCTGCGCCTTACCGAGTGACTCCTTACTCACCTGGGTTCCCACTGCTTCATTCACCTGCTTTGGAGCGAAGCACTTGGAAGGTGCAAAGAGCCTAGAATGAGATTCTCTCCACGCACCGACTCCCTCCTTCCTGCCACCCAGGAAAATGCTCAAGGGACACAGCCTCAGAGGGGCCTTCCCAGACCTCTTCCTCTCCTGTGCCCCATCCTTCCCTCCCTCTTACGGCACCTGCTTTATGATCTCTAGAGCACGATGACTTCCCATCGTCATCTGGTGTGTTTATTATTATTATTATTATTATATTTAGAGACAGGGTCTCCCTTTGTATCCCAGGCTGGAGTGCAGTGTCGCAATCATAGCTCACTGCAGCTTTGAACTCCCAGGCTCAAACAATCCTCCCACCTCAGCTTCCCAAATAGCTGGGACCAGAGGTGCATACTACCACATCCAACTAAATTTTTTTTTTTTTGAGATGGAGTCTCAGTCTGTCACACTCAGTGGCGCCATCTCAGCTCACTGCAACCTCTGCATCCCGGGTTCAAGTGATTCTCCTGCCTCAGCCTCCCAAGTAGCTGGGATTACAGGCGTATGCTGCTGTGCCCAGTTGATTTTTGTATTTTTAGTAGAGACGGGATTTCACCATGTTGCCCAGGCTGGTCTTGAAAACCCACCTCGGCCTCCCAAAATGCTGGAATTACAGGCGTGAGCCACTGCACCCAGCCAATGTTTTTGTATTTTTTACAGAGCTGGGGTCTCGCTATGTCGGCCAGGCTGGTCTGGAACACCTGGCCTCAAGCACTCTTCCTACGTTGGCCTCCCAAAATGTTGAATGTAAAGAGTGAGCCACCATGCTTGGCCTCTAGTGTGTCTCTTGACTGCTTGTGTACTTTTTTTTCTTTTTCTTTTTTTCTTTTTTGAGATGAAGTCTCACTCTGTCACCTAGGCTGGAGTCACCTAGGCTGGAGTCATTCTGTCACCTAGGCTGGAGTCACTCTGTCACCTAGGCTGGAGTGCTGTGGCGTGATCTTGGCTCACTACAACCTCCACCTCCCTGGTTCAAGCAATTCCCCTGCCTCAGCCTCCTAAGCAGCTGGGATTACAGATGCATGCCACCACGCCCAGCTAATTTTTGTACTTTTAGTAGAGATGGGGTTTCTCCGTGTTGGCCAGGCTGGTCTCGAACTCCTGACCTCAGGTGATCCGCCTGCCTCGACCTCCCAAAGTGCTGGGATTACAGGCGTGAGCCACTGCTCCTGGCCTGCTTGTGTATTTTCTGTCCCCATATGTAGGACTGAAAGCAGAGACTGGGTCTGCCTTGTTCATCGTGCACTCCCTGAGCCCAGCCTGGTGCCAGGGCTAAGCAGCTTCTCCCATGAGTATCTAGAGAGTGAGTGGAGGATAATGAAGAAGGGAAGATGACTCCTAGGCCAATCCAGCTGACACTCACTTTCTAAGCTGGGGGAGCATCTAACAGGCCCGAGGGAGTGACCAGTCTTTTTTACTTTATTTATTTATTCTGATACAAAGTCTCGCTCTGTCGCCAGGCTGGAGTGCAGTGGCACGATCTCAGCTCAATGCAACCTCTGCCTCCCGGGTTCAAGCAATTCTTCTGTCTCAGCCTCCTGAGTAGCTGGGATTCATAGGCATCTGCCACCACACCCAGCTAATTTTTGTATTTTTGGTAGAGACAGGGTTTCACCATGTTGGCCAGGATGGTCTCAATCTCTTGACCTCGTGACCTGCCTGCCTCAGCCTCCCAAAGTGCTGGGATTACAGGGGTGAGCCACCGTGCCCGGCCAGTCTTTTTTATTTTTGAGACAGAATCTTGCTCTGTTGCCCAGGCTGGAGTGCAGTGCTGCGATCTCAGCTCACTAAAACCTCTGCCTCCCGGGTTCAAGCGATTCTCCTGCTTCACCCTCCCGAGTAGCTGGGATTACAGATGCCTGCCACCACACTCAGCTAATTTTTGTATTTTTAGTAGAGACAGGAGTTTCACCATGTTGGCCAGTGATCCGCCCACCTCAGCCTCCCAAAGTACTGGGATTATAGGCATGAGCCACCGCACCCAGCCTGGAGCAGCCATTCTATCTTGAGCCCCAGGCAAGCACAGTCCCTAAGGCTCCAACTCCCCAACACCTGGAGACCAGAGGCCAGGTCAGCTTTTCCAGCTACAGTTTCAGACCCAGACAACATTTCCTTTTCAGCACAAGCATGTCCTCCCCATTTCCATCTCCACTGATCCGGATCAGGCTAGATTCAGAAGCATGCCCAGGCGAAGGCTGAGGGAAGGATGAACCCAATATTAAATTCTAATGAGCTGGGAAGCAAAGGAGAAGATGAGACTGATGCCAGCCCAACTGGAATGTCAATCATGTTTTCTGCAGGAACATGGAAATTTTCACGTCTTTTCTTGGAGTCCTGCTCCAAGAGTGGTTTCCAGGCTATTCTATTGGGTGAATGTGAGTGATTAACTGTAAATATGGGGCAACAACTTGGCTCAGCAAGAAGAAATGAAGGGGCTCCCCTGCCAATGTGGGTGCCATTGCCAGCTGTGTAATTATTAACTGCCTGTTGTGTACTAGCTGCTGCGGGAGGTCCCTGGAAATATCCCAGGACATTGGTCTCTGCTCAGGCTGTGGCCCAATGGTGATGCCCTTTCTTCTCCATCTGTCTGTACTCTGCCCCCATCCTTAGGCCCCAGCTCATCCCTCCTCCTCCAGGCTGACCACCCAGCTGACTTCTCACCCACATTGGCATAGCAATTAATAGCATGTGTGTGCTGGACACTATTGGCCTCCACATTCGCTTTTTTTTTTTCTTTTTAAAGTTGGGGTCTCGCTCTGTTGCCCAGGCTGGAGTGCAGTGGTGCAATCATAGCTCACTGACGCCTCCAACTCCTGGGCTCAAGTGATCCTCCTGCCTCAGCCTCCCCAGTGGCTAGGACCACAGGTATGTGCCAGCACACCAGTCTAATTTTTATTTTATTTATTCATTTATTTAGAGATGAAGTCTCCCTCTTCTTGCTCAGGCTGGAGTGCAATGGTACAATCTCGGCTCACTGCAACCTCTGCCTCCCAAGTTCCAGCAATTCTCTTGCCTCAGCCTCTGAGTAGCTGGGATTACAGTCATGTGCCACCACACCTGGCTAATTTTTGTATTTTTAGTAGAGATGGGATTTCACCTTGTTGGTCAGGCTGGTCTCAAACTCCTGACCTCAAGTGATTAGCCTGCCTCAGCCTCCCAAAGTGCTGGGATTACAGGCATAAGCCACTGTGCCCAGCAGCCTGGTCCTTGTTGAAGGCCCTGAGCCGACCCCATGGGAGCATCGGGCGTTCTGTCTTTTGCACCATGAAGCACACTGGCTAAGATCCAGCTATCTAAGTGCAGCTCAGAACAACCTGCCTACAGGTTTCCAGGCCATTCCCTGGGGACTCTGACTCAGGGAATCTGTGAGGGCCCAGGATTCTGCTTTGTTTATGAACTCCAAGATGATTCTGATGCTGATTCACTGCAGCTTTGAACTCCCAGACTCAAGAGATCCTCCCACCTCAGCCTCCCAAATAGCTGAAACCACAGGCTATGGGGATGACAGCAGATGCTGCTTGGTGAAATACCAAGGCTGCATGGCAACGTGCACTCTTGGAGAGGTTGTCTGCTATGGGACTGAGAGCAGGTGCCCCAGATTGAGGCAGCTTGGGTCAGACCCCACTCTGTCCCTTCCAGCTGTGTCTCCTTGGGCAATTCAGCGATGAACTCCGGCTCAGTTTACTCATCATACACGGCCTGCAGGATGGATCCGTGCACCTTCCATTCTCAACCCAGCAACCGGGCAATCTCTAAAGCCCAGATTCAGCCTCCTTCTCCCTATTGGAGGGTGTCCTTGTTTCCACAGTAAGCTCCAGGACCCGCAGTAGGTAGACAATGCTCTATCTGCTCTGGTCTCAGTTTTTGTTCCAGTTAAAGACCAATTTCTTGGTTCCAAAGGCAGCCAAGAGCTATTCTTTGTCTCTTAAATAAGTGGGGCTTCCCATGGGGAATACAGTGCCAGGTACAAGGAAATAAGAGAGGAGGGATTCTAGCCATCTTTAGTTGAGTACTGGCCAGCACATGTATGTGAGAAAATTACTGGCTGGGCGTGGTGGCTCACACCTGTAATCCCAGTACTTTGGGAGGCCAAGGCGGGCGAATCACCTAAGGTCAGGAGTTCGAGACCAGCCTGGCCAACATGGTGAAACCCCGTCTCTACTGAAAATACAAAAATTAGCCAGGCATGGTGGCAGGTGCCTGTAATCCCAGCTACTCAGGAGGCTGAGGCAGGAGAATCATTTGAACTGGGTAGGTGGAGGTTGCAGTGAGCCAAGATCATGCCACTGCACTCTAGCCTGGGCGACAGAGTGAGACTTCTCTCAAAAAAAGAAAAAAAAAAATTACCTGAGGCCAGGGAAAGAATCGCCCAAAAGGATTAGAAAGAACAATTCAAGGAGCTCACGCAGGAATGGGAATAGTTTCTGTTCCCTCCAGCCAGAGTAGAAATCCTCATAATTCACAGGGTATCAGGGAGAATATTCAGAAGGGTCTTGCCTCAGTAGTGGGGGAAAATTAACCCCAGACTAAACACTTCTCTGGTTCTACCTACCAAATCTTAAAGAGTAAGCCCTGAAAGGATGAGATTGTTAGGGAAGCAAGAGCCTCAGAGAGCCAGAGTAGCACCATTTTAAGTTCAGCTCCATCTTGAGACTAACAAGGCACATTCCTTGCCAGTTACAACCCACGGTCATAAGATGTTTACAGCTAAGAAAGCAGATTAGTAATGCCTGCAAGGACAAATACCTACAACAACAGAAAGTCCTGATGTCCCAATATCCATAACAATACATGCTTTCAAAATAATTATAGTTATGCTTTAATGTACTTACCCGCTAAAATGTCAAGGATAGTTTTCTTTAAATCAATAGAATAATACATTTTGTCATGCTGTCTGCCCGCCCACATGTAGACATGGCTTGCTTTAGTCTTTACATAGATAAGACTTCTATATAAGAAAAACTTAAAACAAGGACAGTGCATTCCTTCTCTTGCTTCCTGAGGATGCCCTACTCCCTAAGGAAGTAGGTTTCAATAAACTCTCTCTTTTCACAGCACTCTGCAACTTGCCTTGAATTCTTTCCTATGTGAGATCCAAGAACCCTCTCTTAGGGTCTGGATTGAGACCCTTTTTCTGGTAACAAAATGGTTTCCAAACTACTTATTTATTTATTTGAGATGAGGTCTTGCTCTGTCGCCCAGCCTGGAGTGCAGTGGTGTGATCACAGGTCACTGCAGCCTCAACCTCCCAGGCTCCAGTGATTCTCTGGCCTCAACTTCCCGAGTAGCTGGGACTACAGGCATGCAACCACCATGCCTGGCTAATTTTTTGTATATATATATGATCCACCCACCTCAGCCTCCCAAAGTGCTAGGACTATAGGAATGAGCCACCATGCAGAGCCCCCAAACTAATTAAAGATATCCCCAAATAAAACAGAACATTTGTGGTAATACAAAATTACCCAGAACCCAGTGAGGGAAAATTCACAATGTCAGGCACCCAGTCAAAAATGACCAGACATTCAAAGAAGCAGAGAAATACAACCAAAAATGAGGAGAAAAAGCAACCAATTAATGCTGAGCCAGAATTTGTAGAATGGCCAGAAAAGGTCATATTCCATGTGTTCAAGAAGCTGGAGAAAAGATTGAGCATTTTAGGTAGAGATATGGGTGATATACCCAGAAAAGGTCCAGATTGTACTTCTAGGTATAACAATAACAAGGTCTGAGGTGAGCCATTAGTTCTATATTTGGTGAAGCCATCCTTTGGGAATGAAGGGGAAATAAAGACATTCTCATATGAAGGAAAATGAAAAGAATGTGTTGCAAGTGGATTTACCCTTAACGTTTAGCTGAAGGAAGGTTTTGTAACAGAAAGAAAATGATAAAAGAAAGAATCTGGCCAGGCGCGGTGGCTCACGCCTGTAATCCCAGCACTTTGGGAGGCTGAGGCAGGTGGATCATGAGGTCAGGAGATCGAGACCATCCTGGCCAGCATGGTGAAACCCTGTCTCTACTAAAGATACAAAAATTAGCCAGGCATGGTGGTGCATGCTTGTAATCCCAGCTACTCAGGAGGCTGAGGCAGGAAAATCACTTGAACCTGGGAGGCAGAGGTTGCAGTGAGCCAAGATCATGCCATTGCACTCCAGCCTGGGCAACAAGAGTGAAACTCTGTCTCAAAAAAAAAAAAAAAGAAAGAAAGAAAGAAAAAGTCTTGGAGCATCAGAAGGGAGAAGGAACAATGAGGAGGGCAGAGATCTGGGTCACATACAATAGACTGTCCTTCCCCTCCTGAGCTTTATAATCATATTTGATGATTGGAACAAAAATTATGAAACCATCCAATACTCAAGACCAAGATATTTAAAAGTGGGAAAGAGAAAAAGACCAAAATTGCAATGAGGTCTTACTAGGAGATTATAATAAATTACATACGTGTATTGTAATACCCAGGGCAACCACAACAAAAACTAGACAGAGAGATGCACTGAAAAACACTACAAAAAAATGAAGATGACAGATTCTGCAGCTCTTCCAAACAATCAGTAGATCTGCCTGTACTGACATGGGAAGATGTCCAAGACACTCGGTAGTAAAATAAAAACAAGCTTCAGGACAATATACATATAATCCTTTTTAAGTAAAAATCACATCTGTGTTATCTGTGTCAGCTCAGGTCCTCCGAGAAACAGGCTGCAATGTGGAATTACATGGGATTCGATGCGCAAGACATTTATTGCAGAAAATGCCTGCAAGGAAAAATGGCGGGGTGGAGGGGTGCTGAGGAAGCTGGGGGTATGGACAGTCCCTATGGAGGAGTGAGAGGAAGGATGGTTGGGTCATAAAGTGGGCTGGATATTGTCCCTCCAAAAAGATGTATCCAAATCCTAATCCCTGGTACCCATGCATATGACTTTATTTGGAAATAGGTTATTTGCAGATGCAATTAAATTAAGAATCTCAAGATGGGATCATCCTGGATTTGGGGTGGACCCTAAGGTCGATGACTGGTGTCCTTATAAGAGGAAGGAGAGGGAGATTTAAGACACACAGACACAAAGGGGCAAAGCCATATGAAGATGGAGGTGGAGGAGCCAAGAAACTCCAAGAATGGAGGACAGCTGCCAGAGGCTGGAGATAGGCACAGAACAGATTTTCCCTGAAAGCCTCCAGAGGGAACCAATCCCGCCCACAACTTGATTTCAGATTTCTGGCCTCCTAACTGTGGGATGATACATTTCTGTTGTTTGAAGCCACTCAGTTTGTGGTCATGTGTTTCAGCACCTATAAGAAACTAATACAAGTAGGAGAAATCTTAGGTCAGAGCGAGGTGGCTCACGCCTGTAATCCCAACACTTCGGGAGGCTGAGATGGGCCAATTACTTGAGGTCAGGAGCTCGAGACCAGCCCAGCCAACATGGTAAAACCCCATCTCTACTGAAAATACAAAAATTAGCCAGGCATGGTGGCGGGTGCCTGTAATCCCAGCTACTCAGGAGGCTGAGGCAGGAGAATCACTTGAACCTGGGAGGCGGAGGTGACAGTGAGCCAAGATCACACCACTGCACTCCAGCCTGGGTGACGGAGCCAGACTCTGTCTCAAAAAAATAAAAATAAAAATCCGAGACTAAGAAAGTTTTGCCAAAGCAGATGGGGTGTCCTCGGCAAAGTTATTCATCAGAGGAGTCCTGCATGGTCCAGGAACGGGCCTCACCCAGTGTCCCCGGCACACTCCATCACGGGCTGGGAGCAGCCTGCAAGACATATGGCCTTGGCGTGAACTTGGTGATGAATTTCAGAACAGGCAGCTGGGGCTGTGGGCCAGTCACCCTCTCTGCAGTGGGAAGTCTAACAGGCATGTGTTCATGGCCACCCTGGTGTGGATACAGACTGCTGACCCTGAAAAAGAATCCAGTTGCCTTGGCAGAGATATTTTTGTAAATAACTTTTTTTTTTTTTTTTTTTGAGACAGAGTCTCTCTCTTATTGCCCAGGCTGGAGTGCAATGGAGCAACCTCAGCTCACTGCAACCTCCGCCTCCTGGGTTCAAGGGATTCTCCTGCCTTAGCCTCCCAAGTAGCTGGGATTACAGGAGTGCGCCAGCCCGCCCAGCTAATTTTTGTATTTTTAGTAAAGATGGGGTTTTGCCATGTTGGCCAGGCTGGTCTCGAACTCCTGACCTCAGGTGATCCGCCCACCTCAGCCTCCCAAAGTTCTGGGATTACAGGTGCCCACCACCATGTCTGGCTAACTTTTCATATTTTTAGTAGAGACGGGGTTTCACCATGTTGGCCAGGCTGGTCTTGAATGCCTGACCTCCTTCTCAATTTGTTCTAAAATCCTAGGTTTTTCATGCACAGGGTTTATCTGCATGGGGCCTCTATCGCCATGATGGCTGGTCCTGCTTTGGCGACCTCTGTGTTCAACCCAGGGCACCACCAGTAAGTAATCCTATGCAGAGTCTCTGATCATATCATTCAGGTTTCCTTTAGGTGACTTGACATATGCTATGTGCAAGTGTGAGGGTAGCCGGCACATGCTTGCCCGGCCTCCCCAACATCTTCCCCTTTCTCTCAACAATGACCTTGGGGGATCTGCACACAGACATGACCCTGACACAGATGAGTGCCCTTCCACCCTCTTAAAGTGCTCTTGCTTTGCAGAAACAGATTGCACTCTGTCTCCAGTGAGGAGGAGAGGAAGTGGCAAATGTCAGGTCCAAGCTCAAAAGTCTCCGAGATGGATCAGTGATCGCCGCACCTCTGAGATGGATCAGGGATGAACCTAGGACCCCACACAGGCCCTTGAGGTGTGAGGCAGGATCTGCCAGGTGCTGCGATTTTTAAGGATATTCTGAAATTCTTTCCCTCTGTCTCTCTGTTCACCGGCATTGACCTCACTCAGATGTGGATGTTTCAAACTCATTCAAACAGAGAGTAGAATGGTGGTTGCTAGGGGGTAGGAAGAGAAATAAATGGGGAGAATGTGGTCAAAGGGTAGAAGTTTTCAATACTGCAAGACAAACAAGTTCCAGAGAGCTCAGTCTGTGCAACATAGGGAGACCCCCATCTCTACAAATAATTTACAAATTAGCCAGGCATGGTGGCGCATACCTGTGGTCCCAGCTACTTGGGAGGCTGAGGCAGGAGGATTGTTTGAGCCTGGGGGTTTGAGGCTGCAGTGAACTATGATTGCACCATTGCACTCCAGCCTGGGTGACAGAACAAGATCCTGTCTCAGAAATTTTAAAAAGCTCCAGAGAGCTAATGTACAGCATGGTAACATTAGTTAATACTCTGTATTGTATGCCTGAAATTCACTAAGATGTAGATCTCAAGTGTTCCAACCACAAAAAGGAAAAAAAAAAGGCAGTAACAGGGAGTGTCGATGGCTTTGTTAATTAGCTTGATGCTGGTGATCATCCCACAATACATACGTATATCAAAATGTCAAGTTGTACTCCTTGAATATATGCAAGTTTTGTCAATTATACCTCAAGAAAGCGGGAAGAAAAAAGCACATGCAGCAGGTGGGTTCTCTGGATGCAGGTGCTAATATGGAGTCTGGGGAACAAGGGACTCATTAGGAAGCAACAGCTGTGAAAAGGAGGAGGAGAAAGCAGGGCTGAGCTGAAGGAAAAGAGGAGCTGTAACCACAGGCCCAACAAAGCTTCGGCTGACCTGGAGGGACCCTGGAGAGAGGATGGCCTGTCAGAGTGCACCATAGCCAGACCTCTCTAGCCTGGTTCAATCACCAGATGCAGGAAGTTTGAAGTGTATGACCTTGGGAAGGCATAGGACTTTACCCTGGATTGAGAACATCCGGTCAAAATCAGCCTTGGAGCTCTCACTCAGTGTGTGGGAACAAAAATCATCTCACTCCTCTTCTGGACTTTGTGGGTACTGGTGTAGGGCCTGGAGCAGCTGCAGCCATACGAGGGGAACAGATTGAGGCAAACAATTCCCCACTCCCACCACCAACTCCCACCAAACCCAACCCACCTGCTACACATACCAGGTACAAATGCCAGAAAACCCACTGCCAACTGGTACAAGCAGGAAGGAGGATTTCTTGACTTACGAATCTGGAAGTACTAAAAGCAGGTTGATACCAGGATGGGTTTGACTCTGCAACTTAATAATATGTATATAGTTATCTATCTATCATCTATGTATCTATCTTCTATCTATCATCTATCTATCATTATCACCTATCTATCATCTATCTGTCTATCATCTATCATCTATCCATTTATCACCTATCACCTGTTTATCATCTATCATCTATCACCTATCTATCATTTATCATCTATTGATCTATCCATCATCTATCTATCACCTATCTATCATCTATCTATGATCTATCTATGATCTATCTATCTATGATCTATCTATCATCTATCTATCTTCTATCTATCATCTATCTATCACCTATCTATCATATATCTATCTATCTATCATCTGTCATCTGTCTGTCACCTATCTATTACTTATCATCTATCTATTTATCTATCACCAATCTATCATCTATTATCTATCTATCATCTATCTATCTCTATCATCTGTCACCTATCTATCATCTATTAATCTATCAATCATTCAGTCAACTATCTATCATCTGTCTGTTTATCTGTCATCTATCTACCTATCATCTATCTATCTATGTATCTATGTATGTATGTATCTATCTATCTATCTATCTGATACAGTTTGGATTTGTGTCCCCGCCCAAATCTCATGTTGAATTGTAATCCCCAGTGTCTGGGAGGGGACTGGTGGGAGGTGATTGGATCATGGGGGTGGATTTCTCCCTTGCTGTTCTCATCATAGTGAGTTCTCAGGAGATCTGGTTGTTTAAAAGTGTATAGCACCTCCCCCTTCTCTCTCTTCCTCCTGCTCTGGCCATGTAAGACGTGCCTGCTTCCCCTTCTGCCATGATTCAAAGTTTCCTGAGGCCTCCTCAGCCATACTTCCTGTACAGCCTGCAGAACCATGAGCCAATTAAACCTCATTTCTTTATAAATTACCCACTCTCAGATAGTTCTGTATAGCAGTGTGAGAATGGACTAACACACTACCTACCTATCGATCTATCATCTTAGTAACATAGATACTAAAATGTGTAGAAAGTCACATGATGATTGTATTAGTCACATGGTGACTGTATCAGAGAAACGGAACTAATACAATATATATAGGTAGAAAGAATCACAAGTGCCAGGACCCGGGGGTGGGACATTCTCAGAGTAACTCAGGGTAGGAAAGGTCCATGAGGCAGGATAATCCAAGGTAACATGGTGAGACATGAGACAAGACAGGTCTTGGAGCTGCAGCTTCTGAGGCCTGGATGTCCTGGGTCAGGACTCAGATTTCACTCCAGGCTTGTGGAGAGCCTCTGGAGGATTGGTCAAGACAATGATCATCTGACTCAGGTTGTAACAGCAGCATCCTGGCTGCTGTGAGAAGAGAGTGTAGAGGCCCTGAAAGAAAGCAAGGAGGCCTAGGAGCCTATTCTAGTAATTCAGGAGGGAAACAGTGGGGGCTGAGTCCAGGGTGCTGGCAGTGGAGGTGGTGAGAAGGGGTTGGATTCTGGGTTTGTTCTGAAAGTGGAACTGACAGGGGTTCCCGGCAGATTGGCCGTGGGTGCAAGAGGAGGAGAGGTATGAGAATGACTCAGGGTTTGGGCCAGAGCCCGGGGGACGGCAATGCCATTTGCTGAGTTGGAGCACCAGGGAAAGGGAGTCTGAGGGACATATTGTTGTGTTTAGACGTTGGAGCTGTAGGTGTCTGTGAACACCAGGTGGAGGTGTGCACAGGTGTGCACATCAGCCTGGAGTTGGGAGAGCGGTCAGATATGGGGACAAGAACATGTCAGGGCCCAGGCATGGAAGTTGAATTTAAGCCATAAAGTCACCCAGGGAGCAGAGGGCAGGGTGCCAGGCCTGGACACTCCTGGGTTAGGGGTCAGGAGAGGAGCAGGAACCATGCAAGTGTGGCAGGTGACAGGGGGTCAGTGCAAAATAGAGTCCTGGAAAACAAGCTTCAGGAGCATTTCAGCAAGCAGGCAGATCTGATGCCACCAGCCAGCACCCGATTGTGTATCTCACACAGCTATAAAGTCCATTCTCACATTGCTATAAAGAACTACCTGATACTAGGTAATTTATAAAGCAAAGAGGGCTCACAGTTCTGCAGGCTGTACAGGAAGCATGGCTGGGGAGATCTCAGGAAACTTACAGTCATGGTAGAAGGGGAAGCAGGCACGTCTTACATGGCCAGAGCAGGAGGAAGAGAGAGAAGGGGGAGGTGCTACACACTTTTCAACAACCAGATCTCCTGAGAACTCACTATGATGAGAACAGCGGATGGGCAAGGCGGCTCACACCTGTATCCCAGCACTCTGGGAGGCTGAGGCAGGTGGATCACTTGAGGTCAGGAGTTCAACATCAGCCTGGCCCACATGGTGAAACCCTGTCTCTACTAAAAATACAAAAATTAGCTGAGTGTGGTGGCGGGAACCTGTAATCCCAGCTACTTGGGAGGGTGAGGCAAGAGAATCGCTTGAATCCAGGAGGCAGTGGTTGCGGTGAGCTGAGATGGCGCCACTGCACTCCAACCCGGGCGACAGAGCAAGACTCTGTTTCAAAAAGAAAGAGAATAGCAGGAGAGAAATCCACCTCCATGATCCAATCACCTCTCACCAGTCCCCTCCCCTGACACTGGGGACTACAATTCAAGATGATATTTGGGAAGGGACACAAATCCAAAACCATATCAGATAGATAGATAGATAGATAGATAGATAGATAGATAGATAGATAGACAGACACACGGATAGGTAGGTAGATAGATAATGGATTGATAGATGGATGGATGGATAGACGAATAGATAGATGGATAGATAGATGAATAGATAGATGGACAGATAGATAGATGATGGATAGATAGACGGATGGACAGATAGACGGACGGACAGATAGAAGATGGATAGATAGGTCGATGGATGGATAGATAGATGATGAATAGATAGATGAGTGGACGGATAGATAGGCAGATGATGAATAGATAGGTGGATGGATGGATAGATGATAGACAATAGATAGATAGATAGATAGATAGATAGATAGATAGATAGATAGATAGACAGTGCAGTGTGTGGAATAGTGTCCTTCAAATTCACGTCCACCTGGAGCTGCAGCATGAGCCCTTACCTGGAGATGGGGCATTTGCAGATGTAATTAATTAAGATGAGCTCACACTGGATTAGGATCATTAGCCCTTATCCAATGACTGGTGTCCCTGTAAAAAGAGGACGGGACACACAGAGAGACATAGACGGGAGGCCCCATGTGAAGACCGAGGCAGAGATGGGAGCCACGTATCTGCAAGCCAGGGATGGCCTGGGGCCACCAGAAGCTGGAAGAGGCAAGGAAGGGGCCTCCCCTGGGGCCTTCAGAGGGAGCGCGGCCCCACTGACATCACAATATCAGACTTCTGGCCTCCAGCACTGTGAGAGGACACATTCGTGGTGTTTTAAGCCATCTGACTTGCAGTACTCTGTCCCAGCCGCCCTAGCAAATGAACACAGACGGCTACTTAAGAGTCCCTCTCCGGTTACCCAGCCCACCCTAGAGGCCACTTTTAGCCAGAGTGTTGGGGCCTTGACCCCACACTGCCTCGTCCCCTCTGTCCTCGCCCCGACCCTGACGCATCAGAGCCGGGACACTGGTGACTTTCCTGGGGAAATCTCTAGATGTGACCTCTATGGCCGGGGACAGGGGACTGGGTTTGAGTCTTGAGTCCTTTCCAGCAAGCGCCTTCCCGCTTGGAGCCTTGTTTCCTTCCTGGATAAATGGGCGGGGAAGCATCACGGAGGTGTGCGGGTTTAATCGGCACATGCGCTGCTGCCTGCAGGCCAAGCTCAGGATAAGCTCTTGCAGTAAATAGCAACGTTTATGTCCCTCGACTCCTGGCTCAGAGACGCGACCCAGGTGGGAACTTGATTCGTGAAACCCATCAGGGAGGAAGAGTCCCGACCTATGCATTGAAGGACGGGGTGGACAGAAAGAAGGAACAGCAGTTAGAAGAGCATTGGCGGGTCCTGTAGCATCTGAGTCCCTGCTTGGACCAGCTTTCTGGGAGTAGGTGTCTGTGGGCTGCAGCCCAGCTTTGAGCACCCGAGGACGTAACACCTTACCACTCTTAGGGTTGACAGATAAAATACAGGATGCCCAGAAATATCTGAATTTCAGATACACAGCAAATTATTTTTTAGTAGAAGTATATTCCAAATATTACATAGGATAGACTTATACTGTAAACTATTTGTTTATCCAAATTCAAATTTTTAAAAATCTTTTCGAAACTAGGTCTCATTCTGTTGCCCAGGCTGGAGTGCAGTGGCACGTTCACAGCTTACTGCTGTCTGGAGCTCCTGGGCTCCTCCCGCCTCAGCCTTCCCAGTAGCTGGAACTACAGTTGCGCACCACCACACCTGGCTAATTCGTTTTTTTAAGTGGAAATGGGGGTCTCACTATATTGGGCAAGCTGGTTTCGAACTCCTGGGCTCAAGCGATTCTCCAGCCGCAGCCTTCCAAAGTGCTGGGAATACAGGCATGAGTCACTACGCCTGGCCCTGGATTCAGATTTAACTGGGTATCTTGTATTTTTATTTGCAGAATCTGGCAACCATACCCGCCCCTTAGCTGGCCCCCCTCCACTGATGACTAATGGCCAGGTGTAAGACAGTCTTCCGAAGGGGCCGTAAGACCACCATGGGCTCAAGATAGACATTGAGTCCTGCCCTCGCCCACCTCCTCCTCTCTCCACCTCCACATCTTGGTTTCTTGTCCTCCGTGTGCAAAATGTGCTTTCCTGCCCCACCTACGTCTCCACATATGAAGAATCAATAACAATTTTAGAGAGAAAATACAGTTGTCATGGAAAAAAAATGGAGTGAATTCAGAGTTCATTAGGCAAGTTAATCAAATTGTCCAGCCGTGTCTTGCTATTTCTGGGAACCATCTGGCCCGCCTGATCGATGTGATTCCAGGTGGGAAGTGTTTGGGAGTGAGGGTAACCGTGACTTCTCTGAGGTCACAGCACGGAGATGCCAGGTAACCGGATGGGAGGGCTTGGCATGTCCCTGGGAGGCACTGGGAATGCATTGTCCCATGCCTGGGCAGGGGCAGCTTTGGCTGGGACCCTCCATTGGCACACACACCCCCCTTTCTCTTAGAGCTGCACATACATAGAAAGAGGAACCAAGGCTGGGCACAGTGGCTCACACCTGTAATCCCAGCATGTTGGGAGGTTGAGGCGGGCGGATCACCTGAGGTCAGGAGCTCGAGACCAGCCTGACCAATACGGAGAAACCCCGTCTCTAATAAAAATACGAAAAATTGGCCAGGTGTCGTGGCGCATGCCTGTAATCCCAGCTATTCGAGAGGCTGAGGCAGGAGAATCGCTTGAACCTGGGAGGCGGAGGTTGCAGTGAGCCGAGATTGCACTACTGTACTCTAGCCTGGGCAACAAGATCAAAATTCCATCTCAAAAAAAAAAAAAAAAAAGGAAAAAAGAAAAGAAAGAAAGAAGAGGAACCAAGAAGCCGCCACTGGCTGAGCAAGGCCTGCTCTTTCACCAGTATTTCTAGGGCTCAGTATTTCTGGGGCTTATGCTCTGTGCCTGCTGCCGTTCCAGGTGACAGTTAATACAGATGAGTCCCTCAGCCTCCCAGGGCTCATATTTCAGCCAGAGAGAGACAATCAGCAAAGAAACAAGGACTTGCAGGAAGACCACCTTCTCCAGTTGCAGGTGGAGCCACGGGACCTGCCCAAGCTGGGCCTACTCTGTTGATAGCAAAATGTCAAGTTTTATCTTGTAGCTATAACAGCTGTAAGTCATGTAGCCAAGGCATGAATGGTAGAAAAAGCTTTGAGGCTGGGTATGGTGGTTCATGCTTGTAATCCCAACACTTTCAGAGGCAAGAGGATTTCAAGGCAAAAGGATTGCTTGAGTCTAGGAGTTTGAGACCAGCCTGGGCAACATAGTGAGATCCCATCTACTCAGAAATTTTAAAAATTAGTTGGGCATAGTGGCACATGCTTTGTTGTCCCCATTCCTTGGGAGGCTAAGGTAGGAGGATCACTGGAGCCCAGGAGGTTGAGGCTGCAGTGAGCTGTGATCATACCATTGCACTCCAGCCTGGGCAACAGAGTGAGACACTGTCTTAAAAAAACAACAACAACAACAACAAAAAAGGGTGGTGGGGGAAAGAAGGAACAAAAGAAAAAGCTTTGACCTCTAACAACACTGGGAATCAATAATTTCTCCCCTTGGAACCAAGAAGACTGGGACATGACAAAAAACCTAAATACTGAAATTCGTCCACAAGCGAGGGTCTGTTGGCCCAGAAGATCTGGGGCTAAAATCCACTTCAACATACCTGACTATAAATTGTCCATTTTGAAGCCTTCCAACCAGATCCTGCCATGCCAACATTCCTAAATCCTTTCTCTTGCTCTTTGATCCCTTAGAATTTGCCCCAGACTCCAAATTAGAGAGACAGATCTGAGTCTGCCTCCTGTCTCCTGGCTGTCTTACAGTAAAGCCCTTGCTTTTCTCTAAAGCTGTGGCCATGGTATTGGCTTTTGTGCGCCTTGGAGAGCGAGCACATTTGCTCAATGACAGACGACTGCCGGCCCTCAGCCTCCACTGACCCCCAGGCTTCTTGGAAGCCCAACCCCCTCATTTGTAGGGGTGAGTGATACGGGTCTCAGTCTCCGTGGATGCCAGTGCTAAGTAAATCCAGAACTTGCTCAACTGGCACGGCAGAGGCCCATGCTTTCTGGAGCACTTGACCCCAGAGTCAGAAAGCAGGCTCACATTCAGAGTCAAAAAGCAGGAGACAGAGTGAGACCCCGTCTCAAAAAAAAAAAAAAAAAAGGTAATTTCATTTTAAAAAGAAAGTCTCCTAACAAATTTATAATATAGATTTCATGATTCTTTTGTTGGCACTTTCAACAATGTTGGCAACAGCGTTCAAGCTGTCAGGGACTTTTGAGATTACACAGTAGACATAGTTAGGGGTGCTACCCAGCCTGTGTGCCCAGCCTCCCAACTGAAAATACCCAGATTTCTGGCCAGGCAGAGTGGCTCACACCTGTAATCCCAGCACTTTGGGAGGCCAAGACAGGTGGATCACCTGAGGTCAGGAGTTCGAGACCAGCCTGACAAATATGATGAAACCCCGTCTCTACCAAAAATACAAAAAATTAGCTGGGCGTGGTGGTGGGCGCCTATAATCCCAGCCACTTGGGAGGCTGAGACAGGAGAATCACTTGAACCCGGGAGGCAGAGGTTGCAGTGAGCTGAGATCGTGCCATTGCACTCCAGCCTGGGCAACAAGAGTGAAACTCCATCTCAAAAACAAACAACAAACAAACAACAACAAAAAAAATCAGATTTCTGCTCCAGGACTCCCTCTTCCCCTGTCTCTGAGGTGGACCCTGTTTGACTTTGATCTGACTCAATTCATTAAATTCTACTGGTCCGGCCATGGGGATGGTGACCTTCTCCAGCCAGGATGGCACAACAGGAGGTTCTGCGAGGCCTTGGGGGAAGTGAAGCCCCAGTGCAATGGCAGCCCTTTTGTGACCATGAGGGAAACCAGCCTTCAGTGAAGCTGACTCTGGTGAGGTAGCGTGGAGGGACCAAAGACACCAGGGCCTTGGTGTTGTCAAACAGCTGAATTGAACCTGACTTTGAAGCCCACCCATTCAGGAATTTTCAGTTTTGTGAGCTAATAAAGATCCTTTTTATTTAAGGATGTTATGTGTGAGGTTTCAGTTCCTTACAACTTAAGAGTACTGCCCGATAACACTCCTTCACTTCAGCTTTTTCCACAGAGGAGGGACTTGAGACTCCCAAGGGAGAGCAATGTGCCCGAGGTCTCCCAGCTGATCTGTGGCTCCCAGGCCAGTGCTGCCCGTGAGTCCTGCAGCCTGTGAGGACAGCTCCAGGGACGAAAACACAAGTGTCCCCTAGGGCTCCCACCAGTGAAGCATCCCCTGAGCCTCTCACATGCACGGGACAACTTCATGCTTGTCCTTCTCACCCTCAAGATGGTGCCACTCTTGGCTTGACGCTTGGGCTCCTTTGGGGGAGAGAAGGCTACCACTGGGTGACAATGTCACACACTGCTCCCCCAAGGCCCTGGCTACAGCCTGAGCTCTCTGGGTGGCCTGGGACAGCATAGTCTGGGAGGACATCTGGCATAGCCCCTTTCTGCCCTGGCCCCTGCACTGCTCCTCAGGTGGGGTGGCAGCTTGGGAGCGGAGGTGAGGAGCAGCAGACCACATGGGTGACTCACAGTCCCCCAGGAAACAGGTGCACCCTCACTCCAGAAGGGGCGAGGGAGGCAGGGGGACAAGGGTTGAAAAACTAACTATTGGGTACTATGTTCACTATTCGGGTGATGGTTTCACTAGAGGCTGGGATTTTTGCAGAGACTGTTTAAGGAGGGGCGGGGGTTATTTGCAGAGGTGAGGGACAGATAGAGAAATCAATCAGTATGGGACAGTTCTCTGGGTGGGCTTGGATGGTCTCAGTTCTCCCCCCGACCTCTTTCCCACTCAGAATGCAGGAAAGACAGCTGAAACAAGGAGGAACCAGCTAGCACAGCCCAGCCTCTGTTCCAACCCCCAGCCCCTAGAAAGAGGTTGTCCTTCAATGCTTTTTTTATATTATTATTATACTTTAAGTACCGGGATACATGTGCAGAATGCGTAGGTTTGTTACATAGGTATACACGTGCCATGGTGGTTTGCTGCACGCATCAACCCATCATCTACATTAGGTATTTCTCCTAATGTTATCCCTCCCCTAGCCCCCCACCCCCCAACAGGCCCCAGTGTGTGATGTTCCCCTCCCTGTGTCCATGTGTTCTCATTGTTCACCTCCTACTTATGAGTGAGAACATGCGGTGTTTGGTTTTCTGTTCCTGTGTCAGTTTCTTCAATGCTTTTGTCCAGTGCGCCATGTTTCTCCAGGGCATAAAACCCTAGATGGGCTGATTTTCAGTGTCCCTCAACTTCAGTGCAAGTGGAGCACATGCATTTGAGACTCCATCTGCCCCAGAGAACTTTCCTGAGCCCTGGAGTACAGGCTGTCTATGAATCCTAGGCTTCTGTCATCCCTTGCTGTCTATCTGCAAGGAATAAACCCACTTCATGTCACTTCTTGTATGTGGGTGACCTATCTCACCAAACTCAGACAAGTTGGTAAGCAGCATGCGATGAACCTGCTTCCTACCCAGGGGTAGTGATCTATCCAGACATAAGCAGGATTGGGAAGCTCTAGGCTCGAATGGAGAAGGACAGGGAAGGTGGTTAGCAGAGCCCAGGGAGTGTTTGGGGCAGCCCAGCAGCAACTGTAGCTTCTAGAACCACAGCAAAACAGAATGGTGGTGGTGATGGGTTGGGCATTGGCAATGGTGAAACCGCGCCTGTCAACTTTATGAAATTAATCAGGGAAGACAAGAGAGGGCAAAGTAAAAATTTACCAAGTTCGCATCACATTCAGCATTCATCATGAGGTCGGCCTGCTCTCTGACTCACTTTGTTAGTTTCATGCCTATTGTTCTAGAATCATGTAGATCTTGTTAAAAGATTATAGTTCTCCTTAGTTACTCTGTAGATAACAACTTGAACCTTATGAAATGTTAAGTTTTGCCTTTGAGATATTCCTTCAGGTCCTGCATACTGATGAAACTATTGACTTCACTGGTCTCAGGGACCCCGCCAACACAAGCTGGTCTGAAAGATCCCACTGACATCAGTTGGTCCAAAGGTTCCTACAAGAAGCTGACCCACCAAGGAATGCAGTTTCCATATCCTGATGCCTTCATCTCCCTCGCCCCAATCAATCTACAACCCCAATTCTCCAGCCTCTCACCCTTTATGATTCCCTTAAAAACCCCAGCCCAGGGAGATGGATTTGAGGGTCTCCTCCCATCTCCTTGCTTGGCGCCCTGCAATCATTAAACTCTCTCTCTGCTGCAAACCCTGTTGTCTCAGCATAATGAGCCTGTTACTGCATGGTGGGCATACAAACCTGGTGGTCCTATAACAATGGGGCAGGAATATCCCAACCTCTCTCCTCCAGCCCTCGGATCCGCCAGTGCCTTCCAATGGAGCCCGGGTCTACTAGTTAGCTATTGCCATGATGGCGCTGCTCACAAACAACCCCAATATTTAGTGGCTTAAAACAACAACCATTTATTCTCAGACTCAGGGGTGCATGGGTCATGGGGGCAGCTTGGCTTCACATAGCTCATATCTGATTCTCTGGCCAGGGTGGGAGCATCCTCCTCACACCAATGGCAGACCCAGCTGCACAAGCACATTTCAAGGCCTCTGATGCCTCATGTCCATTCATACCCCATGGGTCATAGCAAGCCACATGGCCAAGCTCAAAGTCAGTGGGTGGTGAAGTCCCTTCCACCTGCTACCAGGCTGTAGCAAGAGTGTGTATATGTGTTCTACCACAGAGGGGTACAGAACTGTGACCAATAAGTCAGTCGCTTATGGGGTGGGGTGAAGCAGCCCACAGATCCAGGCTCCAGAAGCCCAGGGAAGGTAGAGACTGGTGGGGCAAGTGGGCAGGAAGTAGGGCAGATCCCCTACCTGCTGCCTCCCTGTCTCACCTCCTGCCCAGGTGAGTCTGCACCATCTCCTTCTCCCTGCCCCCAGCACATGCTCTCTACCTTAGGACTTGGCATTTGATCCTCCAAGACCCTTGGTCAAACGCCAGGAAGAGTTAACTGGAGCAGTATGCTGAATCACAGTCAGAGAGAGACTTTTTCAAAGACTTGATAAATAAATTACTGCTCATGTTTAATTCAAAGCCCCCGCTGCCTGCAGAGAACACAGAGAAGAGGCGATCTTTCTATTAAAACAGCTCTGAGGGGCTTCTCCCCACTCTCCTGGGACCTTCTGGCCTCCCTGCTCTGGCCTGCGTGATCCTGCAGTGCTCCTAGGACAAGCTTAGGATAAAATGCAGACTCCTGATCCTAGCTGACGTCCCAGCCTCAGCCCCCGGCCATCCTCTTTTCTTATCTCACCATCCAAAAGTCCCTCTACTGGGCCACGTTTCTACGTTTCTATCAGAATCCAGTTTTCTTTTCTCCATAGTTCATCATCATTATGATACTTTTGTCTATTTCCTTCTTTTCTTTCTTTCTTCTTTCTTTCTTTCTTTCTTTCTTTCTTTCTTCTTTCTTTCTTTCTTTCTTTCTTTCTTTCTTTCTTTCTTTCACAGGGTCTTGTAATGCAGTGCACAGGCTGTAGAGCAGTGGTGCGACCTTGACTCACTGCAGCCTCCAACTCCTGGGCTCCAATGAACCTCCCATCTCAGCCTCCTAAGTAGCTGGGACTACAGGCACCTGCCACCACGCCCAGCTAATTTTTTTTTTTTTTCTTTTGGTAGAGACAGGGTCTTGCTCTATTGCTCAGGCTGGTCATGAACTCCTGGCCTCAAGCAATCCTCCTGTATTGGCCTCCCAGAGTGCTGGGATTACAGGCATGAACTACTGCACCTGGCCTTCACTTGTTTCTTTATTGTATGTCTTCCCCCGTAGAAAATCTCCTCCCTGTGAGCAGAAACTGGGCTCATCCTATTCCCTGCTGCATCTGCAGCACCCAGAACAGTGCTCAGTGCATAGTAGGTGCTCAATAAATATTTGTGGGTTGGGGTGGGAGGGCAAGAACATCTGCCCCAGAAGCCTTTTTTTTTTTTTTTTTGTCCAGGCTAAATACCCCCCAGTTCCTTCATTTTCCCTCTTAGGTCAGGAGGCTGAGCTCCAGGTTGGCCCCATGCAGCTCTCTGAGCTTAGAGTTTCTGCAGAACAGCAAGAAAGCCAGAGAAATATGATGACATGTGTTTGCAAGGGACTGTAACAGACCAGTCCTGCACTGAGGCCTTTATAACAATGGATGGACCATGTTATATGATCCTCACCAGAGCCCATTTTATTTCATTTTATTTTATTTTATTATTTATTGAGACAGAGTCTCACTCTGTCACCCAGGCTGGAGTGCAGTGGCATGATCTCAGCTCACTGCAACCTCCGCCTCCCGGGTTCAAGCAATTCTCCTGCCTCAGCCTCCCAAGTAGCTGGGATTACAGGCAGCCACCACCATGCTCAGCTAATTTTTTTATTTTTAGTAGAGACGGGGTTTTGCCTTGTTGGCCAGGCTGGTCTTGAACTCCTGATCTCAGGTTATCACTTGCCTTGGCCTCCCAAAGTGCTGGGATTACAGGCATGAGCCACCATGCCCGGCCAAGAGCCCATTTTATAGAAGAACAAACAGAGGCATGGTGAGATAAAGTCATTTTCCCCAGGGCAGCACCCTCTGAAGAGTGATGAAGGCAGCATTTGAACCCAGGCCCCAGTGCTTTTGAAGCAAGCAGCCTGAGTCACTCTTCCAGAAGGTGAGAGCTTTTTATAACCATAGAGTGTTGTGAAGTGAGAATGATCACACACCTTAGCCATCTGGCTTCAAAAATCCCAAGTGGCAAAAATCAGGCCCAGTGATAAAAGAAAGATCAACTCTTCTCCTTGTGAGCTGAGATCCAAATAATTCCTCAATCAATATTTTGGACTTGAAACTTCTTCTTCAGTTTTTGCCAAAAAAGAGACCCTGTTCCCAGTGCCTCATTCACTCTAAGAACAGGTCTCAGTGCTAGCATTCAGCATCCTTTACATGACTTAGTCCTCTAAGCAATATCACGTAGTGGATATTTTTAACCTCCATTTTCCCTATAAGAATTGAGGCTACAAAAAATTCAGTAACTCGTGGCTGGGCGCAGTGGCTCACACCTGTAATCCCAGCACTTTGGGAGGCCAAGGTAAGCGGATCACCTGAGGTCAGGAGTTCGAGACCAGCCCGGCCAACATGGCGAAACCCCGTCTCTACACAAAAATTAGCTGGGTGTGGTGGCGGGCACCTGTAACCCCAGCTACTGTAAGCCCAGCTACCCAGGCTGAGGCAGGAGAATCATTTGAACCCAGGAGGCGGAGGTTCTAGTGAGCTGAGATGGTGCTGCTACACTCCAGCCTGGTCGACAGTGAGACCTTGTCTCAATTAAAATTTTAAAAAAAGTTCAATAACCCAGTCACCTTGCTAGGGAGTGTTGGAGTCAGGAACTGAACCTCTGACCTTAGAATCCTGCCCTTTCTACTGTAATTCCACAGTGCCTATATCAGTTGTAATTAACATCACTAACATTTAATAAGCACTTACTATGTGCGGGACCGTGTGCTTTGCACTTATAGGTATTAACTCATTTGATCCCAGTTACAACCCTAGGAGGCAAATACTCTTTTTATTACCATTGTAAAGATGAGGAAATTAAGGTCCAGATGGGTAAGGAACTGTTTAAAAATATAGGTTTTATTATTATTCAAGTATGATGAGGCCAACCAATCAGGAGAAGATTGCCATTGTATAAATAGTTTGTTACTCACAGATCCCAAGAGGAAGGCAGCCTGCCACGCCACACAGGGCCATGTAGGGAAGAACTGGGGTTGGGCAGGAGGCAGAAAGATGGGGAAAAGCATGAACAAGAGCCTTTATTTTGTTTTATTTTATTTTGAGATAGGATCTTGCTCTGTTGCCCAGGCTGGAGTGCAGTGGTGTGATCACAGCTCACTGCAGCTTGAACTGCACAGCTCACTGCAGCTGGGTTCAAGTGTTCCTCCTGCCTCAGCCTCCCAAGTAGCTGGGACTACAGGCATGCACCACCATGCCTGGCTAATTTTTTCACATTCTTTGTAGAGATGGGGTCTCACTATGTTGCCCAGGCTGGTCTTGAACTCCTGGGTTCAAGTGATCCTCCTGCCTCAGCCTCCCAAAGTTCTGGGATTATAGGCATGAGCCATCGCACCCAGGGTGTTGAGCAAGAGCCTTTATTGTGACCTCATCTGGAGGGAACAGGCAAGGCAGAGTAAGATGGCTTAGGATTGGTTATTCTGAAAATTTCAGAACCTAGGGCTCTGGAGTCTAGGGGCTGCCCATCATTGTCTGGTGCGGGGCCTTGGAATGATTAGGGCAGAGGAATAGTGGCCCAGAGTGTGAGAGTCCCAGAGCGGAGGGGTGGGGCGGGTGCTCTGGAGTGGTTGGTTTGCATGTGAAAGGCACGCTTAGAGACCAGTCCTTTACTATCCCTAGGAATTGAGGAGCCCTGGGAGGCGTGGTCTCTCCAGGGTCCGCAAGGCCTCCAGATGTCAACGCATCCGAAACACATGATTGATGTGGGAATTCATGCAACGTCGCTGGGAATTTGAAACCTGGGTGAGCTCATCTCGGAGCCCTCACCCTGAGCTGCTATAGGATGAGATTTCCTCTCTGCAGCAAAATACTTGCTAATGCAACATGAGAAGAACGTAGAGGGAAGTCACAGAGAATATCAACATACAAAGAGGGGCCAGCTGCAGCGGCTCAAGCCTGTAATCCCAGTGCTTTGGGAGGCAGAGGTGGGAGGATCACTTGAGGCCTGGAGTTCAAGACCCAGCCAGGGCAACATAGCAAGATGTCATCCACCTCATCTCTACAAAAAAATTAAAAATTAGCCATGCATGGTGCTGTGCCCCTGTGGTCCCAGCTACTTGGGAAGCCGAGGCGGGATGATTGCTTGAGCCCAGAAGTTGGAAGCTGCAGTGAGCTCTGATTGTGCCACTGCACTCCAGCCTCAGCAACAGAGCAAGACCCTGTCTCTTAAAAAAAATATGAGGCCAGGCACGGTGGCTCATGCCTGTAATCCCAGCACTTTGGGAGGCAAGATTGGGTGGATCACCTGAGGTCAAGAGTTCAACACCGGCCTGGCCAACATAGCAAAACCTCGTCTCTACTAAAAAAAATACAGAAAGTAGCCGGGCGTGGTGGGGGGCACCTGTAATCCCAGCTACTCCGGAAGCTGAGGCGAAAGAATCAGCATGAACCCGGGAGATGGAGGTTGTGGTGAGCCGAGATTGTGCCACTGCACTCTAGCCTGGGTAGCAGAGCAAGATTCCATCTCAAAAAAAAAAAAAAAAAAGAAAGAAAAAAAAAAAAAAATATATATATATATATATATATATATATATGAACAGAGATGAGGCTGGGATACAGGCTGCAGGTGGGACCAGGGTGGAAGCCAGAAGGGCTGTTTCAGCTTTCTCCAGCCAGATGAAGTGTCCCTGAGAGGGCTGTCATGAGCTGGCACCCGTGTTGATTACATTATTATTTCAATCTGGGAGAAAATCAGCAATACTTAATGGAAACTTGAACTCCCCCATCCAAAAGGGCCCAGATTGGATCAAATGGTCCCTGTTGCATGGCTGGGCTGCATCTCAATTGTGTTCTGATGTGGAGCATCCCGTTCGAACATCCGCATGATTTGGGATGGGCAGCTGGACGGGGAAGCACAGCCAGGATAAACAGCAACATCTGCTGGAAACTCCCAGGAGAAAAGCTCTCCTTTTGTTGCATATTAAGTCATTAAAACAGCAAGAAAAGGAAAGAGGACTTTAATTTCCCACCATATGTGGACAATATTTTAATGCCAAGGTACCCGGGGAGACGGGTCCTGCCTTCGGCTGGCAGGCCTGGGAGGAGGGCCAGGCATGGAAGATTTGCCACGCACCTGAGCCAAGGATTTCCCTGCAGAGAGGATTTCAGGAGCCTGGGCTGGGTCTGCTCAACTCTGTCTTCCTGGTTTTCCTTTGCCTCCCCAGGACTAAGTCTCACTTAGAGCCCTGGGGATGCTACTGGGGTTTCAGACTCATGCCTACACTATTGTGTGAGACCCCCTTCGAGGCCGTGGTCATTTCTCTGAACCTGCCGCCAAGCCCCTGGGCCACTGAGATAGGAATTCCCCAGCAGTCCAGCCTGGTGTCAGGCTGACTGGATGCTGCCCTGTATCTGCCTGGACCCCCACGAGCTGTCTGCTGGAAGGAGAGTAGGCTGGATCTGGAAGCCCCCACTCCAGTCTCCAAAATGGCCCATGTGACTTTGGTTGAGAGACTTGGCATCCCTGGGTCTTGGCATCCTCATCTGTAGAATGGAGAAGGTGGAGTGTGCTACTGGGTGTCATGAGATTGAAAGAAATACTGACACCTGCTCGTGCTGGGCGCTTCCACTGCTGGGTGGCACGCGTGGTGCCGTGCCCCTGTGGGTCCCAGCTATTCAGGAAGCTGAGGCCGGAGGATCGCTTGAGCCCAGGAGTTGGAAGCTGCAGTGAGCTGTGATTGCGCCACTGCACTCCAGCCTAAACAACAGAGCAAGACTCTATCTTTTAAAAAAATATATATGGGCTGGGTGAGGTGCCTCACACCTGTGATTCCAGCACCTTGGGAGACCAAGGCAGGCAGATCACCTGAGGTTGGGAGTTCAAGACCAGCCTGACCAACATGGAGAAACCCCCGTCTCTACTAAAAATATAAAATTAGCCGGGCATTGTGGTACATGCCTGTAATCCCAGCTACTCGGGAGGCTTAGGCAGGAGAATCACTTGAACAAGGAGGCAGAGGTTGCGGTGAGCCAAGATGGCGCCACTGAACTCTAGCCTGGGCAACAAGAGCGAAACTCCATCTCAAAAAAAAATAAAAATAAAAATAAACAGAGATGAGATCACGATAAAGGCTGGTACAGTCTCTCATCTTCTGATTAGTAATCAATGATGTCCTTTCTTCCCTTCAGTGCTCATCTGGAGATCATGGTTGGGAAGAGGAGGCAGGAGCGTCGTCTGAGCTGGCTCATGAGGGGAGTTTCAGCGTGTCGTGTGGCCCCTTGTTACAGGGCCTTTTGCCAAGGCTGCTCTTGGAGCCTGCCAATAGCATCATGAAGACTCTGCACTCCTCGCAGTGACGATGCTACAAACCCAGAAGGAGCAACTGCCTCATCTCTGTTTCTCAGTGTAGAGAGTAAATTGCACAATGAGCCCTTGCCTCTGTCATCTGCCTTCCCCTAGCTCCTTGACCCAGACAACACAGCCCTGTTCCTCCATCTCCCAGGAATAGGAATTCCATCTCTGCCCTGAGCTGGACACCAGAATCTGCCCACTGGGTTTGGATACCCACAAGAGCCTCCCTGGACAATGCTCTTCACTGGCCGGGCTGGCCGTTGGCAGCAGCTGTTTGTGTCTTGGGCATCAGCCCCTATTGTAGCTGCCGTCTTTTGTGTGCCTAGGAGGGCCCTATTGAGAGGCTTATTATTATTATTATTATTATTATTATTCTTTAGAGACAGTGCCTCATTCTGTCACCCAGGCTGGAGTGCAGTGGCACATTCTTGGCTCACTGCAGCCTTGAATTCCTGGGCTTAAGCAGTCCTCCTGCCTTAGCCTCCCCAGTAGCTAGGACTACAGGCACATGCTACCATGCCTGGCTAATTTTTGAATTATTTTTTGTAGAGACAGAGACTCACTGTGTTACCCAGGCTGGCCTCAAACCCCCAGTCTCAAGAAATTCTCCCAAGTCAGCCTTTCAAAGTGCTGGGATTACAGACGTGAATCTTGGGAGGCTTAGAACCAACATTTCTCTTTCAACATGTCCTCAACCCTCCCTCTTGGGAAAAGAAGGTCATCTTGTCCCACCTTTAGTCTAAGCAAAAGGCTTAGAGCAAAGTTTCATTCTCAATTGTAGCAGCTACCCAGTCCTGATTGTGGATCTTGATTATGAGTTTATTGAGTAGTTGATCTGAAAGAGCATATTAGTCAGGTTAAGCTATGCTCTGCTGCAGTAACAAACAATGCCCAAGTCTCATGACTTTCACTCAGTTGATGTCTATTTCGTGTTCATGCAAATTCTGTTGCTGGTCTGGGTGACTATTCAGGACAATCCTCTAGGTGTTTTCCCAACAATCCACCCATCTGTGCCTGATTCAAGGGAAGAAGGAGGTGCAATGATCCCTGGATCCAGAGAGAAGATGGTGGGGATGGTGGGGAGTAGTCCTGATGCCTCCCACAGCTGAAAATCACAATAATAGTCACAGCACACTCATGGTGGCTGCTGACATCCTGGTGCTGTACTGAGCATGGCACATGTTAAGTCATTCAACTCTCACAGCAATCTTATAAGGCAGACATTCTTTTCATACGCATTTTATAGAAGAGGAAACTGAGACTCAGAGAAATGAAGTGATTTGCCTGAGGTCTGCACCACCATCCCTCCAGTGCTACCTCCAGGAGAACCTCATTGATGGGGATACAGGGAACAGCCCCCAAGCCTCTTGGCGTCCTCCAGAGTTTGCTGGGACTGCACTGTGGCATTCTCTTTGCTGAGTAATGTGCCTGATTTTCCTGTAGTCTGTTGGGACCAGATAGGCCAGAGAGTATGGTACTGCCTTAGTTTCCCCAAAGTGGCAGAGGGACAGGGATGAAGGCAGTCGACCAGCACACAGACTAAAATCAGGACAAGATTTGTGGCGTGACTGTGCTCCAAGCAGGAGCCCCCAGTTCTGTGGGAAGTAGCTACTCATGGGGGAATCTCAAAGTCTTTGAAACAAAAGTGACGATTTTGGCCCACTGAGGAAATGCTTGCTGCCACCCTTGAAACTCTCTGGACACTCCAGTGGTGTTTGTGGGTACGAATCCTTGGCTTTTGACAAATCAAGGTTCATTCTAATGCTGTTTCCCAAGGCCCGGCCCAAAGCACCCTGATCAATGGGCAGCCCCCAAATTGTGCCAACACCATGGACTTTGGAGGTCAGGTCTCAGTTACGATGGCTGTGTTAGTCCATTTGCCTTGCTATAAAGAGATACCCAAGGCTGGGTAATTTATAAAGAAAAGAGGTTTGTTTTGGCTCATGGTTCTGCAAGCTGCACAGGAAGCATGGTGCCAGCATGTGTTTCTTATAAGGATACTCGGGAAGCTTCCAATCATGGCAGAAGGCAAAGGCAGTGCAGGCATGTCACATGGCAAGAGAGGGAGCGAGAGAGAGAAAAGGAGATGCCTAGCTCCTTTTTTTTTTTTTTTTTTTTTTTTTGAGACAGAGTCTTACTCTGTCACCTAGGCTGGAGTGCAATGGCACGATCTCAGCTCACTGCAACCTCTGCCTCTTGGGTTCAAGAGATTCTCCTGCCTCAGCCTCCCAAGTAGCTTGAATTACAGGAGCCTGCCACCACACCTGGCTAATTTTTGTATTTTTAGTAGAGATGGGGTTTTGCCTTGTTGGCCAGGCTGGTCATGAATTCCTGACCTCAAGAGACCTGCCTGTCTTGGCCTCCCAAAGTGCTGGGATTACAGGTGTGAAACACTGTTCCTGGCCCCAGGCTCCTTTTAACAATCAGATCTCATGGTAAGCAACACAGCAATAGCTCACTCATTACGGCAAGGACAGCACCAAGCCATTCATGAGGAATTGACCCTAAGGACCCAGACACCTCCCACAAGACCCCATCTCCAATATTAGGAATCACATTTTGATGAGATTTGGAGGGGACACATATCCAAACTATATCAATGGTATTTGCCTGTGAGAAACAAAAAACCCAATGAATGTTATATTAAATAAGTTTATTTGCCTCATGCAATAATGACCAGGGGGAAGAGAATACATTGATGTCATCAAAACCCAGATTACTTCTACCTCCTTTCTCTGCCATCCTTGGCATGTGGAACTGATTGCCTCATGGCCACAGAATAGTTGCTATGCCTCCAGACATCATATCTGTATTCCAGGCAGAATAAAGGAAGAAATCTGATTGGCTGAATCTGTTCCAAAGCCTCTGCCTTTTTGGCTTACATCTTCATGGCCCAAACTGTTCAGTTGGCCACATCTAGCTGCAAGGAAGTCTGGCAAGTTAAGGTTTCTATCATGTCTAGAAGAGGAAGGTAAGGAAAAGGGAGCTGGAAATGGCACTGGGCATCCAATCCTTGCCGTCTGCCAGAGACAGGCAGATTTGGCAATACCACTTAGAACATGACTTTGCACACTTTATTTATTAGAACTTCAGTTTATTCAGTTGGAAAATGAGGGCAATAACAGTATCTCCCTCCCAGGGTTGCAGTGCCTAGAATACAGTAAGTGTTTAATAAATGGTAAATCTCATTGTAATTATTATAATAGGGAAACAATATTTACATAAAAAGGCTAGCACAGCCCCAGTTAATGTCGTTCTGGAAAATTACTGAACTATCCCAAATTATACAGTAATATATCCCAAAATATATTCTACCATCCCTGCGGAGGTAGCTTAAAGTTTTACTTCAAGAGTCCTGAGGCTGAAGAGGGTGGAAATTGCTAACCTGTTTTCTTTGGAGCCAGTCAGAAGAGCCCATCAGGCGGAATAAACCGAGAAGGAGGGAGGTCGACCAGGAAGCTTACAGGACCACAGTCAGGGCCCTGCTCTGCCCATGTGAGGTTGTGATTCTGCGGAGACAAGCGAGGATGGAGACTTCCCAGAACTGGAATGACTCAGATTTTCACCTGCTGCCCTCTCCCTGGTGGAGCTGGCACCCTCTCCCCACCCCACCCACTTCTGTGATGCATTGTTTTGGCTGTTAAGCATACAGAAAGCGGATGGAAGCTGGAGGCTGGAGGCCGGGGCTCCGAGGTGAATATGCAGATGTTGAGAGCTGGGACCAGCACTTGAGCTGGCTTCACCTTGGAACTGGGGGCTGCAGCAGGAGATGCCCCAGTTCCTGGTGTCCCATGGGGATGAAAACTGGGAAGGTCAAGCAGACAGATTTCTGCAGAAAGGAGGTTCCAGCCCTTGTTTAACCAGCCCAGGTGCCTCTGAGAGCCTCCAAGGGTCGTGGTCCACAAGGAGGAGAGTGGACAAGATCCCCATGGGGACCCCCCATGGCTGTTCTGCTTGGGGCTGGTCTCCAACGAGCCCTATCAGTCCCGGGCTTTGGGGAGGTCACGTGGGCATGTCCCAGGGCCCTGTGCAGGCGCAGCTCAGCCCTTGGGTCCCGAGTGGGTCATTTGAGCTGATACAATGTCTGGGGAAGCACAGGTATCCCAGAAATGGGTGGGAGATGCTGGATGCCACTCCACACGCTGCACACGGATGGTATGGAGCTGGCTTGACCGGGCTTGGCTGGTGTCACTCTGCTTAGTGTCATGAGTGTCCATCTGTCCTGTGACCTCCTGGGGCTGCCTGTCTCCTTCCCAGTACTTCAGCAGCAGGGAAGCCTAGGAGAGACTCAAGAGGACATCCTACCTGGTGAAGCCATTCATACATATTGAGCATACATAATGCACCGACTGCATGCACTGCCCTGGGCCAGACCAGTGTTAGAGACAGCCCTGGTCAAGTGCTGAATGCAGCTCTTGATTTTGCTTTGAAGTCTGCTGATTTCTCCCCTCTAGGATGATTTTTTTTAAAGAGATAACTCAGAGTTCGTCAATTGGAAAGAGACACGAAGGAAAAATTAAATTTGGAGTATCGGTGTCCTAAATGGTCAATCCAAGTTGACACCAAGCAGCTGGCCCTCTAGGGAAATCAGCCTCCCCTAAGGGGGTTGGATTTGGGGAGGAAATTGGAGGACTACTGCCTGGCACACAGGTGTCCTCTTCTGAGGCGTCTGGGCTAAGCTGGGCCGGGGAATAATTGTCCATCAGCCCACCCCTCCTCCTAGCAGGTCCCTGACTTGACCCATTGGTTTAAGCTTCTCATTAACCTCCAAGATCGTTCCTGTCTTGGGGCCTTTGCACCTACTGTCTCATCTCCTTGGGCAGAAATGCTCTTTTCCCAATTCTGTGGCCAGAGCCCCTCCTTTCTCACTCTGCAGGGGTCACCTCTTAAGGCAGAGTAGCCACCCAGTCACTCTTCACCCTCTGCGCCTTTCTCATAGTTTTTTTCTTTTTTAGAATTTTATTTTAGAGACAGGGTCTCACTCTGTAGCCCAGACCGGAGCACCATGGTGCCATCATAGCTCACTGCAGCCTCGAACTACACATTTCTGGGCTCAAGCAATCCTCCTGCCTCAGCCTCTCGAGTAGCTGTGACTACAGGCGCAGCCCCCACACCTGGCTAATTTATTTAATTTTTATACTGAGGAGGGTCTTGCTATGTTGCCCAGGCTGGACTCGAACTCCTAGCCTCATGTGATCCTCCCATCTCAGTCTCTCAAATTGCTAGGATTATAGGCATGAGCCACTGTGCCTGGCCCCATGGTTTTATTCCTTTTTTTTTTTTAATTTCATTTTACTTTCAGTTCTGGGATACATGAGCAGAATGTGCAGGTTTGTTACATAGGTATACACGTGCCATGGTGGTTTGCTGCACCTATCAACCTGTCATCTAGGTTTTAAGCCCGGCATGCATGACACATTTGTCCCAGTGCTCTCCCTCCCCTTGCCCCCCATCCTCCAACAGGCTGTGGTGGGTGATGTTCCCCTCCCTGTGTCCATGTGTTCTCATTGTTCAACTCCTACTTATGAGTGAGAACATGCGGTGTTTGGTTTTCTGTTCCTGTGTTAGTTTGCTGAGAATGATGGCTTCCAGCTTCGCCCATGTCCCTGCAAAGGACACGAACTCATTCTTTTTTATGGCTGCAGGCTTTATTCTTTACCAGCACTTATCTTGACATGGTCTCATAACATCCTTCTCCTCCCACTAGGGGATAAGCCCTGTAGCCCCAGTACGTAGAAAAGATCATAGTGCATAGTAGGTCCTCAGTAAATATTATTAGGATGGATGAAAGGGTCCCATTTTACAGATGAGACAACTGAGACCCAGAAGCCAATAGACTTACCAAAGCCCACATCATGGGTCAGTGCCAGGATTTGAACCCAGTCTTCTGTGCTCTTTCTTCCTAGCACTGCCCTCCCTCTCAAATGCTCCAGGTCTCTTCTCATCTCAGCCTGATGATTCCAGCTCTATACTTACAGCCGCTTGACCTTATCCACAAGCCACTTACCTTCCTGTGCCTCAGTTTCCCCTTCTGTAAACTGGGAGTGATAGTGATATTGCCTGTCTTAGAGTACATGTAAATGGTAAATGAGACCACATACACTGGGCCTTGGAGCCAAGTCTTAAAAATGAGCATGGGCCGGGTGCTGTGGCTCATACCTGTAATCCCAGCACTTTGGGAGGCCAAATTGGGAGGATCACTTGAGCCTAGGAGTTCGAGACCAGCCTGGGCAATGCAGCGAGACCCTACCTCTAAAAAAAAGAAAAGAAAAGAAAAATTAGCCAGGTGTGGTGCCGTGCACCTGTGGTCCCAGCTACTTGGAAGGCTGAGGTGGGAGGATTGCTTGAGCCTGGGAAATAGAGGCTGCAGTGAGCTATGATCACACCACTGCACTCCAGCCTGGTTGACAGAGCAAGACCCTGTCTCAAAAAACTGCCTGAGTTCATTCATAGCTGCTCTCTGCCCTCCACTGGTATCTCAAAACATCCTCGCCATCCTTGCTACGTGGACGTTTCTTTGTTGTTGTTGTTTTTAGACAGAGTCTTACTCTGTCACCCAGGCTGGAGTGCAGTGGCACAATCTCGGCTCAACGGCAACCTCCACATCCCGGATTCGAGTGATTCTCCTGCCCCAGCCTCCTGAGTAGCTGGAGCTACAAGTGCCCAACACCATGCCTGGTTGATTTTTGTATTTTTAGTAGAGATGGGGTTTCACCACATTGGCCAGGCTAGTCTTGAACTCCTGACTTTAGGTGATCCACCCACCTCAGCCTCCCAAAATGCTGGGATTACAGGCGTGAGCCACTGTGCCTGGCCAGACATTTCTGATATTACAAACTGGCCCTTGTACTGAATAAGACTGGGACCTCCACATTGAATCACACTGGGACCCTTGGGCCAACACAGGCTATTGGCCCAGGGCGACAGTGATGTGTGCAGTGATGACAGTGGGCACTGCCAGGTCAGGAAGACTACTGGGGGGCGGGAGTGGGTATTCTAGTGCCAGACCCTCTTACATGCGATATCTGTGCCTTCCAGAAGAGCTGAGACTATAACTGTAGATTTTGGTATCTGATCTGGCAACTGATGTTTTTTCTGAAAATGATGTCACCGTGACCTTCCTGGATGTCTGCATCAGCTGTCCCTGCTGTCAAGATTTCTCCCTGGGCCTGGGCTGTTGAGCTCCCTGCCTGTGATTTGTGGAACTGCTGGCATTGCAGAGGGAAGAAGGGGAGCAGGGCAGCAGGTCTGCCATGTATAGTTGTGCAGTTTGCAGACTTGAGGTCCTAGGGAGGCTCCGTGCACATGGCGGGTTTCTTCAGACCATCCTTGCATTCCTGCTATTTTCATGCTTGTATTCTTGCTTGCTGTCTCTGAGACAAAGTAGCAAACATAAGACACCAGGTTGGCCAAGTGCGGTGGCTCATGCCTGTAATCCCAGCACTTTGAGAGTCCGAGGCGGGTGGATCACCTGAGGTCAGGAGTTTGAGACCAGCCTGGCCAACATGGTGAAATCCGGTCTCTACTAAAAAATACAAAAATTAGCCGGGCATGGTGGCAGTTACTCAGGAGGCTGAGGTGGGAGAATCGCTTGAACCCAGGAGGTGGAGGTTGCAGTGAGCCAAGATTGTACCATTGCACTCCAGCCAGGGTGACAAGAAAGAAACTCTGTCTCAAACAAAACAAAACAAAATGAAACAAAAAACACCAGGTTTGCTCATTTCTTGTAGCATCAGAATTTCACAAAGTCCCTGACTGTGAAGGTGGGCAGCTCTCCCGAAAGATGCTTTAAAGACAAAACAAGACAGAGCACACAGCCCACCACGTCTCTTGCCCGAGTCACTGCATTCCTCAAAACTTAGACTGGGAATGGTGATTCATGCCTGTAATCCCAGGATTTGGCGGGGCCAAAGCACACCTGTACTCCCAGCTACTCAGGAGGCTCAGGCAGGAGAATCACTTGAGCCCAAGAGGTGGAGGCTGAAGTGAGCCTTGATCACACAACTGCACTCCAGCCTGGGTGACAGAGCAAGACCCTGTCTCTTAAAAAATAATAAGAATAAAATTAAATGACCCTAGTCCTTGCCTTCTTCTGCACACAAAATGACATCTAACAGGGTTGTGATTACACTTCTGTAAGCTATAACCAGTTGTTCTTTTGCACTTAAACTTTGATGTGATTTTACACATACTGAACCTCCACTACCTGTATGTAAGCGGTGAATTAAAACAGTAATTGGTCCCTAGCAAGCAGACTACAAAAAACAAACACAAAAGCAAAAAAGGAAGAAACACTGATTGCTTCAGAGAAGTCTGATTGAACCTCTCTAAAGGGCTGCCCCTGGGCTATGGGCCTCAGTCTATAGTCCTCAGTAAGACTTCTGAATAAAATGAACTTTAATTCTTTAAAAGCTTGATTTTTCGCCAGGCGGGGTGGCTCACACCTGTAATCCCAGCACTTTGGGAGGCCAAGGCAGGCGGATCATTGAGGTTAGGAGTTTGAGACAAGCCTGGCCAACGTGATGAAACCCCGTCTCTACTAAAAATACAAAAATTAGTGGGGCGTGGTGGCGGGCACCTGTAATCCCAGGTACTCGGGAGGCTGAGGCAGGAGAATTGATTGAACCCAGGAGGCAGAGGTTGCAGCGAGCCGAGATTTCACCATTGCACTCCAGCCTGGGCAACAAAAGTGAAACTCCATCTCAAAAAAAAAAAAAGAAAAGAAAGAAAAGCTTGTTCTTTTTTTTCTTTAGTTGACATGTCTATCTCCCCTACAGGTCTGAGCCCTTAAACACTGAGATGTCATTGCCCCTGCATCCAGTGCCTAGCTGAGGCCAGGCCATCAACATGATTGCTAGTACCATTGCATAAGCCACACATGTGGTCTAAATTCTCCAGCAACCACATCAAGCCCATGTATGCCTAGTGTTCCATTATTGGAACGCTAAGAATGCGGGGGTTGTTTATATCCTACCGCTCAATGTCATCACAAAGGTCTGATTGCAAAAATTCAAAACATTGCAACCTCAGACATAAATGGGTTAAAACAGGAAAATGAAACAGATGAAGTACATTTTAAGAATATATTCCATTTTAACCCAACGTACCCAAAATGTTTATCATCCCGACATATAATCAATATAAGAATTACGAAGGAAATATTTTACATTTTTGGTACTCAGTCTTAGAAATCTGGTGTGTATTTTACACTCACTGCGTATCTCCATTCACACCCTAAATTTTCCTCAGAAATACTTGATCCGTATTTAGACTTCTTTAAAAATTTGCAGTTGAAAAAAAAGCAGATTCTAACGTCTAAGTGGTTCCAAACATCTTGACGCGTTTTCTGATAACTCCCTCTGGCATCCATTCTTAAAATTCAAATGAATTGATAACAAACACAATTTATAAAAGAAAAGTTCAGCTCCTCAGTCATGCAAGCCACTTAAAATTCCAAATGCTTTATAGCCACATGGGGCTGGTGACCATTGTATTGGGCAACACGTAGAGAACATTTTCAGAGCTCTAGAAAGTTCTGTGGGGCAGAGCAAAGCCAGGCCCTCGTGTCCTTTGGCCAAGGGTATGCCTTATCCATCCAGGTACTTAGGCCTTCAGCTCATCCCTGAGGGGTTTGTGGTCAGTGCTGTCCCTCTAGGCGACCCCAAAATCCTCCCCACTGAAACCAGTAATACTTTTACTACTAGTAATACTTTTACTTTTACAAAAGCCAAACACAATTCTGTCAAACATACGAGTGACACAACTTAGAGCCCGCCCAGCTCAGAATGAAAAGGTAGATTTTGGCCGGGCGTGTTGGCTCAAGCCTATAATCCAGGACATTGGGAGGCTGAAGTGAGAGGATAATCTCAGGTCAGGAATTCAAGACCAGCCTGACCAACATGGTAAACCCCGTCTCTACTAAAAACGCAAAAATTAGCCGGGCATGGTGACACATGCCTGTAATCCCAGCTACTCGGGAGGCTGAGAAAGGAGAATTGCTTGAACCCGGGAGGTGGAGGTTGCAGTGAGCAGAGATCCCACCACTGCACTCCAGCCTGGGCAACAGGGTGAGACTCTGTCTCAAAAAATAAATAAATAAATAAAGGTAGACTTTATAATTCCCTCTACACCTTTGTTTTTCAGATGGGGACACAAAACCTAAAAAAAAAAAAAATTCAAGAGGCCGGGCGCAGTGGCTCATGCCTGTAATCTCAGCACTTTGGGAGGCCGAGGTAGGTGGATCACCTGAGGTCAGGAGATCAAGACCAGCTTAGCCAATATAGTGAAACCCCGTCTCTACTAAAAATACAAAAATTAGCTGGGCGTGGTGGCATGTGCATCTGTAGTCTCAGCTACTCGGGTGGCTGAGGCATGAGAATTGCTCGAACCCAGGAGGCAGAGGTTGCAGTGAGCCAAGATCGCGCCATTGCACTCCAGCCTGGGTGACTAAGCAAGACTCTGTCTCAAAAAAAAACAAAAAACAAAAACAAAACAAACAAACAAAAAAACTTCATGAAACTCCTGGGAGACAAAGGGTTTCCAGAACACGTGGAAAAATGAAGTCTGAAGTGGACACATCTTTAAGCACTTCCTGGATGGGGCCCATCTGGTCACTTTCGGTGCCACTGGAGAGTGGTGAGTGAGGCTGCCAGATGAGTACGTCGCTGTGAGTTCATTAGCAGACCAGATCTTATGTCGGCTGAAGGCTGCTGCTTTAATTTTATTTGTTGCTGTTTCAGGGTTTTGGTCTGCTTATGCAATCTCCCATCAATGCCCCCCAAATAAACAATCCGTCCCCAAAGTGGCACATTTGCTGGTATTCCTCAGATTAAAATCCCTAAACTAGGTATTTAATTTGGATTTGGCGTGGCCACTATCGGCCTCAGATAGCGTCAGAATCAAAATAAAATTTGGAACTCTTATGAGACAACCAGCAACTTTCTCTGACGCCGGACTTCTCTCACGCTGGTCTTTCTTGCTTCTAACGATGGGTCTGGAGGCAATCGTCAGTGATATTTTTGTGGCTGAGGCTGGTTTCTGGCCGAGTCTGCCTAATTACGTGTTGGAGTGCATGTCACACCTGCTTCCTGAGCTCGCAGAACACAGGAATGCGCTATGTAATATTTATGGTTCCTGTTAAAACCCACAGAATAATTTACGACGCTTGGCACTGGGCTGTTGTCTTCGACAGAGGCTCCCTGCCTTGGTAGAAATGCCCCTTCCCCTCCACGCCTAGGTCAGGACCAGTACAGAGGAGACTCAGCCGACCCTGCCCTGAGATGGCCCTCCCAGTTAGAGAAGTGGGGAGGGGCTCCCCTGGCTAGCGCCTAGCCTGGGAATTTGGGTTAGAGGTGAGATGAAAATCCCATTTAAAGAGGTTCAGGCTGGGAGCAGTGGCTCACGCCTGTAATTCCAGCACTTTGGGAGGCCGAGGCAGGAGGATCGCCGGAGGTCAGGAGTTCCAAACCAGCCTGGCCAATATGGCAAAACTCTGTCTCTACTAAAAATACAGAAATTAACCACCATGGTGGCACGCACCTGTAGTCCCAGCTACTCAGGTGGCTGAGGCACGAAAATCGCTTGAACCCGGGAGGTGGAAGTTGCAGTGAGCCAGGATTGCACCACTGGGTGCCTCCTGGGTTCCAGCCTGGGTGACAGAGCAAGACTGTGTCTGAAAAAAAAAAAAAAAAAAAAAAAAAGATGCTCAGAAATGGGTCAAGTGTGGTAGCTCATGGCCTATAATCTTAGTGCTTGAGAGGCCAAGGTAGGAGCATCCCTTGAGAACAGGAGTTTGAGACCAGCCTGGACAACACAAGGAGACCCCATCTCTACAGAAGAAAATTTTTAAAATTAGCTAGGCATGCTGGCATGCACCTGTAGTCCCAGCTATTTGGAAGGCTGAGGCAGGGGCATCACTTGAGCCCAGGAGTTTGAGGTGACAGTGAGCTATGGATCATGCCGCTGCACTCCAGCCTGGGTGACAGGATGAGATCCTGTCTCTACTAAATAAACAAATAAAAAAAAAGCTAAAAAATTTTTAAAAAAATATAAAAAATAAATATGTCTTTTCACGCAGCCATGCATTCTTTCATTCTGCATCCTCACCATGGTCCTGTCTCCAGCTTTATTCTGGACAGAAAGCTCTTGGAAGTGGGGCTGGAGGGGAAGAGTGATGAAGACAGTTAGGGGTGGGAGAGGGGAAAAGAGGGGACCCCAAGAGACCCAAGTTTCTGCTTATACTCCTCCCTCTCTCCTTCCTTCCCTTCTTTTCTGGGCTTTCTCCCGAAATTCACGTTGAAACCTAACCCCAATGTGAAGGTATTTGAAGGTGGGGCCTTTGGGAGATGATTAGGTCATGAGGGGTTCATGTCCTTATAAAAGGGACCACAAAGAGCTCTCTTCCTCCCTCCTCCATGTAAGGACACAGCAAGAAGATGCCATCTATGAACCAGAAAGCAGATTCTCGCCAGACTTGGAATTTGCCAGCACCTTGACCTTGGACTCCCCAGCCTCCAGAACTGTGAGCAATAAATTTCTGTTGTCAATAAGCCACCAGTCTAAGATGTCCCGTTAAAGCAGCCTGAAGAGACTGAGGTCCTTCCTTCCTTTCTTCCCTTCTTCCTTCCATCCTTCCTTCCTTCCTCCCTCCCTCTCTCCCTCCCTTCCTTACTTCCCTCCTTCCTTCTTTCCTTCCTCCCTCCCTCCCTTCCTCCTTACTTTCCTTCCTTCCTCCCCTCCTTCCTTCCTTCCTTCCTTCCTTCTTCCCTCCCTCCCTCCCTTCCTCTCTTCCTTCTTTCTTTTCTCTCTTTCTTCCTTCCTTCTATCCTTCCTCTCTCTCTCCCTCCCTTCATTCCTTCCTTCCTTCCAATAATATTTGATAAGCACCTACTGCATATCAGACACTAAAAATACACCAAATAACAATAAGAATAATAAACCCAAGTCCCTGCCCTTGGGACATGTTTTGCCCGGAGGAAGACAGAAACATTCCCTACAGAATTCCACAATGTGTAAATTCACAACTGCTAACTACCATGGAAGAGCACATACATTCTCTTCTCAGTTTCTTTCTTTCGTTTTTAAATCGTATTAACTAATTAATTAATTAATTTTGAGATGAGATCTTGCTCTGTTGCCCAGGCTGGAGTCCAACAGCACAATCATAGCTCATTGCAGCCTCCACCTCCCGGGCTCAAGTGATCCTCCTGCCTCAGCCTCTTGAGTAGCTGGGACCACAGGTGCACACCAGCATGTCCAGGTAATTTTTTATTTTATTTATTTATTTTGAGATGGAGTCTTGCTCTGTTGCCCAGGTTGGAGTGCAGTGGCATGATCTTGGCTCACTTCAACCTCTGCCTCCCAGGTTCAAAGGATTTTCCTACCTCAGCCTCACAAGTAGCTGGGATTACAGGTGCCTGCCACCACATCCAGCTAATTTTTTGTATTTTTAGTAGAACTGGGGTTTCACCATGTTGGCAAGGCTGGTCTTGAACTCTTGACCTCAAGTGATCCACCCACCTCAGCCTCCCAAAGTGTTGGGATTACAGGCGTGAGTCACCAAGCCCGGTGGTAATTTTTTAATTTTTTGTAGACATGGGGTCTCCCTATGTTGCCCAGGCTGGTCTCAAACTCCTGGCCTCAAGCGATTCTCCCACCTCAGCCTCCCAAAGAACTGAGATTACAGGCATAAGCCACTGTGCCCAGCCTATTGTCTCTGTTTCTTAAACATCTCCAAAGTCCAAGGAAGCGTAAGTTTTTATCTTCACTGGCTTAATGCCCACATGGGTGCACAGTAGGCTTGGATTTCTGGGAATTTGTCCCTGTGGTACCAAGCGTTTGGCTATCTGTAAATAGTCACATCATTCATTCATTCATTCATTTGTTCATTCCCTCAAATAACAGGTAGACTCTATGCTGGGTGCTGGGGTACAGAGCTGTGAACAGGAGACTCTAGCTCAGAAGGAAGACAGCGATGATGGAAGTGAGCCATGGACGGTTGGGAGGGCTCTGTGGAGGGAGGCCTCGTGCTTAGGAAGAAGGCGGATGGGTATCAGGAGCTGGTTGGTGTGGATGTAACTGAAAAGAACCCAAATGAGAGAAGGCAAAGGCTCCTAATTCAGAGCTCGCTATAGCAAGGGAGTCGGCCACTGTCATTTGGCATTAGGCAGACAGACTCAAAGGCAGGTAGAGGAAAGCTTTAGAGAGAAAAGGGAAGGCCCAGGTGTGCCCTGGTTGGAGGCTGGAGAGATCTCCCTGGAAACAGGGCTCCTATGAGGTTGGATAGAATGGAGCCTCACTGGCTTCCTCTACTTGGTCATGAATTGGAAGTGCGGGGAAAAATTTTTCAAGAAGCTGGTAGTTACTGATCTAGCCCTGGTGTTTGGTTTGACTTCCTCGGCTGGCGGCTGCAGGAGGTGGGTCAGAGTTCCATTGTCATACACGGGCCGAACACTGGTGTTTGCGTTCCAGTCTCAGCCCTGAATGCCCAGCTCTGTTCCATCCTCAGAACGAGCCCTTATTTCCATGCATCCCATCTCTCATCGGGAAAGCTTTCTGCACACGGATTCAGGAGCTGAGTCTAGAAACAGAGGAGTTGTTTCCGGGAAAGGGTGGACCAGACAGAGGAATCAGCATCCTTGGCACAGGACCCAGGCATCCAGGGAATCTCGGGCAGCTGCAGGGAAGGGCGGGGCTTTGCACTTCAAGAGGGAGGGAAATGCGATGAGGTCAGAGAAGGGAGCAAGTGCTGGGGCATTAGGGACCCCATATATCCCGGGAAAGTGGTATGAACCTTACCTGAGGAGTCATGGGGAGTCACTGGAGGGTTTTAAGCCAGGGCAAGCCATGATCTGAACAGAGTGCTGGAAGGATGGATGGGACTGTGTGGGGACAATGCGTTGTTGAAGGACCTTGAGAGGAGGTGGGAAAACCTGCGGTCCCAGTTGTCCAGCAAGAGTTGAGGCTCCTGAGTCACTGCAGGGTCAGTCAAGGTGAGTAGCTCCTGCTGGGCGACATAGATGCACCCTTGGGCTCCACACAACAGCCTGGGTGTCCCTGGAGGCAGCCTACCCTCAAGATGTTTGGGGCCATGTCCTCCAGGCCTCCAACTTGCCCTGACCAATGTTTAAACCACATATCTCAGATTCAGCTGACATTGAACTCACAGAACTCATGTGGCTAAAAGCAAGGGTGGGTTGAACCTGAAGACAGGTTGGGATGGCTCTTAACTGAGATGTTGCCATGTCATACTGTGCCTCATGAGCTTTAGTAGATGACCAGGGGAACTTGGCTGACCTCTGAGCATCTCCAATTTGGTATTGTGCAAAGGAATGAATGAGTTAATGAATTAGTGAGTGAAGGAGTGAATGAATTAATTAACAAACCAACAAATGAATGAGTATATGAATGAATTAACAAACCAACAAGTGAATGAATGAGTGAAGGAGTGAATTAATGAATTAACAAACCAATGAGTGAATGAATGAGTGAATGAATTAATGAATGAACAAACCAAGTGAAATAAATGAGCAAATGACTGACTGAACCAACAGTGAATGAATGAAGGAAGGAGTGAATAAACGATTGAGTGAATGGATGAACCAAGCCAATGGATGAACCAAGCAAATGAATGAACAAACTGAGTGAATGAATGAACAAACTGAGGGAATGAATGAATGAGTGAATGAACAAACCAACAAGAGTGAATGAATGAATGGACAAACCAACAAATGAACGAATGAGTGAACAAATGGACAAACAAATGAATGAACGAGTAAATGAATGAATGGACAAACAAATGAATGAATGAGTGAACAAATAGACAAACGAACAAATGAATGAATGAGTAAATGAATGAATGGACAAACAACAAATGAATGAATGAGTCCATGAATCAGTGGACAAACTAACAAATGGATGAATGAGTGAAAGAATGAATGGACAAATCAACAAATGATGGATGAGTGAATGAATGAGTAATACATCAAAGCTCCTGCATCCTACCAATGTGCTTGCTTATAAAACAAGGATGTAATTTAAGTTCCTAATGAGCCTTTGAGTGTGTTCCATAATTAGGGAAGGCTCTGGCAGGCAGATGTGTGGGCCAATTGCTACTCAGAGAACAAACCACTTCTTTGTTGAGTTGATCCAGGATGGAGATTTACCAAAGTGAAAACTAATGAGATTCCACAGTCACCGGGTTTTATGTGCAAGCGTATAATACCGGTGTAATTATACGTGTGCATCCATAAATTGGACACAAAGCTGGAAAATGGGCTTCAGTGGCAAAGGCAAAAGAATGACAGAGCCATAAAAGATACACCATGCCCCAGCCGTGTGAAAGCCACCATGATGGAGCGTTTGTTTCCAAGGACTTAGCGATCTGGGGTCTCCTTTGTCATTCCCTAATCTTGTCCTTTCTTCTTAAGGTCAGGCAGTGCCCAAATCTTGGCGTTCTCCCAACGTCTGAACTGCAAATGTCAGGGATTGCTCTGAGCTGGCGGGGAGTATTGCTTGCACTTTTTGTGGCTTCAAGCCATGTTGTTCGTTAATCACAGAGCTTAAAATCTGATCAGACAAGATCTCACTTTAGTCTTTCTAAGCTGGCAATTTTGCAGAATGCCCAGAGAATGACTGACATTCATTACATTAATTGTAAAACCCTTTAACCACCCGTTCTATCTGCAAACAGAAGCTCTTGAGCAGGGAGGAATTGGCAGCAAGCCTGCTCCTCTCTCTAAGCCCAGTTTCTTTCTCTGTAAATGAGGGGTTTGGTATAGTTGCCCTGTTCGTAAATTACCCTAAACTTCGAAATCTCTGATTTACTCCCCAGGAGGTGACTTCTGTGGCAGTCTTGGGCCCACGCTGCATGAACTAATCCAGAATTTGTGAAGAAGGCTGAGGAACAGGCCCAGGACATTTTGGCCACTCTGTGCTGAGATGACCCCGGGGAGGGAGCCATTCTGTTATTCATTTGCCAAATCAGGTTCATTCAGCTACAAAGTCTCCAAGAAATCTGCACGCAAGGCTACCCCAAACACCATAGCCCATACCCAAAACAGATTCTCTCTCTAGTGTTTCAAAGGGCCCCCTAAAGTGCCAGATGCTATTATAGAGACTGAGGGTCACAGCAGCAAGATCATACTGCATCCACTGTCTTCTGGGATGGCTATGAAAAGGAACCAGCCTGGGGAAAGTCTCCGGGGGCTTCCAGGAGGAGGTGGGCTGGGGATAACCTCACCAACTGGGTGGGATTCAGTTGAACAGATAGAAAGAGTCAAGGCATTTTTCCAACTCGGGTCTGTCAGTATGGCTCCTCCAAAGAAGGACCATTCTGCCATCAATGAGTTAGTGGTCCAAGAATGCACCCTCAACATTCACAAGCACAAGCACAAGCACGCTTTAAGAAGCGTGCCCCTTGGTCATGCAAAGAGATCTGGAAATTTGCCATGGAAGAGATGGGGACTCTAGATGTGCACGTTGATACCAGGTAAAGAAAAACTGCAAAAAAATAGGAAGGGAAAAGGAAGGAAGGAAAAAAGGAAGGAGGGAAGGAAGGAAGGAAGGAAGGAAGGAAAAGAAAGAGAGCTGAGGTATTTCAGGGAAGAAAAGCAACATAAGAAAAACAGGCCGGGTACTCATGCCTGTAATCCCAGCATTTGGGGAGGTCAAGGCAGGTGGATCACCTGAGGTCAGGAGTTCGAGACCAGCCTGGCCAACATGGTGAAACCCCATCTCTACTAAAAATACAAAAAAAAAAAAAATTTAGCCAGGCATGGTGGCACGTGCCTGTAATCCCAGGTACTCAGGAGGCTGAGGCAGGAGAATCACTTGAACCAGGGAGGCAGAGGTTGCAGTAAGCCAAGATAGTGCCATTGCACTCCAGCCTGGGCAACAAGGGTGAAACTCTGTCTCAAAAAAATAAAAAAGAAAGAAAGAAAGTTGGCAACTGACAGAGGCCCAGGGCCCTCTATGCCTGTGTTCCCAGCTGAAACACAGAGGGCTCCCTTAAATACACAAGTTACAGCCATCTCAAAAAAAAAAAAAAAAAAAGAGAGAGAGAGACAGAGAAAAGAAAAGAAAAAAATCAGCCTTGCTCAAAGAGAGGTCTAGCCTTTGCCATCAGCTCTTGGGAAGGGATCTCTAAGCCCTTGGAATGTCCTGTGTCATAAGTGTCTGTTTACCTGGGGGCCTAGGGCCACACCAGATAATCTAAAAACGTGATTTAGGGTAGGAGCTTTGGGCCCCTGCAGTATCAGCTCTGTGAAGAGGCTGGAAAACGAGGTCAGCCACATGGACCATCAGCTACGTCTCAGTGACCAAGTCCTAATAAAAGCTGAACGCCAAGGCTCTGCCAAGCTTCCTGGTGGCCAAGGTCCCATGTGGGTTGTCACACATCATTGCTGGGGACATTTAGTGCTGCCCACAACTCTACTGGTGGAGAACAACTGGAAGCTCTGCTGGAAACTTCCCAGACTCCGTCTCATGAGTCTTTTCCCTGGGCTGATTTTAATCTGTATCCTATGCTGTAATAAACCGTAACCATGAGCATAACGGCTTTCAGTGCATTCTGTGAGTCCTTCTAGCACATTGTTCAACCTGAGAGTTGTCTTGGGGACCCCTGAACTTGGAGTTGGTGTCAGAAGTGAGAGCAGTTGTTTTAGTTCATTTTCATGCTGCTAATAGACATACTGGAGACTGGGTAATTTATACAGAAAAAGGTTTAATGGATTCAGAGTTCCACGTGTCTGGGGAGGCCTCACAATCATGGCGGAAGGTGAAAGGCACGTCTTACATGGCAGCAGACAAGAGAGAAGTGAAGACCAAGCAAAAGGCATTTCCCATGATAAAACCATCAGATCTCATGAGACCTATTCACTACCACAGAACAGTATGGGGGAAACCACCCCCATGATTCAATTGATTCAATTTTCTCCCACTGGGTCCCTCCCACAACATGTGGGAATTATGAGAGCTACAATTCAAGATGAGACTTGGGTGGGGACACAGCCAAACCACATCAGCCTTCTTACAGATTGCTCCCCTAACTTCACAAATGACCTTCCCCACAAAGCACACACCTGCCACCTGCCACCTGCCTGAGGAACACACCAGGAGGGACCCGGGAGGATCCCTGGCTGGTCTTTTCCAACAATTCCTCTTCTTCAGGGGTTCAGGTGCTGCCACTGGGACTCCCCTCACAGGAAACGCCAACTTCCCTGTTTCTTTTTTTTAAACTTTTTTTTTTTTTTTTTTTTTGAGATGGAATCTTGCTCTTTCGCCCAGGCTGGAGTGCAGTGGTGCTGTCTCGGCTCACTGCAAGCTCTGCCTCCCAGGTTCACGCCATTCTCCTGCCTCAGCCTCCCAAGTAGCTGGGACTACAGGTGCCCGCCACCGCGCCCGGCTAATTTTTTGTATTTTTAGTAGAGACAGGGCTTCACAGTATTAGCCAAGATGGTCTCAATCTCCTGACCTTGTGATCTGCCCACCTCAGCCTCCCAAAGTGCTGGGATTGCAGGCATGAGCCACCGCCCCCGGCCTCCAACTTCCCTGTTTCAATGCCAACAAACAGACGCATGTCTGCTTCATAAAGTTATGAACTGGCCAGGCGCAGTGGCTCATGCCTGTCATCCCAGCACTTTGGGAGGCTGAGGGTGGGGGGCTAAGATCAGGAGTTCCAGACCAGTCTGGTCAACATGGCAAAACCCCAACTCTATTAAAAATATAAAAATTAGCCAGGCGTGGTGGTGGGCGCATGTAATCTCAGCTACTCAGGAGGCTGAGGCAGGAGAATCGCTTGAACCTGGGAGGCGGAGGCTGCAGTGAGCTGAGATTGCACCACTGCACACCAGCCTGGGTGACAGAGCAAGACTCTGTCTCTAATTAATTAATTAATTAATTAATTAAAGTAAGTTATGAACCCATCTTTGGGACATGGCCCTTTAAGCCTTCACTCTGGTACTCTGGTTAGTTTCTTGCTTCTCCTTCCCAGTCTCCTGCCTGGGGAGCATTTCCAGGTGCCATTGACTATCTGAAGTTGTCTCCTTCCTTCCTTCCTTCCTTCCTTCCTTCCTTCCTTCCTTCCCTCCCTCCCTCCTTCCTTCCTTCCTTTCTTTTCTTTCTTTTTCCTTCCTTCCTTCTTTCTTTTCTTTTCTTTCTTTCTTTCTTTCTTTCCTTTCTTTCTTTCTTTCTTTCTTTCTTTCTTTCTTTCTTTCTTTCTTCTTTCTTTCTCTTTCTTTTTCTTTTTCTTTCTTTCCTTTCTTGACAGGGTCTCACTCTATCACCCAGGCTGGAGTGCAGTGGCACAATCACAGCTCACTGCAGCCTCAACCTCCTGGGTTCAAGCAATCCTCCCACCTCAGCCTCCTGAGTAGCTGGGACTACAGGCATTCACCACCACACCCCGCTAATTTTTTTTTTTTTTTTTTTTTTTTTTTGTAGAGACAGGGCTTCACCATGTTGCCCAGGCTGGTCTCAGACTCTTTGGCTCAAGCAATCCACCCACTTTGGAGGCTCAGCCTCCCAAAGTGCTGCGATTACGGTGTGAGCCACCGCACTCGTCTAGAAGTTGGTTTCTTCAGATCCCATCAGACATTCATTCTCCGGTACCCCCAGAATCTGAAAAAGCAAATGAGAACTGGAGATAATGTATTGGGAGAACTGTAGATAGCAAACAATTGTGTGTATCTGTTGGTTTGTTTTCCACATCTGGTCACCAGGCCAAAGAGATGTAATTAATTTTTTGGTTCCAAAGAGACAATTCCACCAGTGATACGCATCTTTAATTAGCCCAACTCGACAACTGTGCTCCAGTACTTTATTTCAGGGAGCTCAATGCTGACACATTCATGGAAGATGGTGCCAGACTCTGGGGTAAGAATAACTGTGATTGTAAAGGCTGAAATTAAAGCAGTTGCTTCAACAAGATAAGCACAGGGTTTTCATTCTAGAAGTGATTTGATCAGTTGTGTGTCTAAGAGAGAAATGCAAATGGGTGAACAACGAAGCTGAATTCATTAGGAAGAAAGAGCGGGAAGAGAAAAGGGTTTTAGGCCGGGCACAGTGGCTCACGCCTGTAATCCCAGCAGTTTGGGAAGCCGAGGTGGGCGGGTCACTTAAGGTCAGGAGTTAGAGACCAGCTGGCCAACATGGTGAAACCCCATCTCTACTAAAAATACAAAAAAAAAAAAAAAAAATTAGCCGGGCGTGGTGATGGGTGCCTGTAATCCCAGCTACTCGGGATGCTGAGGCAGGAGAATTGCTTGAACCTGGGAGGCAGAGGTTGTAATGAGTTGAGATTGTGCCACTGCACTCCAGCCTGGGTGACAGAGCGGGACTCTGTCTCAAAAAAAAAAAAAAAAAAGAAAGAGAGAGAGAGAAAGAGAGAGAGAGAGAAAGGGGTTTCAGGTCATTCTTTGGTAAATCTCTTGCAGGTATATTTTGCAAATGGTGAAAAACCCAATACAAACTAAGCAGAAGGAATATTCGCTATTTTAAGAAACTGTAGTCCTGTAGCAGAGCTGTCTGAGCAGCCTCTGACTCAGTTTCTCTGTTGTTCTCTTGTCTCTCTGTAATTGCCTGATGGATTCTTCCTGCCCGCTGCACAAACAAAATCAATTCATCAAGACCACAACATTGCAGTGGAGAAAGAGTTTAATTGATGCAAGGCTGGGCATGCAGAAGAACTGGATTATCACCTAATTCAGTCTCACCAAGAGCTCAGAGGATACAGTTTTGTTTTTGTTTTTGTTTCTGTTTTTTTGAGATAGGATCTCACTCTGACACCCAGGCTGGAGTGCAGTGGCATGATCTTGGCTCACTGCGACCTCCACCTCCTGGGTTCAAGTGATTCTCCTGCCTCAGCTTCCCAAGTAGCTGGGATTACAGGCGCCCAACCACCACGCCTGGCTAATTTTTTTTTAATTTATTTTTTTGAGATGGAGTCTCACCCTTTCACCCAGGCTGGAGTGCAATGGCATGATCTTGGCTCACTGCAACCTCTGCCTCCTGGGTTCAAGCAATTCTCCTGCCTCAGCCTCCTGAGTAGCTGGGATTACAGCCACCCACCACCCCTGGCTAATTTTTGTATTTTTAGTAGAAACGGGGTTTCACCATGTTGGCCAGGCTGGTCTCAAACTTCTGACCTTGTGATCCGCCCTCCTCGGCCTCCCAAAATGCTGGGATTACAGGCATGAGCCACCATGCCCAGCCTGAAGCTAGTTTTATGGGTAATTTGGTGAGCAGGGGGCTAGAGAATGGGTGCTGCTGATTGGTTAGGGATGAAATCACAGGGGTCTGGAAAATGGTCCTCATGCACTGAGTCTGCCTCTGGATGGGGCCACAGGACCAGCTGAGTCATAAGTCATGGGTCCAGGTGGCATCAGTCTGAAAAAACCTCAAAAGACTAATATTAGATTCTATGATAGTGATGTTATCTATAGGAGCAATTGGAGAAGTCACAGAGTGTTCCCTGGGTGCACCGTGGGTACAGGGTAACCACACAGCTCCTGGCTGTGTCTCTCTGAGACTGACAAGACCAGGCAGGGGCATCAACAAGGGGTCAGACCAACTTCTGCAGTAAGCCTGTGGGTCCTGAGAGGTGAGCCCTGTAGGACCAAGAGGACAGGGGTCTCCAACCCCCAGAAATTGTGCCACATAGCAGATGAGTGGCAGGTGAGCCAGCAAAGCTTCATCTGTATTTACAGCTGCTCCCCATTGCTCACACTACCACCCTAGCTCCACCTCCTGTCAGATCAGCTGAGGCATTAGATTCTCATAGGAGCACAAACCCTATTGTGAACTGCACACTTGAGGGATGTAGGTTGCACACTCCTCATGAGAATCTAATGCCTGATGATCTGTCACTGTCTCCCATCACCCCTAGATGGGAACACATAGTTGCAGGGAAACAAGCTCAGGACTTCCACTGATTCTACATTATGATGAGTTGCATAATTATTTTATTAGATATCACAATGTAATAATAATAGAAATAAAGGGCGCAATAAATGCAATGCACTTGAATCTTCCTGACACTATCCCTGCCCCAACCACTCCATCCTGAAAAAATTGTCTTCCATGAAACTGGTCCCCAGTGCCAAAAAGTTTGGCAACCACTGCAATAGGAGAAATCTGCATTCATAATCAAAAGTTGCACAGTGAAGTGTAAAGAAGCAGACAGGTCAGGCCAGGCGAGGTGGCTCACACCTGCAATCCCAGCACTTTGGGAGGCCGAGGTGGGCAGATAACTGAGGTCAGGAGTTCAAGACCAGCCTGGCCAACATGGTGAAACCCTGTCTCTACTGAAAATACAAAAATTAGCTGGGTGTGGTGGCGGGTGCTTGTCATCCCAGCTGCTCAGGAGGCTGAGGCAGGAGAATTGCTTGAACCTGGGAGACAGAGGTTACAATGAGCCGAGATCATGCCACTGCATTCCAACCTGGGCGACAGAATGAGACTCTGTCTCAAAAAAAAAAAAAAAAAAAGAGAAGAGAAGAAGAGGAAGAAACAGACAGGTCAGTTTTCAAAGCATAGCCCTGCTATTTGCCAGCCTTGTGAAATACGACTTAACCCCTGTGTGCCGTAGCTACTGCAACCATAAGAGGGGGACCATAAAGGAACCCAAATGGGTCATTAGGAGGATTAAGTCAGATAATGCATATACAGTGCTTGGCATGCAATAAGTGAAATCAATGTTAATAGTCAATGTTGATTGGCCAAATAAATAGAAGAAGTCCTTAATGCTGTGACTATTTTTGACTGTGATGGACGTCTTTGCTTATCAACTCTTAGGATAATACTCAATATGTGGGCCTGGGCTGTATTTTTTTTAATGGCTTTTCTGAAAAGGTGGCAATGAAGCTGGGCCAGGATAGATGAGAAGGAGCTTTCCAGGTGAATGCCACTGAGGGGAAGATCTGTCTTTATCTGCACCTTGATCACAGTGTTGTGTTGCTCAAACACCTGCCATGATTCACTGTTTCCTGCCATAACAATTCCAAGCCTGTGCATTTTTTTATTATTTATATATATATATATATATTTTTGAGATAGAGTCTCCCTCTGTCACCCAGGCTAGAGTGCAGTGGTGCGATCTCAGCTCGCTGCAACCTCCACCTCCCTGGTTCAAGCGATTCTCCTGCCTCAGCCTCCTGAGTAGCTGGGATTACAGGCACACGCCACCATGCCTGGCTAATTTTTGTATTTTTAGTAGAGATGGGGTTTCACCATGTTGGCTAGGCTGGTCATGAACTCCTGACCTCAGGTGATCTGCCTGCCTCAGCCTCCCCAAGTGCTGGGATTACAGGTGTGAGCCACCGCGATGGGCCCCAAGCCTGTGCAATTTGTTCCTACATCTGTCTGTGATATTCCCACAGCTGGAAACACCACCCCCGACCCGCACTCCTAAGCCAACATTGTCATCTTTCCAAATGCATAAATCCCTCTCACTTCACCTTACAAGGCTGAAGGAGTCCATCCATCCCTGTTTTCATACTCACACATCCTCCTCCCATTGGATTGCTGCTGTCTGCTACAGGTCCCTCTTACCCACCACCTTGGGAGTTCCTGGAGGCAGGACCTCAGAACTCTAGCAGACAGCCTTGTACATGTTGAAATCAATGTTAATAGTCAACGTTGGTTGACCAAATAAATGAAGTCCTTAACTCAGTCTTTTATTCGTTATGGGTAAGTGACTTAACTTTTCTGAGTCTGAATTTCCTCGTTGGGAAAAAAAATAGATAAAATATCTCTTAGGGACTATATGAAGGATGAAATTATATGAGATCACACCTGTAATGTATAAGATCCATTGTAAGGGCTGGGTGTGGTGGCTCACACATATAATACCAGCACTTTGGGAGGCTGAGATGGGTGGATCACTTGAGGCCAGGACTAGCCTGGCCAACATGGTGAAATCCCATGTCTACTAAAAATACAAAAATTAGCCAGGTGTGGTGGCCCATGCCTGTAATCCCAGCTACTCAGGAGGCTGAGAGACTCACTTGAACCTGGGAGGCAGAGGTTGCAGTGAGGTGAGATCGCACCACTGCACTCCAGCCTGGAGTAAAACTCTGTCTCAGAAAAAAAAAAAAAAAGAAATTCCATTGTAGGGGTTCAGTAATATATGGTCCTCTTGACTTCCCTAGGCAACATAAGTTATCTGGAAGCAAGCCCCATGTTCTCCTAATGCTTCTTTTAAATTTTATTAAGGTATAATTTATATGCAATAAAATGCACACGATTTTGTTTGATGAGTTTTGACTGTGTATACAGTCAAGATACAGAACACTTTCATCACTGCAAAATGTCCCATTATTTTCTTCCTTCCCAGTCAAAACACACTCCTCTCTCCAGGCTGCTGACAACCATTGATTTGCTTTCTATCAAAATAGAGTAGATTTCTCTTTCCTAGAGTTTTATGAAAATGGAATCATACTGTAGGTACTCCTATGGCACTGGCTTCTTTCTTTCACCATAAGGTTTTTGAATTTTAAAATTCAGCTGTATTATTGCATTTCTTTTTAAGACTGAGTGGTGTTTCATTTTATGGATCTATTATAATTTGTTCATTCATTCACTTGTTGATGGACATTTGAATTGTTTCTGGCTTGGACTATTATGATTAAAGCTTCTATGAACATTCATGTACAAGTCTTTGTGTGGGCATACATTTTCATTTCATTGGGTAAATATCTAGGAATGCAATCAATGAGTTGGGTGGTAAGTGTACACCTAACTTTACAAGAGACTTCCAAACTGTTTTCCAAAGTGGTAGTACCATCTTATGCTCTGACTGACAACACATGAAAAATCTGGTTGCTCCAGATCCTTGCCAACATTTGATGTTATCAGTCTTTTAAGTTTTAGCCATTAGAATAAGCACATAGTAGTATCTCATTGTGGTTTTAATTTGCAATTCCTTCATAATTAATGATGTTGACCATCTTTTCATGTGCCTATCAGCCATTCATGCATTTGCTTTTGCGAAGGGTCCATTCATAACTTTTGGCTAACCTTAATGCTTTTGAAGCCTGCTTTCTACATTTTTAATAAGAAGGACCCGATAATCACTTTCCCAGCTTCCCTTGCAACTAGCCTGCAGTCATGCGGTCTAGTCTTGACCAATCAGATCCTCCAAGTCTGCCTTCCACATTTAATAAAAAGTGCCTGACAGTCATTTTCCCATCTTCCTTTGCAACTAGCCTATAGTCACATGACCTAGTCTTGACCAATCAGATGCTCCAATCCAATCTTCAAATTGGTAGCTTGTGATTGAAACAAGTAGGGTCAGCAGAGACCATCTGGGCACTGGTAGGAGCCATAGCCACTGTAAGAGTAAATCCATATAAAATGTTGACGTGAAGGCCAGCCCTCTGGATTTCTTGAGTCCAAAAGCAGCAGGGGCCTCACCAAGTAACTTCTTTTCCTGCTAACCTCAGCTAAGTCCATCAAGTCTGTGTCTCACAATCAGGAAGACTAATTTGTTGATCCGACCATGTGGAGACTTGAACCTGTCAAATTTTCAGTGTACTGTGGGTGCCCAAGGCTGTGATTTTCTTGGTCAGAAACTTCACCTATCTCCAATGAGAACCGATGAATTGGCAGCCTGCTTGTCTTCGCAAGCTTGGCTCTCTTTCAACTTCTTTGCCTAAGGGCTGGACGATAAAAGGCAGGGCTGAAAATAAAATCGTATGATTGCCTTTTTTAAAGAGGGCTGAATTCCAAGGCATGGATCTCTGCCGTCATTTGCATTTGGATTGGGGATATCAATGCAGTATGATAAGTATTTATTTTAAAAAATCTGATAGCATGCAAATACATTTTCCTATTTCCCAGCTCCTTTCTCCTTCCCTAACCTTTGCACCCCTGACAAAAACAAGCAAACAAAAGCTCACCCGCTGTAAATGCAGCTGTGGATTTCTCAAAGACATGTCCTTTGGAAATTGCTAGAAGTTTCAAAGTTATATCGCCCTTGGCATTGTGCCTTGAGTACATACGGGACAGTGATGGGTGGGTTCAGGTTTTGTGGGATATGAAACAGGTGATTTGGCAGACTCCCCTTAAAAAAAGAATACAACAGTAGCATTACCAGTTAGCAGCAGGATCTTGGAATGGGTACTTGCAAGGGAAGGGGCTGACTCTGGCATTTCATTAGCTTTACTGTACATCTTTTTTTTTTTTTTTTTTTTTTTGAGACGGAGTCTTGCTCTATTGCCCACGCTATGGTGCAGTGGTGTGATCTCGACTCACTGCAACCTCCGCCTCCCGGGTTCAAGCGATTCTCTTGCCTCAGCCTCCCGAGTAGCTGGGACTACAGGTGCCCACCACCACACCTGGCTAATTTTTGTATTTTTAGTAGAGATGGGGTTTCACCATGTTGGCCAGGCTGGTCTCAAACTCCTGACATCAAGTGATCTGCCCACCTCGGCCTCCCAAAGTGCTGGGATTACAGGCGTGAGCAACCGCGTCTGGCCTCTTTATTGTACATCTTTTTCCTGCTGTCACTGATATTTTTCAAATATCAGCAGCAACCTAGATTCAGATGAGAGACCAAAACCAAGGTTCATCTTTCTTTTTTCTCTCTTTCTTTCTTTCTGTTGTTTTTGTTTGTTTGTTTGGTTTTTGAGACAGGGTCTTGCCCTGTCACCCAGATTGGAGTGCAGTGACACGATCTTGACTCATTGCAACCTCCACTTCCTGGGGTCAAGCAATTCTCCCACCTCAGCCTCCTGAGTAGCTGGGACTACAGGCATGTGCCACCACTCCCGGTTAATTTTTTTTTTTTTTTTTTTTTTTGGTAGAAACTGGGTTTCACCATGTTGCTCAGGCTGGTCTTGAACTTCTGGCCTCAAGTGATCTTCTAGCCTCAGCCTCCCAAGGTGCTGGGATTACAGGCATGAGCCACCATGCCTGGCCCAAGTTTCCCCTTTCAGTGGGTCAGGTTTTTAACTTTCCCTTCCTTGCTTCTTCCTTGGAAGGGGAAAAAAATCCAGCTCTTTCTGGGCATGTCTTTTGAACAGCTGTGTTGTCTGCCATCGCTGAACAGATTCAACATCTGGAGCAAATGAGGCTGTCAGTTTCACTAACCAACAGCCTTCTGTCACTGATCTACCATTAGGCAAAACTGCCACCAGTTAGGCAGAGCTAACAGTTAGTTTCCTCAGCCACCATTAAGCAAAACTGACAGTTTCCTCCTGTCCTCCTGTCGCTGGGCTATAATCAGGTACAACTGCCACCAGTGCTCTGAGCTTCCTCAGCTTTGGCCTGATGTCCAAACAACAAAATGTACCCTTGGCTTAGTGGATCAGAGGACAGGGAATTCCACGCTTTGTGTTCGGGAGTAAATAAAAGATACGTAGTCATAACATGCGTGAACCCAGCTAGAAGAGACACAGTTACTTCAATTCACTCTCTGCCCAGATGCCTCTGTCTAACCCTCCCTAGTGATTTTTTGGGATAGGGTCAGCAGGCCTCTCTTAGGCTCCTCCATCATCACCTCCTTGTTGCAGAATGAGTTTTTCCTATACAGAAAGGCTGGACTGTGCAATGTCAGGAGGCTGGAGCTCTACAGAGGATGCTGCCAAAACTGTAGAGAGCAGGAGCGGCTGAATGTAGGTGGGGCTACACCACCACTGTGGACCACAGTGCGCTGTGAGAAGCAGTGGGTTGAGCTTTTCCAGATGACTGACTTACTTTCTGTGACTTAGCATTAAGTGAAAAAAGGTGGAATCAGAGGAGTATAAGCAAGATCTTGTATTTAGAAATTGTGCCAGCTACTTGGGAGGCTGAGGTGGGACGACAGCCTGAGCCTCGGAGGTCAAGGTGCAGTGAGCCATGATCGTGCCACTGCACTCCAGCCTGGGTGACAGAATGAGACCCTGTCTCAAAAAAAAAAAAGAAAAAAGGGAAAGAAAGAGAGAGAGAAAGAAAGAAAGAAAGAAAGAAAGAAAGAAAGAAAGAAAGAAAGAGAAAGAAAGAAAGGGAAAGAAAGAAAAAGAAAAAGGAGGGAGGGAGGGAGGAAGGAAGGAAAAAGAAAACAAAGGGAAGAAAAAGAAGGAAAGAAAGGAGAAAGAGAGAAGAAAGAAAAGAGAGAAAGAAAGAAAGAGAAAAAGAAAGAAAGAAAGAAAAAGAAATTTTGTATATAGCCATATATATAGTTACGGTGAGGCAGAACCTATGTCCCAAAGATGGTTGCAACAATATCTCCCGCCCCACAAGCTCTTCTGCAGTGTGACCTTGACACTCTCCCCTCAGGGCTGGGGTCTAATTCCTTGCCCTTGAATCTTGCCGTATGATTCACCTTTAACCAATAGAATGCAAAGAAAACGGTCCTGCATGACTGCGAGACTCTCGAAACTCTTCCTCTCTGGAGGGCTCCTCCTGGGACCTTGTCTTGAGCAAGTTACCCGCCATGCTCTGAGGATGCCCAAGCCACATGGAGAGGCCATGCTTATGCATTCCAGGCCACAGTTCCAGCAGAGGCCAGGCTTCCAGGCACCTAGACAGTAGAACTGGGAGTGGAACAGCCCCCAGATGATCCCAGTCTTCCCAGCTGAGATTCCAGACACGTGGAACAAAGACTGTGCCTTTCCTGAATTCCAGACCCACAGAAGCCATGAACCTACTAAAATGATTGTGATTCATGCCACTACCCTTGGGGTGGTGAGTTATGTAGCAATGGATACGTACATCTTCCACCTCCTCCAGGAAGCCTCCCTGGCTGCACCCATCCCTGGGATCACCCTCTCCTACAAGGTCATGGCACCTCTTGGCCACAGCCCTCATTCCTCCCTTCATGATTATGTAGATATGTCGTGGCATGTTTGTTTAACATAACAGGAGTACAGAGAAAATGGACAGAGTCATATCCCAGGCTGACATTGGCCAGAAGGGAGTGATGGGGAAAGGAAAGAAAGAGAGAGAGAAAGAGGGAGGGAGAGTGGGGAGAGAGGAGGGGAAGGAAGGAAGAGAAGGAATGGGGGAAGGAGGCAGAGGCAAGACAAACAAAAAAAATTTCCATAATATAATGTGCTTGTATAATGGGATCCTATTTATGAACCTGTGTGTATATGCATGTGTGTGTAAATGCTTAAATAGACGCTTGAAAAGATGGTCCCAAAATGTTAGTGGTGACATTTAGGTGTCTTTTCTTCTTTATAATTTTCTATGTTGTTGCAATTACTTTTACAATGAGCATGTATTTTTACATCATCAGAAAGCAGAGAAAAGCTATTTTCATTGAAAAAAAATTTTTTTTTGTCTTTAAAGCATCTCTGGCTGACGACAGTGCGGCACTGCATGACTCAGATGTCCCCTCTTGGGTTCCTGGCTCCTAAAGCCTCTGGCATGTTGAGACCTTTGAGTTACTGAATTTTTCCTGGATGGGGGCTTCCAGCATGGTTTTCTGGGACTCTTCAGTGACCTCCAGGGATGTGGCCTGCTAGGGCGGCCTCCACCTCACCCATAGCACTGCCTCTCAGGGGATTCTCTGTAAGTCTGGGAGTTTCCCTGACCACTCGGCGTCATGCTGGGTGCGGTGATCGCCAACGGGATCCTCGTCACCTCACAGGATCCATTTCTCCCCTTCACAAACAGTAGAGAGAACCAGAAGAGGCCAAAGGGAAGGCCCATCTGCTGTACCAGCACCTGCCACTGGCCTTTTCGGCTTTTTTTTTTTTTCTTTTTGAGACGGAGTCTCACTTCGTCGCCCGGGCTGGAGTGCTGTGGCATGATCTCAGCTCACTGCAACCTCTGCCTCCTGGGTTCAAGCAATTCTCCTGCCTCAGCCTCCCGAGTAGCTGGGATTACAGGCGTATGCTGCCACACCCGGCTAATTTTTTTTTTTTTTTAATTTTAGCAGAGATAGGGTTTCGCTGTGTTACCCAGGCTGGTCTCGAACTCCTGAGCTCAGGCAATCCACCTGCCTGGGCCTCCCAAAGTGCTAGGATTACAGGCATGAGGCACTGCACCTGGCCTTGGCTTTTTTAAAAACAACTTTGATTGGGTGCAGTGATTCAAATCTGTAATCCCAGCACTTTGGGAGGTTGAGGTGAGAGGATCGCTGGAGGCCAGGAGTTCAAGACCAGCCTGGGAAACATAGCAAGACCCTGTCTCTACCAAAAATACAAAAGTCAGTGAAGCATGGTGGTGCACACCTGTGACTGCAGCTGCTCAGAAGGCTGAGGTGAGAGGATCCCTTGAGCCCGGGGAGGTCAAGGTTGCAGTGAGCTGTGACTGCACCACTGCACTCCAGTCTGGATGACAGAGTAAGACCCTGTCTCAAAAAATAAAAAGTAAATTAATTAAAATAAAAACAGCTTTATTGAGATGTAATATACATATCCTACAATGCACCCACTTAAAGTGTAGAATTCAATGGTTTGGGGCATATTACATTATTAAAATTTTAAAAACACGGTAAGGCCGGGCGCGGTGACTCACGCCTGTAATCCCAGCACTTTGGGAGGTCGAGTCGGGTGGATCACTTGAGGTGAGGAGTTCAAGACCAGCCTGGCTAACATGACGAAACCCTGCCTTTGCTAAAAATATAAAAATTAGCTGGGCGTGATGGCACACACCCATAATCTCAGCTACTCAGGTGGCTAAGGCACGAGAGTCACTTGAACCCAGAAGGTGGAGTTTGCAGTGAGCCAAGATCGTGCCACTGCACTCCAGCCTGGGTGACAGAGTAAGACTCTGTCTCAAAAAATAAAATAAAATGAAAAACATGGTAAAATATACATAACATAAAATTTGCCATTTTAACTTTTTTTTTTTTTTTTTTTTTTTGAGATGGAGTCTCGCTCTGTCGCCTAGGCTGGAGCGCAGTGGTGCAATCTCGGCTCACTACAAGCTCCGCCTCCCGGGTTCACGCCATTCTCCTGCCTCAGCCTCCCAAGTAGCTGGGACTACAGGTGCCCGCCACCACGCCTGGATAATTTTTTGTATTTTTAGTAGAGATGGGGTTTCACCAACGGTCTCGATCTCCTGACCTCGTGATCCGCCCGCCTCGACTTCCCAAAGTGCTGGGATTACAGGCGTGAGCCACCGCACCCAGCCCAGCCCATTTTAACCATTTTAAGTGTACAATTCAGTAGCATGAAATTCATTCACCATGTCGTGCATGCATGCATCACCACTATGACTCAAACCTGTAATCCCAGCACAAAAACGGTAGGTTTCTAAATCATTTTTTTTTTTTTTTGAGACTGAGTCTTGCTCTTATTGCCCAGGCTGGAGTGCAGTGGCGCACCCTCAGCTCACTGCAACCTCTGCCTCCCAGGTTCAAGAGATTCTCCTGTCTCAGCCTCCCAAGTAGCTGGGATTAATGCATGCACCACCACACCAAGCTAATTTTTTGTGTTTAGTAGAGACGGGGTTTCACCATGTTGGTCAGGCTGGTCCCGAACACCTGACCTCAGGTGATCCACCCACCTTGGCCTCCCAAAGTGCTAGGATTACAGGCATGAACCACCGTGCCCAGCCTCCAAAGCTTTTTTATCATCCCAAACGGAAACTCTACTGGTTAAGCAGTCACTCCCCGTTTCCCATCCCTTCCGCCAGCCCCAGCTCATCTGCTTTCTGTCTCTATGGATTTGTCTATTCTAGAGATTTCATACAGCGTTTGGCTTTTTGTCTGGCTTCTGTCACTTAGCACAATGTTTTCAAAGTTGACCCACGCGGTGGCACGTGTAGGGCTTGGTTCCTTGTTAAGGCTGAATAAGGTCCCATCGGATAACTAGACCGCGTTGTGTTTATCCACTCATCCATCATACACTTGGGCTGTTTCCATCCTTCTTTCAAGTCTCAGGAGTGTGTTTGTCCTGTTGGATATAGACCACCTTCATCCCTGCTCCCCATCGGAACTCAAAATCTGCCAAGGATGTTTCAGGTCTGGAGCAGAGGGTGGGATAAGGAGGAGCAGCTCCGGAGGTTGGAGGGAGGATAGAGGGGAGAAGACGTTCACACCCACTCATATGTCCAGTGACCCAGCTGACGTAGACTTGGTTTCCTCCCAACGTGCCAATCAGGCAAGTTCCTCACCCTCTGTGCAACTCAGCTTCCTCATGTAATGCCTCCATGTGGAGTGCAGTCAGATGAGAAAAGAGAAGTGCGGGCAGACAGCTTAGCCCAGCAGCTGACTTGTGACGGACACCTGACCCGTGGCAGCGTGGCTGCAAGGCTGCCATCCAGCCTTCTCCCTGGAACCATCGCATCTCTCAGGCCTGGGGCTTTCCTGGCAGCCAGAGCTTGCCCTAACAGTGTTCATGGCAGGATGGAAATGCAGGGAATAAAGCCATCCCCTCCCCTAGAAGCCCTCACCCATCAGTGCGGAAACGCCCAGCTCCCTCCCACCCGGGTGGGGTAACTCCGAAATGCCCCTTCTGCAGAGCTGCCAGGGTCCCCCAGGGAGATGACGCTCCAGTTGCCCATGGGGGAGCCTGGTTTGCCATTGCACCCTGTTTAAAAATATTTTGTGGGTACATAGTAGGTGTATATATTTATGGAATACATAAGATGTTTTGCTGGACACGGTGGCTCACGCCTGTAATCCCTGCACTTTGGGAGGCTGAGGCGGGTGGATCGCCTGAGGTCGGGAATTCGAGACCAGCCTGGCCAACGTTGGTGAAACCCCATTTCTACTAAAAATACAAAAAAAAATTAGCTGGGCATAGTGGCGGGCTCCTGTAATCCCAGTTACTAGGGAGGCTGAGGCAGGAGAATCGCTTGAACCCAGAAGATGGAGGTTGCAGTGAGCAGAGATCGTGCCACTGCACTCCAGCCTGGGCAATAAGAGTGAAACTCCATCTCAAAAAAAAAAAAAAGAAAGAAAAAAATAATGTTTTGATACAGTCATGCAGTGTGTAATAATCACATCAGTGTAAATGGAGTATCCCTTCCCTCAAACATTTATCCTTTGTGTTACAAACAATCCAATTATACTTTTTAAAATTATTTTATTTTATTTTATTTTGTATTTTTATTAGAGATGAGGTTTCACCATGTTGGCCAGGCTGGTCTTAAACTCCTGACCTCAAATGATCCATCTGCCTTGGCCTCCCAAAGTGCTGGGATTACAGGTGTGAGCCACTGTGCTGGCCTGTTTTTCATTATTTTAAAATGTGCAATTAAATTATGATTGACTACAGTCACCCCATTGTGTTATCAAATACTAGGTCTTACTCATTCTATCTATTGTTTTGTACCCATTAACCATCCCCGCCTCCCCCAACCCCTACTACTTGTCCCAGCCTCCGGTAACCATCTTTCCACTCTCTATCTCCATGAGTTCAATTGTTTTTATTTTTAGCTCCCGCAAATAAGTGAGAACATGGCCATCGCACCGTTTGTTGAACGCCTTCTCTTCCCCCTCTCCCTCCCCACTCTTGGTGTTCCCAGTACGACCCCACCCCCCCCCCCCCCGCCAATAAACCAAGTGCATTTGAACCCTTATCTCAGAAATGCTTCTGGCAGGAATTCAAGCAAAGCTATTATTATTATTATCATTATTACTGTTAAATGGGATCCATCTCATCTTCCACCTCCTCCAGGAAGCCTCCCTGGCTGCACCCACTCCAGGGACCTCCCTCTCCTACAAAGCCACAGCACTTGTTCATCACAGCCCTCGTTCCTGTCTTCATCGAGTCCACCTTATTTTATTCTACATTTCATCTGTTGCTAGCAGAAAATGCTAATTCCTTGGGCTGGCCCCTGGGAAGCTGGCAACGCACACCCTCTGAATCTGTGATGAAGCTGTACCGCCTTTGATGGAGTCAGAAGATGAAACGCGGACCGCGGTGCTGCGAATCCCTGGGAGATGGGGCCGGCATGCAATATTTAAAGGGCCGTTTCATGAAAGGGAGCTACCCAGGCTTTTAACATAGGTTTTCAAGAAAGTCGGACTCGATTTTTCAGCCTCAAACTCATGTTTGGGTGCACTTCGTGCTTTAAATACTCATTTCTACTGCCTTGATATTTTAATTTATTGCCTTTCAAGTTTTATAAGTCCAAAGTGCTTTCAGGGGCTCGGTCTCACGAGAGGCAGGGGACGAGAACTGGGGACTCATTGCATTCGAAGAGAGAATTTTACGGTCCCTGAGAGGTCAGTGAGCGGACCCTCTGACATGGAGGTATGAGGCACTTAAGGTTTGTCCTCACAGAGGCCAAGATATCTGTCGAAAAGTGCAGAGTTAATTCAGGGCGGCTTGACTCTTCTTCCTTCTTCTCCCTCCTTCAGTGTCTCTTTCCCTTCTTTTTCTTTTTCTCCTTTCTTTCCGCTTTTTAATCGAGATATAACTTACAGTAGGCTAGGTTGCGGTGGCTCACGCCTGTAATCCCAACACTTTGGGAGGCCAAGATAGGAGGATCACTTGAGGCCAGGAGTTTGAGACAAGCTGGGGCAATAGAGCAAGGCCCCATCTTTACAAAAAAAAATTTTTTTTTAATTAGTTGGGCTTGGGGTCACGGTGGCATGCACCTGTAGTCTCAGCTACTCTCGGAAGGCTGACGCAGGAGGATCGCTTGAGCCCAGGAGTTCGAGGCTGCAATGAGTAAGGTTTCTGCCACTGCACTCCATCCTGAAAGACAGAGCAAGAACTTGTCTCGAAAAAAGAAAAAGAAAAAGAGAGAGAGAAAACTCACAGTAAAGCAGACAGATCTTAGATCTAAGGGCACAGATTAATGCATTTCTGTGCATGTGCCCCTTGTCATTTCTACCAGGTCAAGATCTAGAACATTCTGTTTCTTCAGAGGGTCCCCCATGGCCCTTCCCAGTCAGTAGCCCCAAAAGGTAACCGCTCTTCTGACCTCTTTCACCAAGATTAGTATTTTTTTTTTTGAGACAGAGTTCTGCTCTGTTGACCAGGCTAGAGTGCAGTGTCAGATCTTGGCTCACAGCAACCTCCGCCTCCCGGGTTCAAGCAGTTCTCCTGCCTCAGACCCCTGAGTAGCTGGGATTACAGATGTGTGCCACCACACCCAGATAATTTTTTGAATTTTTAGTACAGATGGGGTTTCACCATGTTGGCTGGGCTGGCCTCAAACTCCTGACCTCAAGTGATTTGCCCTCCTCGTACTCCCAAAGTGTTGGGATTACAGGCGTGAGCTACCGGTCAACTAGTCTTAAAGTTTGTATATAAATGGAACTTTACAGCACGTCTGCATCTTCCACTCCACATTTTAAAATTTATCCATAAGGTTGCACACATCAATAATTTGTTCTTTTTCATGCCTATGTAGTATTCCACTGCAACATAGTGCAATGTATTTAATCTATTCTACTTTGGGCAGGGATTTGGTTTATTTCCAGTTTGGGCTCTGTATTCATATGCTCAGGCTGCCACAACAAAGTACCACAGACTACATGGCTTAAACAGCTGAAATTTATTTTTCTGCAGTTTTGGAGTCTGGAAATCCAAGATCAAGGTGCCAGCAAGTTTGGTTTCTCCTGAGCCCTCTCTCTTGGCTTGCAAATGCCTGTCTTCTCATGATGTCCTCACATGGCTTTTTCTCTGGGTGTGTGTATCTGTGGTGTCTCTTCCTCTTCTTATACAGACAAGTCATACTGGATTAGAGCTTCACTCTTATGTCCTCATTTTATTGTAATTATCTATCTATTTTTATTTATTTTTTTATTTTTTTGAGACAGAGTCTTGCTCTGTTGCCCAGGCTAGAGTGCAATTGCACGATCTCGGCTCACTGCAACCTGCACCTCCCTGGTTCAAGCAATTCCCCTGCCTCAGCCTCCTGAGTAGCTGGGATTACAGGAGCACGCCACCACGCCCTGCTAATTTTTTTGTATTTTAAATAGAGATGGGGTTTCATCATGTTGGCCAAACTGGTCTTGAACTCCTGACCTCAGGCGATCCACCCACCTTGGCCTCCCAAAGTGCTGGGATTATAGGAGTGAGCCACCGCGCCCGGCCTGTAATTACCTCTTTAAAAGCCAAACACAGTCACATTAGGGGTTCAGGCTTCAATATATAAATTTTGGGGAGACACAATTCAGTCTATAACAGGCTATTAAGAATAATTCTGCTATAAGGAACTCAAATAACTCAATAAGAAGGAAACAAAGAACTCAATTTTTTTTTTTAATGGGCAAAGGGGCCGGGCATAGTGGCTCACGCCTGTAATCCCAGCACTTTGGGAGGCCGAGGTGGGTGGATCACCTGGGGTCAGGCATTTGAGACCAGCCTTGCTAATGTGGTGAAACCCTGTCTCTACTAAAAATACAAAAATTAGCTGGGCGTGGTGGCGGACACCTGTAATCCCGGCTACTTGGGAGGCTGAGGCAGGAGAATCGCTTGAACCTGGGTGGCAGAGGTTGCAGTGAGCCGAGATCGCGCCACTGCACTCGAGCCTGGGCGATAGAGTGAGACTCTGTCCCCCCCAAAAAAAAAAAAAGTATGTGAAATAATGCATATGTTAATTTGCTGAATTTAGCCATTCCACAATGTATACACATATTTCAAAACATGTACCTGATAAAATATACCATGTTTATTTGTGAATTTTATATATATATATGTACATACCAGTTCTTTTTTAAAAAGAATAATGCTGTTATGAACATCCACATGCAGGGTCTTTTCATGAACATCACACTCATTTTTGCTGGGCGTACACTCAGGGTTGGACTTACTCGTAGCATGTTGCATGTAGTAAGTGGTGTAACATGTTACATGCATGTAGCACGTAGCAAGAGTGACGTCAGTCAATACCCCCAAACGCCCTTCCAAAGTGGCTGCACCAATCAACATTCTCACGGAGTTGGAGTGAGATTTCTAGCGCTGTGCTCACAGTTTAGGACTTTCAGTCATTTGCTGCTATATAAAGTCTGAGTGTAGGCAAAGCAGTGACTTAGAACCACTGACATTTCAAAACAGAAATTGCCTTTTCTGCGTCTGAGTATGTGCCTAACATCTAGCAATAGTATCTGCATGCATTAATGCGCATGTAATTTTAGTGCTTCTTTAGAGACCTGGAAAGAATAAAGTGAGATTTCTAGTGCCACATCCTTTTTTGGTGTAGTCTGTCCTTTTCATTTTAGTCTTTCTAGTGGGCATATGCAGCATCATTTTTTAAAAATCTACTTTCTATTTTGGAATAATTGTAGATTTGTAGAACAGTTGCAAATACTACAGATTTGTAGAAAAGTTGCAGATATGGCTCCTGTATCCTTTTCATTCAGCTTCTCCTTATGGTAACATCAAAATAACATTCTTCTTTAAAAATTAAAAACATTAAGGCCAGGTGCCGTGGCTCACGCCTGTAATCCCAGCACTTTGGGAGGCCGAGGCGGGTGGATCACTTGAGATCAGGAGTTCGAGGCCAGCCTGGCCAACGTGACAAAACCCCGTCTCTACTAAAAATACAAAAATTAGCTGGGTGTGGTGGCGGGAGCCTGTAATCCCAGCTACTTGGAAGGCTGAGGCAGGGGAATGGCTTGAGCCTGGGAGGTAGAGATTGCAGTGAGCTGAGATCACGCCACTGCACTCCAACCTGGGTTTCAGAGCGAGACTCTGGCTCAAAAAAACAAAACAAAACAAAAACAAACAAACAAAAAGGTACCAGTGGATCACATGTCACTTATCTAACTAAAATATCTAAATTAGACATGCATCTTAAAATGAGCTTAGGCCCTGCATTTATTTTAATAATTGGAATAGTTGATATTTTGATCTTTTGCAGGATAATGAAAATCCTCCTATTATTCCCTATCATGGATGGAGAATTCATCATTTTCTGCATATATCAAATGAACTGTTTTTTTTTGTTTGTTTGTTTGTTTTTTTTTTGGAGACGGAGTCTTGCTCTGTCATCCAGGCTGGAGTGCAGTGGCGTGATCTCAGCTCACTGCAAGCTCTGCCTCCCAGGTTCACGCCATTCTCCTGCCTCAGCCTCCCGAGTAGCTGGGACTACAGGCGCCCGCCACCACGCCCGGTTAATTTTTTTGTATTTTTAGTAGAGATGGGGTTTCACCATGTTAGTCAGGATGGTCTCGATCTCCTGACCTCGTGATCCACCCGCCTCAGCCTCCCAAAGTGCTGGGATTAGAGGTGTGAGCCACCACACCCGGCCAGATGAACTGTTTTTAAGTCATTCTTTGTCTCATGTATTCTCTTCACCCCAAAATCAGAGGAAAAAAAACAAACATAGCTGGGTGCAGTGGCTCATGCCTGTAATCCCAGCAGTTTGGGAGGCCCAGGTGGGAAGATCGCTTGAGTCTAGGAATTCAAGGCCAGCCTGGGCAACATAGCAAGATCCTGTCTCTACAAAAAATAAAAAACAAAAAGAACAAAATTAGCCAGGCGTGGTGGTGGACCTGTAGTCCTGCTACTCGGGAGGCTGAGGTGGGAGGATGGTTTGAGCCTGAAGAGGTTAAGGCTTTAATGAGCCATGATTGTGCCACTGCCTGGGTAACAGAGCGAGACCCTCTCTCAAAAAAGAAAAAAAAAGTATCAAATACATGTATGGGTATACTTCATGTTTAGATTTTTTAAATTATGGTGAAATATACAGACATAAAATTTACCATCTTAACCATTTTGAGTGTACAGTTCAATAGTGGTAAGCATATTCACACTGCTATGAACCCTCATCTCCATCCATCTCTAGAATTTTTCATCTTGCAAAACTGAAACTCTATATCATCCATTCAGAATAACCTTTTAAAAGTACAAATCAGATATGATTCTCTCCCTGAGAGCCCTCTGAATTTTTCCCATATGTCTTACAATAAAATCTAAACTCTGGGCCAGGTACGGTGGCTCACGCCTATAATCCCAGCACTTTGGGAGGTCAAGGCAGGAGGATCGCTTGAGCCCAGAACTTTGAGACCAGCCTGGGAAACATTCTGAGACCCCATCTCTACAAAAAATTTAGAAGTTAGCTGGGTTTGCTGGTGTGCATCTATGGTCCCAGCTACTCCGGAGGCTGAGACAGAAGGATTCTTTGAAGCTGAAAGCTGGAGACTGCAGTGATCCATGATCTTACCACTGCACTCCAGCCAGGGTGACAGAGTGAGACTCTGTCTCCAAAAACAGAGAGAAAAAAAAAAAAAAAAGGACTAGACTCTGAACCATGAGCCCCCTGTGGAATCACCCAGGGCCCTGGTACCTTGCTGTTTCTTGGCCACACCCAGAATCTTCACCCGGCTGACTCCCTCTGTCTTTGAAACATTCACCTTGATCTGAACTTATTGTGTTCAGTCATTTGTTTGTGGCTTACTGTCTGTCTGCACTAGTAGGTGGTGTGGGCTGAATTCTGTTCCCCTAAAATTCATATGTGAAGTTCTCACTTCCAGTGTCCCAGAAAGTGCCTGTATTTGAAGATGGGGCTTTGAAGAACTGATTAAGTTTGAATGAATTCATTGGAGTGCACCATAATCCAACAGGACTTGGGTCCTTATAAGAAGAAAAGATTAGGACACAGACACGCACAGAGGGACACCCCTGTGATGACACAGGGAGAAGACAGTGTCTACAAGCCAAGGAAAGTGGCCTCAGAAGGAATTGACCCCGCCAACACCTTGATCTTGAACTTTAGCCTCCAGAATTGATAGAAAATAAATCTCTGTTGCTGAAGCCGCCCAGTCTATGCATTTTTCGTGGTAGTGCCTGGAAACTAATAATACACAAGGCCTCAGCCTTCTGTCATTGTCATAGAGGGCCCCAGCCTTCTGTCATTGTCATTGAGGGCCCCAGGCTTCTGGCAGGACAGCCAAGAGCGGAATATAAGGTGGCAGAAGTGGGACAGTAAGTGAGACTCTCTTCGTGGAGAGAGCGTTAAAGTTGACACACTTCCTTGAAGAGCTCAGCACCTCAGGGCTTGTGGTACAAAGATGGGTTGAGGGGCTACAGCTAGAGTCAGGGGACAGTGCCCACCTTTGCCAAACACACCCCTGGCCTGCTTGCCAGGCCTGGTTACCCAGGCACACAGAGCTCAGCTATCCAGAGGGGCATAGCACAACCTCCCCACGGTAAGACAGGGCACTGGGACCACTGGGAGCCACCAGTTTCCTGGAAAGCAGTGCAGGGCCTTCTGTGGATGTTTGCAAAGTGCAGCCCTACAGGTGACACCTGTTAGGCCAACAGGTGCCCCGGGGCCGCCAATGTACAGCTGGCAGAGACGGAGTCCATCGCAATGCTGGAGTCCTAGGATCTCAATTCCTGCGGGTGTTTGGCTTCTTCTGTCTTTCCTGTTATCAGTTACACGATTAGAGGAAAATTAATCCGTGGATCTTGTTCAAGTTGCACGCCTGGAAGAAGCTACGCCTGATGGGTAAAAACAAAAAGACACAAAAAAGGTGCTGTTGTGTTAGTCAGCACTGGATCCCACCAGCAGAACCACTTGGGGCTATATATACAACATGAGGTTGACCATCGGTGATGTGGGCTGAATTCTGTTCCCCTAAAATTCATATGTTGAAGTCGTAACCCTCAGCACTCTTAGAAAGTGCCCGTATTTGAATACAGGGTTTTAAAGAGGTGATTAAGTTTGAAAGAATTCATTAACTGGGGTCCTTATAAGAAGAAAAGTTGGGCGAGGTGCGGTGGCTCACGCCTGTAATCCCAGCGCTTTGGGAGGCTGAGGCAGGCAGATAACGAGGTCAGGAGTTCCAGACCAGCCCGGCCAATATGGTGAAACCCCGTCTCCACTAAAAATATAAAAATTAGTTGGGCTTGGTGGCACACACTTGTATTCCCAGCTACTCGGGAGGCTGAGAGCAGAAGAATCACTTGAACCTGGGAGGCGGAGGTTGCAGTGAGCCGAGATCATGCCACTGCACTCCAGCCTGGGCGACAGAGCGAGACTCCATCTCAAAAAAAAAAAAAAAAAAAAAAGAAGAAGAAGAAGAAGAAAAGTTGACTGTGTTTCAAAATAAAAAGTATATATGCAATTTGCCGCTTACCACGTTTGAGAATTCAACACAATACAGGAAGTTTTAGAAATATACTGCCATTAGAGCATCACACCTTTTCTGGAACAAGCTTAGCACAGAGAACATCAACCAGACAATCTTACATCAACTGTAACCAAGTAGGAATTTTGCATCTAGCTGAAATGTCATAACAGTTACAAAAAAGAATCACAAGCCTTAGTCGATTTGAGCTTCTTTTTCAAACGTCTTAAAAAAGTCAAACCAAACAATATTTTAAGCAGGAAAAGACTAATTTTCACAGAGTTGAGTGATCATCCGTCTTAGTGGCTCAGAGCACCCATTAGCCATCCCATAATAAACTGGAGTAGAAGTTTATTGCTTACATTAAGCATTGCAAATTAAAGGAAAGGGATAATTTCCTTTTAGCAAAATACTCTAGATACCACATCAAAATTACAGAAATAATTGTGTCAGAAATACAGTTTAATAGCAAATGGTGTTCTGCTGTGAAACGAAATGCTTTTTAGTAGGTTATATCTTGTAGAATCCACCTGACCCTTGGACATCAAAAGGAAGAATTTCCCATAAGAAAAGCTTTAGGGCAATTTCACTTAGTGGCTAGAGATTTATTTTCCATGTCACCAGATTATTAATAGCTGGGATTTCTGTTTCAAATCAAGGCAGGAAATTAGTCATATCATGTACAAAGAAAGATTTCATGCGGTCCCACCTATTTCAAAAAGGAAAATGTGGTTAAGTACTGTATTTAAATTAAATGATCAGTGTTATAGCAATTACTGAGGCACGATTTTGTCAGATGGCAAAGAGAATGCATTAAAGATATGAACAGCTGTTTCTCAGTTTAAATTTATAGTATTTCAAAATTCAGGAAATGACTTTTGTGTTCTACTTAGAATCGAATTACAAAAATAACAGAACCAGCCCATAATACAGCATTTCGAATTACAGAGACGTTTGGACCCTTTCACCAAAGTATACCGTTTTGGCAAAATGATCCAGTTCTAATAAAATCAGAACTGTAACGCAATAAAATCAGGTTTCATGTTAGAGTTACATATTACGTTAGTGATCATTTTCACTACAAAGATATCATTTGAATACCAAATCCAAGCACAGTTTTGTGTGGCAGTTTAAGGAAGAACCAGTCAACTGGCTTTTAAACTAGAGCATCACGGCTTTTCTGGAACAAGCTTAGCATACATAGAATATACACCATTCAAGCTTAGCGTGTAATAAACTAACATGGCTTTTAAAATCATACAATCCCCACTCCTTTTTCTTGTTAGAAAGTTATTCATGCAAATTACTGAATTTCACACAGCAGGGTAATTATAGTATAAAAAGTGAGTTGCTTTACTCTGAGGCTGATTCAAAACTAGGATCAACCATTCGAGGTATAACAGCCTTTCCGAATTCTCCCTTGAGGGTGTTTAACACATTAATAATTAGTTAGGTCAGGCTGACGTTTCAAGTATTACATCTGGCCGGGTGTGGTGGCTCATGCCTGTAATCCCAGTGATTTGGGAGGCTGAGGTGGGAGGATCGTTTCAGCCCAGGAGTTCAAGACCAGCCTGGGCAACATAGCAAGACCCCATCTCCATAAAAAAATTAAAAAATTAGCTGGGCATGGTGGTGTGTGCCCGTGATCCCAGCTACCCTGGAGGCTGGGGTGGGAGGATTGATTGAACCTCGGTTTTCGAGGCTGCAGTGAGCTATGATCACCTGGGTGATCCAGCCTGGGTGACAGAGCAAGACCCTGTCTCAAAAAAAAAAAAAAGTGAATACTTCTTGTGAAGAATGGAAACCCAGTATCAAGGGGTTTTTCCACTAAATGCATCCTGGCCAGTGCCTTTGGTTGGTGCCTTTTTCAAGATCCTCATGAAAAACCTGCCTTCTTTTTTTTTTCTTTTGAGATGAAATCTCACTCTGTCACCCAGGCTGGAGTGCTGTGGCACGATCTTGGCTCACTGCAAACTCTACCTCCCGGGTTCAAGCAATTCTCCTGCCTCAGCCTCTAGAGTAGGTGGGACTACAGGTGTTCGCCACCACACTCGTCTAATTTTGTATTTTTAGTAGAGATGGGGTTTCACCATATTGGCCAGGCTGTTCTCGAACTCCTGACCTCTAGTGATCACCTGCCTCAGCCTCCCAAACTGCTGGGATCACAGGTGTAAGCCACCATGCCTGGCCAAAAGCCTGCCTTGTTTTAGAGAGGAAAATCTGAGTATCGATAAAGAATAACAATTGCAATGGCTTGAAACAACTCATGATTTTGAAAACTGGTTTGTAAAGAAAAAAAAAAAGGGACAGACTGTGAGATGGAACATTCATCCTGCCTTTTTTGAATAAATGTTGGGAGCATTCTCTCTTTGCAGAATTCTTTCAGCTCATAAACACAGGAGAAATCACAGATTTAGGGTGTCATCATATTGCAAATTCAGCAGTGATATGATCTAAGAAAGGGACCATCAGACATAATATGTCCCCAAGGGAGGACACACCATCATCCATGAAGTGGTCTTGCCGAAAACCCCGCCTGAACCTGACAGGTCTTCAGACTTTCCCGATTAGATTAAATGCAGAGAAATGCAAATCAAAACCACAATGAGATACCATCTCACACCAGTTAGAATGGCGATCATTAAAAAATCTGGAAACAACAGGTGCTGGAGAGGATGTGGAGAAATAGGAACACTTTTACACTGTTGGTGGGACTGTAAACTAGTTCAACCATTGTGGAAGTCGGTGTGGCAATTCCTCAGGGATCTAGAACTAGAAATACCATTTGACCCAGCCATCCCATTACTGGGTATATACCCAAAGGACTATAAATCATGCTGCTATAAAGACACATGCACACGTATGTTTATTGCGGCACTATTCACAATAGCAAAGACTTGGAACCAGCCCAGATGTCCAACAATGATAGACTGGATTAAGAAAATGTGGCACATATACACCATGGAATACTATGCAGCCATAAAAAATGATGAGTTCATGTCCTTTGTAGGGACATGGATGAAGCTGGAAACCATCATTTCAGCAAACTATCGCAAGAAGAAAAAACCAAACACTGCATGTTCTCACTCATAGGTGGGAATTGAACAATGAGAACACGTGGACACAGGAAGGGGAACATCACACACTGGGGACTGTTGTGGGGTGGGGGGAGGGGGAGGGATAGCATTAGGAGATATACCTAATGTAAATGACGAGTTGATGGGTGCAGCACACCAACATGGCACATGTATATATATATGTTACAAACCTGCATGTTGTGCACATGTACCCTAAAACTTAAAGTTTTATATATATATATAAAAATTATATATTATATATAAATATATAAATATAAATATATATATATAAATATAAAAGATGAAATGCAGAGGACAGAGAAATACATTTCAGGACATCTCAGGGCTGCAAGCAGCAAAATCCAGGCAGTGGGAAACCCAACAGAATCAACAACCTAGTTTCTTTGATGAATAAATCACAAACGGAGTGGGAAAAATAAAGACGGAGAGTGCGGGAGGGAAAATCTCCCAGAATAAAAGAGACATAGGTATGATCCAATTGCAATGTGTGGACTTTATTTGGATTCAAAGTGTAAAAAAATATAAAAATATGTACAATTATAAGACAATTGGGGAAGTGGGGAAATTAGAACAGAGGATATTTGAAGAGATCAAGGGCTTAGAGCTCATTTTTTAGGTGTGATAATAAAATAGTGGTTATGTGGGGTTTTTTTGGAAAAACATGTCCTTATCTTTTAAAGATATTCACTGAAATGCTTACAGATGAAAGATGATGTCTAGGATTTACTTTTGTCATCAGAGAGACCAAAATAGATGCCTCTGGATTAACTTAGATGGACTCTAACAAAACTCAATTACCTACAGGTCAAGCGTTCAGGGCCTGGCTGACATGGCAAATTTCTAAATTCCTATAGCTGCAAGAAAAACCACACTTGCTAAACTTCCTGACAATAGGAGCTATCAGACCCCTTCTAACTCTTTTTATGTTTTTTATTTATTTTATTTTTTGAGATGGAGTCTCATTCTGTTGCCCAGGCTGGAGTGCAGTGGCACGATCTCGGCTCACTTCAACCTCTGCCTCCTGGGTTCTGCCTCCTGGGTTCAAGCGATTCCCTTCCTCAGCCTCCCGAGTAGCTGGGACTACAGGTGTGCACAACCACACCTGGCTAATTTTTGTATGTTTAGTAGAGACAGGGTTTCACCATGTTGGCCAGGCTGGTCTCAAACTCCTGACCTCAGGTGATCCGTCCATCTCAGCCTCCCAAAGTGCTGGAATTAGAGGCATAAGCCACTGCACTCGGCCTTTTTTTGTTTTATTTTTTTGTAAAGACAAAGTCTTGCTATGTTGTCCAGGCTGTTCACAGACTCCTGAGTTCAAGCAGTCCTCCCACCTCAGCCTCCCAAAGTGCTGAGATTACAGACGTGAACCACTGTGCCCAGCCTACCTCTGATTTACAACTCAGACCACTGCAATTCTGATTGGACAAAGGACCAGCCTTAACAAACATACTTTCCTAATAAGCAACTGCAGAACTTAAGCCAGTTTCAGCGCTCATAGAGATTGCTCACAAATTTTCTTTGAGTCCCATAGTTTACCTACTGCTGTAAAAAGCCAAATGCCACCTCAATTTAATGCCAAAACCCTGCCCCAAAGTGAGCACCGGATGTATGTGACATATATGCTTACCCAATGTCCATGCATTCAGCTCCTCTCATAAATATGTGTAGCTTCCCCCACAAACCTCCTGAATATGCATGACTCTATTGTCTAATGAGGAACCTATGAGGCATAAATCCCAACCTGTCCTTTCACTTCTCGAAGGAGGGCACCTTTAGCACATGCAAAGACTGTCTCTTCCGGTTTGCCAACTGATATCACCAGTAAAGCTTTTTTTCCTGTGATTTAGCCATCCTACTGATCTGTTGTTTTATTTTTTATTTATTTTATTTTATTTTATTTTATTGAGACGGAGTCTCTCTCTGTCACCCAGGCTGGAGTGCAAGGGTGTGATCTCAGCTCACCGCAACCTCCGCCTCCTGAGTTCAAGTAATTCTCATGCCTCAGCCTCCCGAGTAGCTGGGGTTACAGGTGCCTGCCACCACGCCCAGCAAATTTTTTGTATTTTTAGTAGAGATGGGGTTTCACCATGTTGGTCAGGCTGGCCTCGAACTCCTGACCTCAGGTGATCCACCTGCCTCGGCCTCCCAAAGTGCTGGGATTACAGGCGTGAGCCACTGCACCCGGGCTGGTGTTTTGGATCACACTTCGAAACAATCCAGGTTGGGCAGGAGGAGGGAGCGTAGTCTGGGCAGAGTCCTAGTAAGACTGGCCTTGAATTGGGTACTTATGGAAGCCAGGAGGCGAATATATAGTGGTTCACCTTCTCCATTTATGTTTAGATTTGAAATTTTCCATAGTAAAACTTTTTTGAAAGAAGCAATTTAAGATACAGCGAAAGCCACAGACTAGTATTAACTTTTTTTTTTAATTTAAAAGAATTTTTTTGAGACAGAATCTCACTCTGCTGCTCAGGCTATAGTGCAATGGTACAACCATAGTTCACTGAAGCCTTAACCTTCTGGAGTCAAGTGATCCTCCCACCTCAGCCTCCTGAGTAGCTGGGACTTAGCTGTGCTCCACCACACCCAGCTAATTTTTTATTTTTTGTAGAGATGGGGTCTTGCTGTGTTGCCCAGGCTGTCTCAAGTGATCTCAAATGATCCTCCCATCTCAGCCTCTCAAAGTGCTGGGATTACAGGTATGAGCCACTGCGCCCATCCTACAATGACTTTTTAATCCAATTCAGAAGTTAATGTTTTCGTTGGGTAGCTAAAATCTCTGATCAACAGATTTTTTTTTCTGCAAAAAAAAAAAGTGAGTTTTTTTCCAGGAAAAAAAAAGATGTGTAATATTTTATGTTTATTAAATACCAATATATATACAGCCAGCTTGGGGACCTTGATACACCCATCTTGAAGATCATTGTTCTAGAATGCTGCTGGCCCCACTGGGGTCCCTGTGCCAGCAGCTGTCCAGATATCTCAGCCACTTTTTTTTTTTTTTTTTTTGAGACAGAGTCTCACTCTGTTGCCCAGGCTAGAGTGTAGTGGCACAGTTTTGGCTCACTGCAACCTCTGCCTCCTGGGTTCAAACAATCCTCCTGCCTCAGCCTCCTGAGTAGATGGGACTACAGGTGCCCACCACCACACCCAGCTGATTTTTGTATTTTTAGTAGAGATAGAGTTTCGCCATGTTGGCCAGGCTGGTCTCGAACTCCTGGCCTCAGGTGATCCACCTGCCTCAGCCTCCCAAAATGCTAGGATTACAGGCGTAAGCCACCAAGCCCAGCCCTGTCAGCCACTTTTTAATGCACCCATTCCAAACCTTTGCATTTGACTGTTCTTTACTTCCCTTCAACCCCTCTGTGTCATCGCAGAGCCCAATGACTCCCCTGGAGACCACGGCTTTGCTAATTAAAATAGTTTTCCTGATTCTTGAAGGTGTGGATTATCATGAGTATTGCATTTATTGAAGCCGTTGCTGTGGAGAATGACTAATAGGTCGAGACATGTCGTTCCCCCCGCAGGCTCGATTTACAGGATGTGCTGAAGCCAAAAGCCACTGATGCTCTGGCCTGAGGAGCCAGTGCTCCCTAGGGACCTATTTGTCTGTTCAATTCATTAGGCCAACCTTACCTGGGTCCCTGGGAGTCCAGATTTTTGTATTGCGTGTGATAAAAGGGCTTTCCTTGAATGTTCAAAGACATACCCTGAAGTTCCAGACTTTTGGTGCCAGCAGCTCCAGCCTGGTCCAGGGACCCTGGAGTGCAGGGGCCACACCCCACTGACTCTGCCCCTGTGGGAGTCCTGAGTTCTGGGCACCTCCTGAGGTCCCAACGGTCCTCTAATGCTGGCCTATCCCAAGTGCCCATGGCTGCATCTCAGAGCAGGGGCAGCCCGGGCACCAGGAGCCCCTCCTGGGACTAGACATGGAACCAGGTGGTGGGTGCCTGGTGGGGCCTGCAGACCCCACACTGTGAGTCAGGACAGCTGCTTCAGAAGGAACCTGAACCCAGAAGTACCCTGGTGGAGGGGAGAAACATCAGCCTTGACACTTAGCCTTCCTGAGCCTCAGTTTCCCTGTCTGTAAAATGGATATAAAACTACCTACCTGTATTCATTTGCTAAGCCCGCCCTCACAAAGGACTACTAACTTGGTGGCTGAAAGCAACAGAAATGTATTCTCTCATCATTCCAAAGGCCCAAAGTGCAAGATCCATTTCATTGGCTTGAAATCAAAGTGTTGGCAGGACCACACCTCCTCCGGGTGTGTGGGGCTCTGGGGACAACAAGTACCTTGCCTTTTCAGCTTCCAGGGGCTGGTATACCTTGGCTAATCTCTGCTTCTGACTTCACGTCGCCACCTCTTCTGCCTGTGTCAAATCTCCCTCCGTCTCCTACTTATAAGGACAGTTATAATTGTATTTAAGGCCCACCTGGCTGTCATTGGACCAGCCTAAGAGGTACAAAGGTGGTGAGGTGTCTGCTCCAAGCTGAAAGTACCAGATGCACGTGCTTTCAAGATAATTCCCCCATCTCAATATCTTTCACTTAATCGCATTTGCAAAACCTCTTTTTCCTTATGAAGAGACATTTACAGGTTCAAGGGATTAGGACCTTGGGCAGCCACCCTATCAGCCTACTACATGACCCCATAAAATAGCAGAGAGGATTCCTTGAGGGAATATATGTAAAGTTCTCAGACACTGCGTGTATTAGTTCGTTTTCATGCTGCTGATAAAGACGTACCCGAGACCGGGTAATTGATAAAGAAGACGAGGTTTAATGCACTCACAGTTCCATATGGCTGGGGAGTCTCCACAATCATGGCAGAAGGTGAAAGGCACGTCTTACATGGTGGCAGGCCAGACAGAATAAGAGCCAAGCGAAAAGGGAAAACTCTTATAAAACCATCAGATCGGGCATGGTGGCTCACACCTGTAATCCCAGCACTTTGGGAGACCAAGGCAGGCAGATCACCTGAGGTCAGGAGTTCGAGACCAGGCTGGCCAACATGGTGAAACCCTGTGTCTACTAAAAATACAAAAATTAACCGGGTGTGGTGGTGGGCACCTGTAATCCCAGCTACTAGGGAGGCTGAGGGTGGAGACTCACTTGAACCCAGGAGGCAGAGGTTGCAGTGAGCTGAGATTGAGCCACTGCACTCCAGCCTGGGCAACAAGAGCAAGACTCCAACTCAAAAAAACAATAAAAAACATCAGATCTCATGAGACATATTCACTACCAGTATGGTGGAAACCATCCCCATGATTCAATTATCTCCCAGCCGGTCCCTCCCACAACATGTGGGAATTATGGGAGCTGCAATTCAAGATGAGATTTGGGTGGGGACACAGCCAAATCGTATCACTGTGCCTGGTGCCTGGAAAGCAATATTGTCCCCGTTGTCCCAGGAGGCCAGGGAATTGGTATCTGATACGTTAGCTTGGACCTGAAACCATGCTCTGAACTTCCCCCAACACCTCCTTCCACATGCTTGTCTCATGACCTCTAAGGCTGGAAGCCTGACCCCTGTCCAGTGGAGCCTGTTCTCCACAGCCCCTGGAGCCAGAAGGTCCATCTTATACAGATACCCAGTGCCTGCCCCACAGTAAGCATTCACACCAAGCTTGCTGCTGGAATTCACTGGAGTACATTTTTTCAGAAACCCTGAAGCTTGCCTTTTTAAATGTCTACGTGTTGGATCTTTATGGAGATGTCCCTGAAATTGATTACATATTCCCCAACAGTGTCCCAGTGCAAAACATAAGCCTTTTGCAGCTGACACAGCCATGGTGGGGACTTTGTCCTTGCTGTGTGCACCTGCTATTAGAGCAGCCTGATACAAGCAGAGGCGGCAGGGTGTCTGCTCCAAGCTGAAAGTGCCATGTACATGTGACAGGTGTGACTTGCAGCTTTCCCTCTTCCTCCCTCCTGCCAGGGTATCCATGCTTCTCATCTGCAAGGAACCATTCGGCAAACAGTCATCCCCATCTTCCCTGCCTTACACCCCCCAATTCCCGCTCCAATTTTTTTTTTTAGACAGATTTTTGCACTGTCACCCAGGTTGGAGTGCAGTGGCACGATCTCGGCTCACTGCAACCTCCGCCTCCAGGGTTCAAGCGATTCTCCTGCTTCAGCCTCCCGAGTAGCTAGGATTACAGATGCCCACCATCACAATCAGCTAATTTTTGTATTTTTAGTAGAGACAGGGTTTCATCATGTTAGCCAGGCTGGTCTTGAACACCTGACCTCAAGTGATCTGCCCGCCTCAGCCTCCCAAGTAGCTGGGACTATCAGGCATGCACCACCACGCCCAGTTTATTTTTAAATTCTTTTTTGTAAAGGTGGGGTCTCACTATGTTGCCCAGGCTGGCCTGGAACTCCTAGCCTCAAGCAATCCTCTCACCTTGGCCTCCCAAAGTGCTGGGATTTGCAGGCATGAGCCACCACGCCCAGCCACTACATTACTAATTTTGTCAGATATTATTTATAGGAAAAGGCAAGGATCAGGGTCATTTATCTTTTAAGGAATGTAGTGACTCAGGCAAGAGACATCAGGGACCATGTACTCTGTCCTGTTTTGTCTTCAAAGTGTCATCTTTCTGGAGAACTACACGTTGTCCCAGAGTCAGGGGCCGTGTGAAATTCTGCTACGAACAGAAATGAACAAACATGGCTTCTTTTGTTTGTTACTTCATCTCCCATGTGTTTTATTTGGTCATGAATTACTGGTTGTATTTATAAGATTAATGTTGATTATTTTATATAGTTAGGAAGACTCTTTTTTCTTTCCAAAAAGTTATATGTTGTCACAAACCAAGGATTTTTTTTTTTTTTTTTTTTTTTTGAGACAGAGTCTCACTCTGTCTCCCAGGCTGGAGTGCAGTGGCATAATTTCGGCTCACCACAACCTCCACCTCCCAAGTTCAAGCGATTCTTCCACCTCAGCCTCCTGAGAGGCTGGGATTACAGGCGCCCACCACCACGCCCAGCTAATTTTTGTATTTTTAGTACAGACGGGGTTTCACCATGTTGGCCAGGTTGGTCTAGAACTCCTGACCTCAGGTGATCTGCCCGCCTTGGCCTCCCAAAGTGCTGGGATTACAGGCAGGAGCCACCGTGCCTGGCCACAAACCAAGGATCTTTATAAAACTATACCGAGCGCAAAAATAAGTAAACGTGAGTTATTCTATTTATTGCTTTGTCTCATGTTATTGTTATTGTTTGATTACATGCCCTCCTCCACCACCGCAAAGAATCTGAAATACTTTCTATCTTCTAACTTTTTTAATTGGCATCTAAAACTTTTCCTCAGTGTAAATGGTTGCAAAGGACAATATTTCTGGTGTAAATATTGACACTTAAAAAATAAAACTGTCATATCGCTCTCTTAAACATATCCATTGAAATCTACATACCACAGTAATTTGATATCCATCATCATTTGCTTAGAAGATACCCAGACAAGCTCCTTTTTAATAGTCAAGAATTTTGTAATTTTCGTTGCTCTCCTTGAGCTCATAGTTCCATTCCATTTCCCCCACAGAACTATATTCTAACTCAATCTATTTTTATGCTTGAAAGTATTTTATTAATCGCCCTATTATAACTCTCTCAACAAAAAAATATATCAGTTAAAATTACATTTTTTAATTACCTGTGACAAGAAAGCTCTAGAGTTAAATTCTTCTTGTTTGAGCTAACAATACAATCATGAGTACTCAATTTATCAAAACCAACTCATTATACATTTTTGTAAATAATTATTAAGCACAAACATAAACTTTTGTGAGACTTGCATCTTTTAATGAGATCGATGGGGGTGTCTGTTTTTCCGCACTGATTCCATGAATCCGTAGTTGAGTGTCTCTCTCCTCAATGAACTCAAATTCAGCAGCAGTTTTCCTCTCTTTATTTTTATTTTTATTTTATTTTATTGAGACGGAGCCTCGCCCTGTCACCCAGGCTGGAGTGCAGTGGTGCGATCTTGGCTCACTGCAACCTCCACCTCTGGGTTCAAGCGATTCTCCTGACTCAGCCTCCCAAGTAGCTGGAATTACAGGTGCACACCACCATGCCCAAATAATTTTTGTATTTTTAGTAGAGACGGGGTTTCACCATGTTGGCCAGGCGGGTCTCGAACTCCTGACCTCAAGTGATCTGCCTGCCTCGGCCTCCCAAAGTGCTGGGATTACAGACGTGAGCCACTGCACCCGGCCTCTGTCTATTTTTTAATGCAAGCATTAAAAAGATACCATTCATGAAATAAGTAGATGGGCACATGGAAGGGGTTTTGTTAGAGCAGCACCCCTCAAGTATTTGCAGTCTTTCAGAGTTAGGTGCCCAGATTCACATAATGACCTATCATCAAGAAAACTTCCATTGGTCTTGTTTTAATGGTACGGAAAGCTCAGTGTTGGAGACACCTGGCTGAATTATGACCTTGTCCCAGGAGGACATCAGCTCCCAGGGGCAGGCCTTGCTGGTCTCTCTGCTCTGTCCCTAGGGCCTGCCCAGTGGTCATCTCCAAGGACCAGAGTAGGTGAGTGGGTATAAAACTACCTACCTGTATTCGTTTGCTAAACCTGCCCTCACAAAGGACCACTAACCTGGTGCCTGAAAACAACAGAAATGTATTCTCTCATCATTCCAAAGGCCTGAACTGCAACATCAGTTTAACTAGCCTGTGACTCAGGTCCCAGTGGTGCTGACGGTGGTGATCGCTAGCCAGGAAACCTACCAAGGCTCTGACTATGCATTGCAAAGGCTCTAGCCCTCTGCAAAGCAGTAGGCTTCTGGCTGTGGTCAAAAACAGTTTTTCTTTTTGTTTTTTGTTCTTCAGACAGGGTCTGGCTCTGTCACTCGGGCTGGCGTGCAGTGACACAATCTCAGCTTAACGCAGCCTCTGCCTCCTAGGCTCAAGTGATCCTCCCACCTCAGCCTCCTGAATAGCTGGGACTATAGGCATGCACCAGTACAGCTGACTAATTTTTGTATTTTTAGTAGAGACAGGGTTCCACCATGTTGACCAGCTGGTCTTGAACTCCTGACCTCAGACGATCTGCCCACCTCGGCCTCCCAAATGCTGGGATTACAGGCGTGAACTACGGCACCCAGCCAACAAGGACAGTTTTTACTTTATTTGTTCTGTGAAATGGGAGAACAGAATTCTTGGAAGGAAACCAAAGCTGCCAAGGAAAATCTTGATTGCAGCTGCCTTCTCAGATGGATCTGTTCCGGGAGACTGAATCTCTTGGAGTCTTCTTGTGTCCCAGCTAAAATGAGTGACGCCAGGGGCTCCCAGAGCTTAGCCTGAAGCACTTAACGGAGTGCTTGTTGGGCAACAGCCTGGCACGAAGAGGACATCAGCTCCCTGGGAAGGCCTTGCCTGGTCTTCTCTCTGCTCTGTCCCCAGGGCCTGCCCAGTGGATATCTCCAAGGACCAGCGTAGGTCAATGCACTGGTGGCTGTGGCTCATGCCTCAATGATGCTGACAGTGGGGGGGGTCATTGGCCAGGAAGCCCATGAAGGCTCTAACTACGCCACACTCAAGCTAACAACCAAAAACAGGGAGGCCCCACGGACTTTGCTTTCATGGTGCCAGCTGTCACTTTGCTCAAGTTTTCAAGGGATTTCCAACAAACTTTAGCCAGAGATTTCCATCAGTAGAGCTGAAATCCACATCAGGTATTGGTTACCTTATTTGTGCATTCATTTCTTCACTCCTCAAACAGGTAGGAAATGGAGCATTCGTGGGTTTTCACTATCTGTGTGCCAGGCCCTGAGCCAGGCACCAAAGGCAGGAGGATCACTTGAGGTCAGGAGTTTGAAATCAGCCTGCACAACATAGCAAGACCCAGTCTCTAAAAAATAATTTTTTTTAGTTAGCCAGGCATGGTGGTGCATAGCTGTAGTCCCAGCTACTTGCAAGGGTGAGGTGGGGGGATCACCCAGGAAGTTGAGGCTGCAGCGAGCCATGATCACACCACTGCACTCCAGCGTAGGAGACAGCAAGACCCTGTTTACAAAAAATAAAAAGTAATTGTATCGCTATAATCTATAACCAGATGCACTCTGATATGGTTTGGCTGTGTCCTCACCGAAGTCTCATCTTGAATTGTAGTTCCCATAATCCCCACGTGTCATGGGAGGGACTCAGTAAGAAGTGATTGGATCCTGGGGGCACATTTCCCCCGTGCTGCTCTTACGATAGTGAGTGAGTTCTCACAAGATCTGATGGCTGTTCTTTTCTGTTTTGTTTTGGGTTTTTTTGAGACAGAGTATTGCTGCGACGCCCAGGCTGGAGTGCAATGGCTTGATCTCAGCTCACTGCAACTTCTGCCTCCTGGGTTCAAGTGATTCTCCCACCTCAGCCTCACAAGTAGCTGAGATTACAGGCACCTGCCACCATGCCCCGCTAATTTTTGTATTTTTAGTAGAAACAGGGTTTTACCATGTTGGCCAGGCTGGTCTCGAACTCCTGACCTCAAGTGATCCGCCCGCCTTGGCCTCCCAAAGTGCCAGGATTACAGGCATGAGTCACCACACCTGGCCAGATCTGATGGTTTTATAAGCCTCTGGCATTTCCCTTGCTTGTACTTCTCCCTCCTGCCACCCTGTGAAGAAGGCACCTGCTTCCCCTTCAACTTCCATCATGATTGTAAGTTTCTTGAGGCCTCCCCAGCCATGCAGAACTTTGAGTTGATTAAACCTCTTTCCTTCATAAATTACCCAGCCTCAGGTATTTTCTTATAGCAATGTGAGAATGGACTAACACACTCTTACCCTCAAATCTTGATGTAATTCTGCTATAATATAACTTCTTTAAAAGTTTGATATAATTTTACACATACTAAACTTCCACAACCCATGTATCAGCAATGGGCTTAAACACTGGGCCAGGACAGTACAGTGGGTCTCCTGTCCTCAGGGCCCTCACCATGGGGAGGCAGGTGCAGGCAGGACGACAACTCCCACCCTGCTGGAATGGAAATCCAAGCCCTGGATGCAGCAAGAGGGAAAGAAATTCAGGGTCTGGTGGCCTTTGGGCTGCAGTCCTTGACACTGTCTGCCCTGAACAACCCCCAGCCCACTCCTGCCATGTCATCATTTGAATATGGGGTGGGGGGCACTCGGATTTCTAAGAGTTCCTTGACATTCACCTTCCAGAACTCCGCCTCCTTGACATTCACCTCCTAGAACTCCACGTCCTTGACATTCACCTCCCAGAACTCCATGCCCTCAACATTCACCTCCCAGAACTCCGCCTCCTTGACATTCACCTCCCAGAACCCCGCCTCCTTGACATTCATTCTCCAGAACTCCGCCTCCTTGGTGCACTGTGTCAGAAACGTCTTCAGGAGTGGGGAGGACAGGGACCAAAGAGTGGGGGAGCACACACTCCCCCTATCTCCCAGGAACAATGTCCCTGACCCCTGCATCTCTCCTGGAGGCTACCCCCACCTCCCCACCCTTTAGGGAGTGCTAGCCCTGGTCAGATCATGAATGTACCTGTTGTCTCTGTCTTCCTGTCTGCCTGCAATTTAAGACTGTGATGATTTGAAGAGCTTCAGTTTGTTGACTGCCACCCTTGCACTGGCTTTTAAAAGGATTTTCAATCTCCCTCTCTTTTTTTCTCTCTCATCCTTTCTCTGCCTCTCTCTCTCTGTCTGTCTGTCTCTCCTCTCTCTCCTTTTCCCTCTCTTCCTGCTTTCTTTTCCTTTTTTGGGAGTCAGATTTATTGGAGCATAATTTACATACCATAAAATTCACTCCTGGAGGCTGGGCATGGTGGCTCTTGCCTGTAATCCCAGCACTTTGGGAGGCTGAGGTAGGAGGATTCTTTGAGCCCAGGAGTTTGAGACCAGCCTGGGCAACATAGCGAGACCCCCATCTCTACAAAAATAATTTTAAAAATTAGCTGGGTGTGTGGCATGTGTCTGTGATCCCAGCTACTTGGGAGGCTGAGGCAGGAAGATCGCTTGAACCCAGGAGGTTGAGACTGCAGTGAGCTATGATTGTGCCACTGCACTCCAGCCTGGATGACAGAGCGAGATCCTGACTCTTAAAAAAATAAATAATTAAAATTAAAATTAAAAAAAAATATTTTCTTGTCCATTTCTACAAGGTGGTTTTTTTGTTTGTTTGTTTTTTTGACAGAGTCTCACTCTGTTGCCCAGGCTGAAGTGCAGTGGTACAATCTCAGCTCACTGCAACCTCCGCCTGCCAGGCTCAAGTGATTCTCTTGCTTCAGCCACCCGAGTAGCTGGGATTACAGGCGCCCACCACCACGCCCAGCTAATTTTTGTATTTTTAGTAGAGACGGGGTTTCGCCATGTTGGCCAGACTGGTCTCGAACTCCTGACCTCAAATGATCCACCCGCCTCAGCCTCCCAAAGTGCTGGGATTACAGGCATAAGCCACCACGCCCTGCCATTTCTATGAGTTTTAACAAACACATACAGTCATATAACAATCACAGTCAAGAGAGGGGACCCTTGTGACCCTTCTGTAGTCAACTCCTTTCGTGCACCCACTCTGGCAACCGAAGACATGTTCTCTGCTACTCCTACAGTTCTGCCTCTTCCAGATTCTTGTTTCCTTCCTCCCTCCTTCCTTTCCTCCCTCTTTCCTTCCTCCCCTCTCCCTCCCCTTCTTCTTTCCCTCCCTCCCATTTTTTTCTGCTCCTCCTTCCCTTCCTTCTTCCCTCCCTCCCTCCTTCCTCTCCTTCTCTCCTTCCCTCCCCTCTCTTCTTCCTCCCCTCCTTCCTTCCTTTTTTCTTCTCCCTCGTTCTTTCCTGTCTCCTTTAGCAGCCAACTTATTTCTGCAAATGAACAAGAAGGAAAGCAAACCAATTTTTTTAAGGAAACAAATTCTGTGTGCTTCCTGATGAATGCTAGTCTACTTAGCTCAAGGGAAGAATTTGAGAGCAGAAATTTCTTTGCTTTTCCTGGCCAGAACTCATGCTGAGATTGGGGGTGGGGGCGGTTATATTACTATTCTGATGGAGCCGAGAATTTATTTGGATGAAAAATGGATCTCCACTTGAGCAGGAATGGGGTCTTATGGCAGGAACGGAGCAGTGGGGTCACCACAAGCCTCGATATGCTAGACTCCAAATTAATAGCTTAGCTCCTAGCTCCTTGCAAACTCGAGATCTTGGCCATGTTTCCTTGGCTGTGAGTTAATAATTGCAACCTGTATTCCAAGAAAGGCTTCATTCTGCTTTAAATGAGCAACAGAAAAAAGCCAGTTTCCAAATATGTGCCACGTGAGACACATTCAGTAGAGTTTGCATCAGAAACTCATCAGCAACAAAAGGGAGAGGGTGACTCGGGCCGCCCTGTGGCTGGGCTGTGAGATAGATTGAGTCAAGAAATTCACCAACGAAGCATCAGCATCTCCAGATCTGTCCCTCACATGCCATGAGGCCACCACTCAGTGCAGATGGCCTCAGCCCTTTCTAGGAAGAGCTGGGGGGTGCAGAGGTACAGAGCTGGGAAGAGTAGGGCATGGGATTGGGGTGGACACTGCATGTTGGAGCCCCCAGATCTCCCCTCTGCTCTCACATCCTAATCCTAATATCCTTCCCAAAGGGGTTAATTTCCTGAAGCTGCCTGATATTTTTTTTTCCCTGACACCAAATAAGTAGTGTCTTCTCTGACATCAACCAATGCTCCAGTCTTCCCACACCAACTGGGTTTCCTGCAATTCAATCCTAGCCTGACACTAACTTCTGGAGTTACGGCAGACGGCCGTCTTCTCCCTGTGTCCTCACGTGGCCGTCCCTCTGTGTGTGTCTGTGTCCTAATCTCTTCTTACAAGGACACCAGTCAGGTGGGATTGGGGCCCACCCTAAAGACCTCATTTGGATGTAATTCCCTCTTTTTCATTTTATTTTATTTATTATTTATTTATTTATTTTGAGATGGAGTTTTCAGTGTCACCCAGGCAACAAGGTTGTCGGCTCTCGGCAACCTCCACCTCCCGGGTTCAAGCAGTTCTTGTACCTCAGCCTCCCGAATAGCTGGGATTACAGGTGTACACCACCATGCCTAGCTAGTTTTTGTATTTTTGGTAGAGATGGGGTTTCGCCATGTTGCCTAGGCTGGTCTCGAACTCCTGGGCTCAAGCAATCCTCCCGCCTTGGCCTCTGAAGTGTGGGGATTGCAGATGTGAGCCACCACGCCCGGCCTTAATTACCTTTTCAAAGGCCCGATTTCCAAATAAGGTTATATTCTGAGGGACTGGGGATTAGGAGTTCAACATATGAATTTGCAGGGGACACAGTTAACCCCTAACACCAAACATGGCAAGAGAGGAATGCAGGAGAAAGAGACAGAGGAAGGGAGATGAAGGTCACCAAAGGGGAAGATGGGACTGAGGAAGGCGCAGCAGAGGAATGAGGCAGCAGGACAGGCTCATGGGGTCAGGCTTCCGGGGATGGGGGTTGGGCTTCCTGGAGGAGGTGGTCGCTGGGTCAGGCTCTGTAGGAAGCAGCATCGTGTTACATCTAACAGGATCATTGACACTGGAGTCAGGATGACATCAATATGGGTCCCAGCACTTAGATGCTCAGCTGGGCAAGTTACTTAACCTTGGTTCCCTCCTCTATGAAACAGGGCTTCTCATACATCTATGGAGTTATTAAAAGCAATAAATACACCGGGCACAGTGATTGATGCCTGGAATCCCAGCACTTTGAGAGGCTGAGGTGGGAGGATCGTTTGAGGTTAGGAGTTCAAGACTAGCCTGGGCAACATAGTAAGACCCCACCTCTACAAAAAAAAAAAAACTAAAAAAGGGCTGAGCATAGTGGCTCACACCTGTAATCCCAGCACTTTGGAGGTCGAGGCAGGTGGATCACTTGAGGTCAGGAGTTTGAGACCAGCCTAACCAACATGGTGAAACCCCATCTCTACTAAAAATACAAAATTAACCAGGCATGGCGGCACATGCCTGTAATTCCAGCTACTCAGGATGCTGAGGCATGAACCCAGGAGGGAGAGGTTGCAGTGAGCCTCGATTACGTCACTGCACTCCAGCCTGGGCAACAAGAGCGAAACTCTGTCTCAAAAAAAAAAAAAAAAAAAAAAAGAAAACTTAAAAAAATTAGCTGGGCATGTTAGTGCATCTGAGTTCCAGCTACTCAAGATTCTGAGGTGGGAGGATCTCTTGAGCCTGGGAGGTCGAGGCTGCTGTGAGCTGAGGTCGTGCTTTCCATGATGGTAAGCAATGATAACAACTATTATGGTGCTTAGTGAGCAAGGCTCCCGGGACCAGCTGGAGGGGCGAGAGTGAGTGATTTGGTTGTCGGGGGCAAGGACGTGAGCTGGTGGGGCCTGAGCAGGGTGTGGCTCGGCATCCACTGTGGAAGAGGAGGAGGAGGGAGCACAGGGTTGAGCAGAGGCTGGGTAAGGGGAAAGCCGGCCAGACCAGCAGCCCCAGGCTCCACCTATGCCAGACAGGACCCCCTTCTGCCTATTCCTGCCCTGGTAGGGCCCGAAGCGGGGTGTGTGTGTGTGTGTGTGTGTGTGTGTGTGTGTGTGTGTGTGTGTGTCTGTCTGTCAGTTTGGCCATTCCCCGGGGGAGGCGTGCCACAGGCTGGATGCTGCTGCTGGAAGTTGGAACTGAGAAAGCAGCCTCATGAGATGCAGGGTCAGGGAATTCGGTCAATTTGGCTGCCATCAGAGGCAACCGGTTTGTGCCAGGGGTCCCCACATTATAGCTGACCCCAAGGAATGGTGAATAAGAGACCTACTCTCCTGGAAGGTGGGCCTGGCCCAGGCCCAGGGGCTCACAGTGTCACAGTTGTCCCCTCCCAAGACCTCCCCCAGGCAGGCCCGCAGCCATCTCATCCAAGGCCTGGATATAGGTATACCACTTCCTCCGTAATAATCCAGGATGGAGGCCAGGCGTGGTGGCCCAAGCCTGTAATCCCAGCACTTTGGGAGGCCAAGACAGGCAGATCACTTGAGGTCAGGAGTTCAAGACCAGCCTGGCCAACATGGTGAAATCCCATCTCTACTAAAAAAAAAAAAAAAAGAAAAGAAAAGAAAAGAAAAATTAGCCAGACACAGTGGCGCACACCTGTATTCCCAGCTACTTGGCAGGCTGAGGCTGGAGAATCGCTTGAACCCAGGAAGCAGAGGTTGCAGTGAGCCGAGATCACACCACTGCACTCCAGCCTGGGCGACAGAGCAAGACTCCATCTCAGATAATAAGAATAATAATAATGCAAGTTGGGGCCTCTGAGCTCCAACATTGACCCCAACAGGTGCAGAAGGACCTACAACTGTCCTGCCACCCTGTTGGAGAAGCAGGTAGACTCGGCCCAGGTGGCTGTTAAGGAGCCATCACCCGAGGCTGCTCCAAGCCCCCCAACTATCCAGCCTTCTGGGGAGCCAGAGCCTGAAGATACCATGACTCATTAGTTTTTATTTTTAGTTTTATGCCACAGAAGATGTGCAGTAATGAGACCAGCTTAAATGTCTTGCTATAAAAAGGATGATGGGTGGGGGGTGGTGGGAAGAGAGAGAAAGTCATACAGACATGGATGGACAAGAGATCAAGAAGAAGAAAAGAAGAAATATACCAAAATGTTAGCAAGGGTTTTCTCTAAGTGGCAAGACTGGGAGGAATCTTCAAGTATTTCTATAAATGATATATATTATTTTTATAATCAGAAAATCCATGTTAAATAAATACATAAGGCATGAGAGGGCCTGAGAAAGCTCTCTTGAGTCAATGCTATGCAGGTTTTCTATCCAGTTACCAGCCTTGCTGTAAAGGACACCACCTCTTTCCCAGGGATTTCAAAGAAGGTTCTAGAACCATCATGGGCCACACACACACCCCTGAAACTAAAACAGTATGATAGCTGGCTTCCAAGATGGCACCAAGTCTTTCGTCTTTCTGGCTTCCTGGTATTCATACTCTGGAGTTCCCTCTCTCCATGAATACGGCTGACCTGTGTGGTCAGGGTATGCTTCGGAAATGATGGAGCATCACTTCTGAGGACCAGTCAGAAAGGACATTGGAGCTCCACCTTGTGTCCTCTTAGATCTACCACTCTGGGCAAAGATGACCACCATGTCATAAGGATACTCAAGCAGCCTTGTGGAGAGGCCCATGCTGAGAACTGAGGCCTCCACTAACAGCAGTACCAGCACCAGCCACATGAGGGAGCCAACTTGGGAGTGGTGCCTCCAGCACCATTTGAGCCTTCAGACGATGACAGGCTTGACTAACCACATGACTACAACCTCATGGGAGGTTCCAAAGCCAGAACTACCCAACTAAGCCACTCCCAAATGTCAGACCCACAAAAACTAGGAGATAATGAAGGTTTTTGGCCTTTTAAGCCACTGAGTTTAAGATAACTTTTTACATGGCATTAGATGACTAATACAAATGCTGACTTTAATTGGAAAGTCTTGGGTCACAAAACTCAGCCCCAGAGCCAAGTTTGGGGTCATCCTACCCAACCACAAGCCTGGAAGGGAGAAAAGAAATGGGACTGTTGTGCAGATGGATCCAACGGGGCCAAGACTGGAGGAGATAGGAGTGAATTGGTGCACATTGCAGGGTTCGGTTTTGTCTTTATTTAAAATATTAATAGTTTTTCCCTTGTGGATTCTTTTAATTTTTGCATATTGCATTAAAATATTATTTATTAATTTACTTTGAGATGGAGTCTCACTCTGTTACCCAGGTTGGAGTGCAATGGCACAATCTTGGCTCACTGCAGCCTCCGCCTCCTGGGTTCAAGCAATTCTCCTGCCTCTGCCTCCCAAGTAGCTGGTATTACAGGCACCCACCACCACACCCAGCTAATTTTTGTATTTTTAGTAGAGACAGGGTTTCATCACGTTGGCCAGGCTGGTCTCGAATTCCTGACCTCCACCTGCCTCGGCCTCCCAAAGTGCTGGGATTACAGGCATAAGCCACTGTGCCCTGCTGCAGGAAAATATTATTTATCTTGACTGCTGAGTTTTTGACACCCTTTGAAGTGTGAATCCGAGGTGAGTGCCTCACTTCTCTCACCTTAGTCCTGGCCCTCCTCTGTGGTAAGGTCCCATCCCACCACAGGCCTACAGGATTCTCCTCTGCCTTTGTCCGTGGGGGTGGGGAAAGTGGGGGTCTCCCTTTCTGCTCACCTTGATTATGTTTGACTGCTGACACTTCATGCCCTGCTTCTCTGTTTTCCGTGTTTGATTCTGAAGAGCTCTGTGCTCGAATACAATAGCCACTGGCCACATGGGGATACTGAGCACTTGAAAAGTGGCCAGTCCAAACTGAGATGTAAGTGTAAAACGCACGCCAGGTTTTGAAGACTTACTACAAGAAAAAGAACATGAAAGGTCCCAATCATAATTTTTTGGTTTTGGATGTTTTTTTTGAGATGGGTCTCACTCTATCATTTAGGCTGGAGTGCAGTGGCACAATCATGGCTCACTGGAGTCTCAGACTCCTGGGCTCAAGTGATCCTCCTGCCTCAGCCTCCCGAGTAGCTGGGACTATAGGCCTGTACTACCACACTGTGTTAATTTTTTTTTCTAGACATGGGGTCTCACTATGTTGCCCAGCTGCTCTTGAGCTCCTGGGCTCAAGCAGTCCTTCTGCCTTGGCCTCCCAAAGTGCTGGGATTACCAGCATGAGCCACTATGCCCTGACTTGGTCATAATTTTTTATATTGATTCCAGATAAAATAGTCTCTTTTAGATGTATTCTAGATAAAGGGATCATACATTTATCACATATGTTAGATATATTCTACCTTTGTACAATGTGGCCACGTTCTATTTTTATTTATTTTATTTTATTTTCAACAATAACTTTGGGGTCTTCAGGGACCTGGAAAACTTGCTGTCTTCAACATTTAGTATTATTTTTCAAGTTTTTTCTCTTTTTTTTTGAGACGGAGTCTCACTCTGTTGCCAGGCCGGAGGGCAGTGGTGCAATCTCAGCTCACTGCAACCTCCACCTCCGGGTTCAAGCGATTCTCTTGCCTTAGCCTCCTGAGTAGCTGGGACTACAGGCACGTGCCATTATGCCAGCTAATTTTTGTATTTTTAGTAGAGACAGGGTTTCACCATGTTGGCCAGGATGGTCTCGATCTCTTGACCTCGTGATCTGCCAGCCTCGGCCTCCCAAAGTGCTGGGATTATAGGCATGAGCCACCGCGCCTGCCCTTTCAAGTATTTTTCTAACTTAGATCTTGGGAAAATATTCTTTGGGCCTGAGCATTTTGGGCATCCTCCAATAAGTCTTGGGTCTGAGTTAGTGTCTTCATCTTTAAGAATACCTTTGGCCAGGCACAGTGGCTCATACCTATAATCCCAGACTTTGGGAGGCTAAAGTGGGAGGATCGCTTGAGGCAAGGAGTTTGAGACCAGCCTGGGCAACACAGTGAGATCTATCTCCACCAAAAAAAAAAAAAAATTAGGTGGGCACGGTGGCACACAGCTGTAGTCCCAGCTATTTGGGAGGCTGAGGTGGGAGGATCACATAAGCTCTGGAGGCCAAGGCTGCAGTGAGCTATGATTGCACCACTGCACTCCAGCCTAGGTGAAAGAATGGGATCCTATCTTGGAACGGAACGGGAGGGGAGGGGAGGGAAGGGAGAAATTAATTTATAATTTTCTTCTGTAGTTGCTGGATATAAGAAAAAAAAGAAATGTATGATTTCCAAAGAGTTGTGGGTCCTTATTTGCTGGAATGGAACCTCCACCCAAAAACCACAGTGGGCAGGGCTACTGTGGTCTGCTAGAGCTCACAAAAGTAAACCAAAGTCATTTCCCACCTTCTCTGCAAACAGTGTGCTCAGGAGTCCACGCCAGCCATGATGGTGGTGTTGTTTCTGTGGCCTAAGGAGGTGGCACGTGGGATCATCCCTGAGTCACCACCCAGAGACGCGAAGTTCCTTGCTCAGGTCCCGGTGTGTCGGCTCCAGCGTCCTGTCCTCCCTGCTCCCCCGCCCCACCGAGACCGTTGCTGACAGAGCCCCACTCTGGGCTTCAGCCTCCCGCTCCGTGAGCTTTCTCAACTCATTTCTTCCATTCGGGATTGGGGAGGTTGAGTCACTCTGAAGGAGCTTGACAAAATAGCTCACGAAAGTGTTTTTTATTTTAATAATAATCGGCACCAGATGCTTCCCCAGTGAGACTCCTTGCTTGAGTTGTGATAAACACAGCAACTGGAAAGTCACTTTATTAAACCATGAACGCTCTCTACAAATCACAGCTAAATTAGCTTGTGGCAGGAGCTGCGCAGGAGCCCAGCCTGGTGCTCTAACTCCACCAGGGAGGGAAAAGATAATGACATCCTTTGAACACTTTCTCATTAGGCTTTTAAAAACCCCCAGGCCGGGCACGGTGGCTCACATCTGTAATCCCAGCACTTTGGGAGGCTGAGGCAGGTGGATCACTTGAGGCTGGGAGTTCGAGACCAGCCTGAGAAACATAGGAAGACCCCGTGTCTACAAAAATTAGCCAGGTGTGGTGGTGTGTGTCTGTAGTCCCAGCTACTCAGGAGGCTGCGGTGGTAGGATTGCTTGACCCCAAGAGGTCAAGGCTGCAGTGAGCTATGATTGCATCACTGCACTCCAGCCTCCAGCCTGGGCAATAGAGCAAGATTCTTTCTCTTAAAAAAAAATAAAAATAAAAAGGCTGGGCGCGATGGCGCACGCCTGTAATCCTGGCACTTTGGGAGGCTGAGGTGGGTGGACCACAAGGTCAGGAGTTCAAGACCAGCCTGGCGAAGATGATGAAACCCCGTCTCTACTAAAAAGTAATAATCATAATACAAAAATTAGCTGGGCCTGGTGGCGAGCACTTGTAATCCCAGCTACTTGGGAGGCTGAGGCAGAGAATTGCTTGAACCCCGGAGGCGGAGGTTGCAGTGAGCCGAGATCACACCACTACACTCCAGCCTAGGTAACAGAGTGAGAATCCCTCTCAAAAAAAACAAAAAACAAAACAAAACAAAAAAAACGATGACAATCTGTCCTATGAGTTTGGACATAAATGCAGGTGTGCACACACGTTAAGGACGCTGAGAATGGAGTGAGGGAAAGGAAAAAGCTACCTTTTCTACCAGCCCTGGTGGCACTGGTCCCCATCACAGCCCACCTGTCCATCAGGTCCCCCTGCTAGGGACGACAGTCTGCCAGGCACAGAACCGGCCATGTGAGGGTGTTTGCACTGCACCTTAACCTCCCCATATAACACCTGCATTTGAGCAACAGCCGCCTGGAGACTGAAGGTTGCAAACCAAGCCACTAGCCCATACCCACCGTGATCTTGAGAAACCCCTTCCTCTCCCTTGGACTGCTTCTTCAGCTATAAAATGGGAGCAATGGGAAAACCACTGATTTCCAAATGCCCCCGATGGAACCCTAGCAGAGTCACCGTAGGGACCTTTGTGGTGGCCCAGGGGGAGTTTCAGTGGGGGTCTGGTGCCGGGGAGGGGAGGCGGTGCTCCAAGCTGCCCATCTTCACTGTTACCTGAATAATTCCACCTTTACCTGTTTTCGATGTTGCATTCTTGGAGGGTTTTGGTTTTTATTCTTTTTTAAATTGTAATTATTTAATTTTTTTAGAGACACAGTCTCGCCCTGTCACCTAGGCTAGAGTGCAGAGACGCAATCATGGCCAAGCCTGCAGGCACACAGGCTCAAGCCATTTCTCAAGTTAATATTATAAACCAGGCATAAGAGTGTACTTAATTTACACATAAATGTTTTTGTTTCGTTCTGTTTTGTTTTGTTTTGAGATGCAGTCTTGCTCTGTTGCCCAGATGGAGTGCAGTTGTATGATTTCGGCTCACTGCAAACTCCACCCCCTGGGTTCAAGTGATTTTCCTGCCTCAGCCTCCCAAGTAGCTGGGATTACAGGCACCCGCCACCATGCCCGGCTAATTTTTGTATTTGTAGTAGAGACAGGGTTTCGCCATGTTGGCCAGGCTGGTCTCGAACTCCTGACCTCAAGTGATCCACCCACCTCGACCTCCCAAAGTGCTGGGATTACAGGCATGAGCCACTGCACCTGGCCAATACATAAATGTTATAGGCTAACTATTTCACAACAAAGTAGCCGAGATCATAGCACTGTGGTCCAGCCTGGGCCACAGAGCGGGACTGTGTCTCAAAAAAAGAGAAAGAAATATAAAATGGAGTGGATTTTCTAAGATAGTGTTAGTTATGTGAAGGGCACTCTATATAGGCCCAAAAACAAGGTAGGGTGCTAGCAAGAAAAGGGAGTGGGAGGTTTTTTTTGACACGACTCAAACACACCAAATGATTGTTTACAAGGGTGTTTATTTTCCTTCAGCTTCTGCCTCTCCAAGTACATGTTCTGACCACATTCATTCATCAAAACCAGAATGCCCCAGAACTTTCACTCCAGGAGCTAATCATCTAAAATCACAATGATGACATTCAAATAAAGAGAAAACACTGACTCAAAGGAAGGAAAAACAAACATTTTCGTTTCTCCTCTTCCCCTCTCTTCTTATTAAAATACTTACCCGTTATGATTAGGCATCTTGAACTCTAATGAGTCGCTCGAATTACTATTGCTTATTACTTTGATGTGAGATTTTTAAATTATTATTTGTTCGGTCTTAAGTCCAGTCATGGATTTACTGCTTTTCCTGTGACCAGTTTTATTTGTTTTATTATTTTATTTTATTTTATTTTGGAGACAAAGTCTCGCTCTGTCGGCCAGGCTGAATTGCCGTGGCGCGATCTTGGCTCACTGCAACCTCCACCTCCTGGGTTCAAGTGATTCTCCTGCCTCGGCCTCCTGAGTAGCTGGGATTACAGGGGCACACCATCATGCCCGGCTAAATTCTGTATTTGTAGTAGAGGTGGGGTTTCGCCATGTTGGCCAGGCTGGTCTCGAACTCCTGACTTCAAGTGATCCGCCAGCCTTGGCCTCCCAAAGTGCTGGTATTATAGGTGTGAGCCACCATGCCTGGCCCTGTGACCAGTTTTAAAATATTTGACTTAAGCTGTCAGAGTATAGAGAACTTCAGGTATTTTCATAAATGGAGACTCCAAGAAGGGTTTTATTGTTGGAAAGAAAATGGGATAAGAAATGATGCTGCTAACACTAAAATGGTCTCTGTAGTCACAAAAAGAAAAAAACAACGGCCGGGCGCAGTGGCTCATGCCTGTAATCCCAGCACTTTGGGAGGCCAAGACGGGCGGATCACGAGGTCAGGAGATCGAGACCATCCTGGTTAACACAGTGAAACCCCATCTCTACTAAAAATACAAAAAATTAGCTGGGCGAGGTGGCGGGCGCCTGTAGTCCCAGCTACTTGGGAGGCTGAGGCAGGAGAATGGCGTGAACCCGGGAGGCGGAGCTTGCAATGAGCTGAGATCACGCCACTGCACTCCAGCCTGGGCGACAGAGTGAGACTCTATCTCCAAAAAAAAAAAGAGAGAGAAAGAAAAGAAACTTTAAAGAGGCAGAAAGAAAGAAGAGAAAGAGAAGGATAAGTGGTGATAGCTACAAGTCTGACATTTAATTTTAAACTCTAGCGAACCACCCTACACTCAGCTCATCTTTTTTTGTTTGTTTTTATTTTTATTTTTTGAGACAGGGTCTCCCTATGTCGCCCAGGCTGGAGTGCAGTGGTACGATCACAGCTCACTGCAGCCTTGACCTCCTGGGCTCAAGCGATGCTCCCACCTCAGCCCCCTGAGTAGCTGGGAACACAGGCATTCACCACCACGTCTGTCTAACTTATTTTGATATTTTGTAGAGACAGGGTCTTACTACATTGCCCAGGCTGATCACAAACTCTCTTGGACTCCAGCAATCCTGCCGCCCCAGCCTCCCAAAGTGCTGAAATTACAGGGGTGAGCCACTGCACCCAGCCACTCAACTCCTCTTAAAGGCTACGTGTTCCATGAGGTTGAATTCACACCTTCCTAGGATGCGTGGAACATCTTCCCCAGCTGGGGAAGGCAATTTTACCTGGAGAGGAGGAGCCCATGGCCTCACAGTGAGTCCAATGGGAGAATCATGTGATGGACACTGGTGATTCTCAACACCCAGCCACCAGCCCCGTGCCTGGTCGACAGGGGCACTCAGAAAACGTTTGCCACCTGAGGTCAGGAGTTCAAGACCAGCCTGGCCAAGATGGTGAAACCCTGTCTCTACCAAAAATACAAAAAGTAGCCGGGCGTGGTGGTGCATGCCTGTAATCTTAGCTACTCAGAAGGCTGAGGCAGGAGAATTGCTTGAACCCAGGAGACAGAGGTTGCAGTGAGCTGAGATCACACCACTGCACTCCAGCCTGGGCAACAAGAGCAAAATCTGTCTCAAAAAACAAACAAACAAACAAAAACGGGCCGGGCATGGTGGCTCAAGCCTGTAATCCCAGCATTTTGGGAGACTGAAGTGGGTAGATTACCTGAGGTCAGGAGTTCAAGACCAGCCTGACAAATATGGTGAAACCCCATCTCTACTAAATACAAAAAATTAGCAGGGTGTGGTGGCACGCGCCTGTAATCCCAGCTACTCCGGAGGCTGAGGCAGGAGAATCACTTAAGCCTGGGAGGCAGAGGTTGCAGTGAGCCGAGATTTCTCCACTGCAGTCCAGCCTGGGCAACAAGAGAGAAACTCCATCTCAAAAAAAAAAAAAAAGAAAAAAAGAAAAGAAAATGTTTGCCAAATGAACAAATAATGAATGACAGCTGTGTCCCGTGCTGTCTGTGAGCACTTTCAGAAACAGGATCACAATAAATAAATAAATAAATAAATAAATAAATAAAAATAAACACTGATGCATGGGCCCCACCCTAAAGAGTCTGTGATTGAAGTGCACAGCCTGGATTGGGAACAGCTGTCCTGGGGAGAGATGCATACATCTGGGAAGAACATTGCAGCTTCCTGACCCGCAGGAAACACCCACCACCTTGGTGTTAGAGGCAGATAGGGATGAAAAGGAGGATGTGTGCTGGTCTTGTCTTCAGTTCCAGAATCTGAGCACCACCCCAGCCATGGGCGGAACGTTTTGAGATGACAGGTGTCACCTCCAGGTTCCCATCAAGTATCTAGGGTGGGCCTGGGAGGTGGAGGTTTTGTTCAGATAAATACACCACCTGCAGAGCATCCATCCGGGCTCTCGAGATTCAGGAGCTGGGCCGAGTTTAGGCGGAAAGAGGCGGCTCTCTCCAGCTCTTCCTTCAGCTGTGACCTCTTTAACCATGAAGGACCATGAGTGCTAATCCCTGCTATTTAGGATCAAAAGGGCCTAATCAGCTGCAGGCAGTCACAACTCTCTGTTCATAGGAGAAGGGTCTCCAGGAAGCGGTTGAGGAATGAATTTTCCCTCTCGGAGCTAGTGCTGGCATTACTGGGACTTGCGGCTGCCCCGCCAAGGGGCCGTCTGTCATTTCAGATCTGCCAGAGTCACCCCACATGAAACGTGTTTGGATATTCTGAGTCCTGCTATGCAGCAAGCACTAAGCTGAGCCCACGAGACAACGTTGAGGGACCTTGGTCCAAGGTGGGTGTCCAGCTGGGAGTGAACCACGCCAATGCTACAGGAGGGATGGACACCAAGGAAGAGAAAAAGAGGGGTAAGTGGTGATAACTAAAAGTCTGACACTTTTTTTTTTGAGACGAAGTCTCGCTCTATCGCCCAGGCTGGAGTACAGTAGCACAATCTCAACTCATTGCAACCTCCGCCTCCCGGGTTCAAGTGATTCGCAAGCCTCAGCCTCTGGAGTAGCTGGGATTACAGGCGTGCGCCACCACACCTGGCTAATTTTTGTATTTTTAGTAGAGACGGGGTTTCACCATGTTGGCCAGGTTGGTCTCAAACTCCTGACCTCAAGTGACCCACCCACCTTGGCCTCCCAAAGTGCTGGGATTTACAGGCAGGAGCCTCCATGCCCTGCCGCTCAGCTCCTCTTAAAATCTATGTGTTCTGTGAAGTTTAATTCGCACCTTCCTGGGATGTCTGTGATATCTTCCCCAGGTGACCCGCAAATAATTTTACCTGGAAAAGAGGAGCCCGTGGCCTCACAGTGAGTCCCATGGGGGAATCATGTGACAGGCACTGGTGATTTTCAACACCCAGCAGCCCAGGTACCCACATGGATGGGACGGAAGCCTGGGAGTTGGCTCCTGAAAGAGGAAAGGTTTCACAGCTGGACACAGATGTCACACTGATGGGGCAGTGAATACAGCAAAGGAAACAGCCCTCAACCCACTGAGACAGAAAAGAGCAGGATTTTATGTTCAGGTTGGGGTGGCCGAGGCAGGCATGAACCTGCTTGCAGGGGCCTTGAGGCCAGGCTGAAGACATGGGATTTTATCCCAAGAGCAGTAGGGAGTCTTTGAAGGGCTTGAGTAGAGGAGTGACAAGAACAGGTTGGCATTTCAGAAGCGTGGCTGGCAGGCAGTCATCCTGCTACCACTGGGCAGTGGCTAAAGTGCAGTTTCTCAGATCCAAAGGTCAGGCTCAGATTCTGCTTTGGCAGCTCCCTGGAGGTGCACCTTGAACAAGTTCCTTCCTTCCTCCAATTCCCTAAAATGCAGATGAGTATGCCTCCTGCCACGTGTAGTGGGGTGAGCATTAAGCCTGATAATGCGTGAAATATTGTGGCACCGTGCCTACCACGTGATGAACTCCCAATAACTCCCCCTTCAGCTCCTGGTACAGTCCCTAACATACCCTGATGCTTAGAATATATGAATGAACGAATGAATGAATGAAGTTCTAGGTATATTTTATAAACATAGGACCTAGGAAGGTCAGGTCAAAACTATGGCCCAGGTGCCAAGAGACAAAGACACAGTGGCATATTAGTGTACATTAACCATTAATGACCAAAATAATGACCCCAAGCCCTCCAAGAGACTGTCTTGGCTTCATTAAAGCTCTCTCATCAGAGACACAATAAATTGATGGCCCAAGCTGATGTTCTTTTTGGGTTTTACCATATTTTATCATATTTCAATTATTTTTTTTAGACAAGGTCTCACTCTGTTAGTGCCGTGACATGCTCACAGATCACTGTGGCCTCAACCTCCTGGTCTCAAGCGATCCTCTCACCTCATCCTCCAGAGTAGCTGGGACTACAGGTGTGTACCACCACACCTGGCTAATTTTCTTTTTTTACTTTTTGTAGAGACGGGATCTCACTATGTTGCCCAGGCTAGTTTTGAACTCCTGGGCTCAAGCAATCCTCCCACCTCAGCTTCCCAAAGTGCTGAGATTACAAGCATGAGCCTATCGTGCCCAGCCTCAATGATTTTTTAATTCTTATATTAGTCATTAAGAGAAGCTTTGTGCATTAACAAATAACTCCAACATCTCAGTGACTTAATACAACAATGATTTCTTTCTCGCTCATCGTGTATATCCAGCATGTGCAGACAGGGCCAGGAGGAAAGGCTGGATATGCTTTCCTCCACACAGTCACTCAGGGATCCAGGCTTATGGAAGCCTTCTCAATCATCAAGACAAGGGAAGAAGAGAGACTGGAGAATTGAGACATCTGTTCAGTGCCTTGGCACAAAAGGGACATATGCCACTTCTTTTGTCTGTTTTTTGCTGTTTTTAATGACACTTCTTATACTATATATCATTGGCCAGATCTAGTTGCACAGACTGGCCTACTGTCAAGGATGTGGCATCCTTGTGCTAGGAAGGAGAGGAGAATGGGATACTGGTGAACACTAGTGATGTCCACTCCAGTTCTTAATCACCATTTTGGTTTATTTTTCCAGCTAGAACAACAACAACAAAAAAAAAAAGCTAGAATTTTTTTTTTTCTTGAGATAGTCTTGTTCTGTCGCCCAGGATGGACTGCAGCAGCGTGATCTCGGCTCACCGCAAGCTCCACCTCCCAGGTTCACACCATTCTCCTGCCTCAGCCTCCCAAGTAGCTGGGACTACAGGCGCCCACCACCATGCCTGGCTAATTTTTTGTATTTTTAGTAGAGACGGGGTTTCACCGTATTAGCCAGGATGGTCTTCATCTCCTGACCTCGTGATCCACCTGCCTTGGCCTCCCAGCGTGTTGGGATTACAGGCGTGAGCCACCGCGCCCTGCCCAAAAGCTAGAATATTTAATCTGCACTTCATTCAAAATATCTGCTGCAGCTATGGGTCAAAGTTGTGGTGATCAAGCCTGAACCTTTCTGCTTCCTCCTGTTCAGCAGGAGAGTGAGTTTTGCCTGAATGACCACCCTATTTCTGTAGCTTACAGCCGTGCAGGCAGAGAGCATTACAGATCTCTTGTGGACTTTGCTCTACGCTTCATGCTTGGATTTTATGTCCACATTCATATTGATGATAAAGTTGTTATTTCTTTATTTAACCAATTCTATGTCTATGCATACATGTTTGAATAGGGATTGGGAGGCTAAGTTCATCTGACAACAGCATCTTTGCTTGATATTACAGTGAAGCTTATAACATCAGTTGTGCTGATTTAACAAAATGTATAATGTATTCAGCAGTTGATGACTTCAGCCTAATTGAACACAAATTTATTATGCTATCCAGGGTTGTAATTAAAACACGGTAAAATTAGCCCATCAAATACCGTATACACATGCTCTCTCGCAAAGCCATCAATGGCCTTTGTTTCGCCTATGGTCAATTACATTTTCAAAGTGGAATCCTCCCAAGAATTAGGCAGATGAATCAGGATGAAAGGAAACCCAACCGAGGGTTTAAGGCTGCTCTGCCCTGACAAGGAAACACTCTGAAGATTGTCTTCAAACAATGAGAAAGCTAATTTTCCTACGTGGTGATTTTGGGGTATCATTAGTCTTCTATATCACTTATTTTTTTTCTCTTGGGAAGGAGTCTTGCTCTGTTGCCCAGGCTGGAGTGCAGTGGCCCAATCTTGGCTCACTGCAACCGCTGCCTCCCGGGTTCAAGTGATTGTCCTACCTCAGCCTCCTGAGTAGCTGGGAATACAGGTGCCCGCCACCGCGCCCAACTAATTTTTGTATTTTTAGTAGAGACGGGGTTTCACCATGTTGGCCAGGATGGTCTTGAACTCCTGATCTCGTGATCTGCCTGCCTCAGCCTCCCAAGGTACTGGGATGACAGGTGTGAGCCACCATGCCCTGCCTAATTTTGTATTTTTAGTGGAAGCAGGGTTTTGCCATGTTGGCCAGGCTGGTCTCGAACTCCTGATGTCAGGTGATCCGCCATCCTCGGCCTCCCAAAGTGCCGGGATGACAGGTGTGAGCCACCACGCCTGGCCTTCCATGTTATTTTAATGATCGCAGAACTGTGGAAAACTGGAGGTGGCTCAGATGTAATAAAAGGGAATTGTCCGTGTGTCCTTGTCAGGAGTCCAAGCCATGCAGGAAAGAGAAACAGGACCTCCCTCCCTCCCCGAAACCAGTTCCTTAATAATGACCCTGAAAAGGCGGATCAGCTGCAGGGAGAGTCATCCTGTGGGCTTCATGAATTCTAATCGCTGTTGGCGATACAGTGACACATTCTACCATTTAGACCATTCAGGTCTAAAACTACATTTTGGGTCTAGAAACACTCCTTTCATAAATATTTTAAAACGAAGAATTAAAGAAGTTCAGGAGAACAATGGCGGAGGTGGAGAAGCTCTGTTCTCACCGGCGGGGTTTCACAGTGCATTTTTGTCAGCCTTCTGCCATGGAAGAGTGGAGAGGCTCCTAGCTCCAGCTCAGAAAAAGGAGAGGAAAGGAATATGAGCTAATAATGAGGTGTCTGGCTTGTTCCCTCTTGTTTGGGAAAAGAACACTCACTTATTCCAAGAGGAGGCTTTCTCACCTGAGCCAGGCTCACTCTCTCACCACGGCGCCCCCTGGTGGTGTGGGCTTGTATCCAGCGGTAGCCAAACTGCAAGACCTCAGCTATGTAAGTTCAGGGGTTTCTCAAAACCACCCTCAGGTTTTTGGTTTGTTTTTTGTTTTTTGTTGTTTTGTTTTGTTTTGTGTTGTGTTGTGTTGTGTTGTTTTGTTTTGTTTTTTTGAGACAAGGTCTCACTGTGTTGCCCAGGCCAGAGTGCAGTGGTACAATCACAGCTCACTGCAGCCTCAACCTCCCAGACTCAAGCAATCCTCCTGCCTTAGCCTCTCGAGTAGCTAGGACTACAGGCGTGTGCTACCATGCCTGCCTAATTTTATTTTATTTTTTTAGAGATGAGGCCTCACTATGTTGCCCAGGCTAGTCTCTATCTCCTGGACTCAAGTGATCCTCCCACCTTGGCCTCCCAAAGTGCTGGAATTACAAATGGAAGGCACCGCGCCCAGCTAATTTTTCTGATTTTTTTGTAGAGTTGGGGTCGCTCTTTGTTGCTGAGGCTAGTCCATAACTCCTGGACTCAAGTGATCCTCCCACCTTGGCCTCCCAAAGTGCTGGAATTACAAGGGGGAGCCACCATCCCCAGCTAATGTTTTTATTTTTATTTTTTTGTAGAGTTCAGGTCTCACTTTGTTGCCCAGGCTGGTCTCAAACTCCTGGGCTCCAACGATCCTCCCACCTCAGCCTCCCAAAGTGTTGGAAGTATAGGCATGAGCCACCACACCCAGCCTCATTTATAACTCTGTAAAGACCCCGTTTCTAAACAAAGTCACATTCTGAGGTCCTGGGGTTTAGAATTTCAACATATGGATCTAGGTATGAGAGACAGTTGATCCCAGGACATAGCAGTGTGCAGGCCTGGATCATAGCCTCCCCTGCCAGGGGCTGGGGCCTTTCTACCATGGAAGTGTCTCCCCTACAAGGCCCCTGTCTCCCTTAAAGCAGTTCTAGTTTGAGCCTAGAGAGGTAGCCTCCCCACTGGACCCTGGGGCAGGGGCTTTGACCCAGGACATTGCTGCAGATGGTGCCTCTCACACTTTCTCTGCAGCCTGTCCCCTCTTAGACTCTCCCCAGCCAAAAGTCTCCTGTAATCAGGGGTCCCATCCGCTGCCAGCTGGGATGGGGGCTGTGTCTGTGATCATCTGACCTGCTGGGATGAGGGGGCAGTTACATGGGGACACATCAGCAGAGCAGGAGGACCACCAGGGTGGCCAGCCTGTGGATCTTACAATCCAACCAGAAGTCAATGCCTTGCTCTGAGCAATACGGTTCTTCTCTTTAGGCAGAGCCTTTTCTGAAGGTGACTTAGAAGGTTCCACACCCTGTAGGCACATCCCCTGGGTCTATTCCAACCTTGTTCCTTCTCATTGTGCAAAGTGGAGAGTGTGCAGGTGATTCTCATGTCTGCGGACAACAGCTTGGAAGAGCCAGGAATTGCACATCTGTTCACCATCCAAACCCGAAGAGCATTGAATTGTGTTCCTCCCACGCCCCGCATCCATTTGTCTCTTGACAAATTGTGGGCTCCTATCTAAATTAAAGAAAGGTGCACCAGACTACTCATTCTCAATCAAAGGCAAATGTGCACACCTTGTGCCTTTGAAGCTAGGCTTCCTGGCTGCATCTGCAGGGCTCCTTCAAGGTTGTGGGTCCTGAGGAGTTACTGTGAAAAAGGGAGCAAGCCACACAGCCTGTCCCCAAGTCTTGCAGGGTTAACCTGTTAACCTGAGGTTAACAGGTTAACCCTGAGGTATAGAGATGAGGCTGAAGGACAATCTCAGAGAAAGAAAAAACAAACTAGCAACTGCCTATACTAGGTCAAAGGCAGATGTGGGCCCAAGGGGACCTGCGCAGCAGCTGTTCTGCATTTGGGTTAGAGTGGGTGGGTAGAGGGTGAACAATGAGAGAACAATGCCACTCAGGGAACTTATAGTTATTACCATCATCGCTGCAATTTATTGTAGGTTTGTACCAGGTTGAGCACTCTCTCATCTCCTTCACTTTGCACAACCTCCCTGCAAGGTACGTATTATTACTGCCTTGCGGATGAGGAAACAGAGAAGTTAAGTGACTTGCCTAAGGCCAAGGTCAAATCTCAAGGTCAGTGTTGCAATTCACACTCAGTTCTGCCCAATCCCCAGCCTATGTTCCATCTAGCTGCTGTGTTCACGGTGTCCCATCTGGATGGAGTGAGACCCTGCTGCAAAAATACAGAGAGAGGGAGGAAAGGAAGGAGAGAGGGGAAAGAGGGAAAGAAGGAAGGAGAGGGAGGGAGGGAGAGAGGAAGGGAAGGAGAGAAGGAAGAGAAAGAGAGGGAAGTAGAGGCAGGGAGGGAGGGAGAGAAAGAGGGAAGAAGAGAAGAAAGGAAGGAGAGAAAGGAGAAAGAGGGAGAGGCAGGGAGGGAGAGAGGAAGGAATGGGGGAAGAGAAAGGGAAGGAGAGAAGGAAGGAAGAGAGAGAGGGAGAGAAGGAAGGAAGGGGAGAGAGAGAAAGGGAGGGAGAGAGGGAAGTGTAGAAGGAAGGAAGGAGAGAGAAAAAGAAAAAGAGAGGGCTGGGCACGTTGCCTCACACCTGTAATCCCAGCACTTTGGGAGGCTGGGGCAGGTGGATCACAAGGTGAGGAGTTCAAGACCAGCCTGGCCAAGATGGTGAAACCCCATCTCTACTAAAAATACAAAAATTAGGCAGGCATGGTGGTGGGCGCCTGTAACCCCAGCTACTCAGGAAGCTGAGGCAAATAATTGCTTGAACCTGGGAGGCAGAGGTTGCAGTGAGCCAAGATCGTGCCACTGCACTGCAGCCTGGGCAACAGAGCAGGACTCTGTCAGAAAAGAAAAGAAAAGAAAGAAAATGTTCAGACAGTCCCCACTTCACAGTGGCTCAACTTATAATTTTTCAACTTTGCAGTGGTGTGAAAGGGAAACCTATTCGGTAGAATCCATACTTTGAATTTCGATCTCGTCTGGGTCTAGTGCTATGCAGTCCAATACTCTCTCAACGCTGAGCAGCTGCAGCTCCCAGGAAGCCATGTGATCACCAGGGTAGACAACCAATACCCTACAGTGTTCTGTGTCGCCAGGTAATTTTGCCAACTGGAGGCTAAGGTAAGTGTTCTGGGCACTTTTAAGGTAGGCAAGGCTAAGTGGCGATGTCTGGTAGATTAACATGTATTAAATGCATCTTCTGTTTATGGCTTTTTCAATTTATGATGGGCTTACTGGAGCATGACCCCACCTAAGTCAAAGAGCATCTGTGTATCACAAACTCTAGGGGAACCACTAAGAAAACAAAATTAAGTATAAATGAGATGCTGTGAGAGTAAACAAAAGGAAATAATAAAATGCTTAATTAAAACCATACGGCTGGGCGCAGTGGCTCACTCCTGTAATCCCAGCACTTTAGGAGGCCAAGGTGGGAGGATCACCTGAGGTCAGGAGTTCGAGACCAGCCTGGCCAACATGATGAAACCCCGTCTCTACCACAAAAAAAATAAATAAATAAAAATACAAAAATCAGCCAGGTGTGGTGGCACATGCCTGTAATCCCAGCTACTCAGGAGGCTGAGGCAGGAGAATCACTTGAACCCAGGAGGCGGAGGTTGCAGTGAGCCGAGATCGTGCCATTGCACTCCAGCCTGGGCAACAAGAACAAAACTCCATCTCAAAAAAAAAATTTTGTTTTTAAACTACAAAAATTAGTTGGGTATGATGGCGTGTGCCTGTAGTCCCAGCTACTCGGGAGACTGAGGCAGGAGAATCACTTGAACCTGGGAGGTAGATGTTGCAGTGAGCCGAGATTACACCACTGCCCTCCAGCCTGGTTGACAGAGTAATACCCCATCAAAAAAATAAAAATAAAAATAAAAAGATAAAAACCACAGGAGGCAGAATAATAAGAAACAAAGTGCAGGCTGGGTGCGGTGGCACACATCTGTAATCCCAGCACTTTGGGACGCAGAGGCAGGAGGATCACGTGAGCCCAGAGGAGTGTGAGACCAGCCTGGGTAACAAAGTGAAACCCCATCTTTACTCAAAATACAAAAAGTAGCCTGGAATGGTGAAGGGCAACTGTAATCCCAGCTACTCAAGAGACTGAGGCACGAGAATCGCTTGAACCTGGGAGGCAGAGGTTGCAGTGAGCCGAGATCTCACCACTGCACTCCAGCCTGGGCCAAACAGCAAAACTCCGCCTCAAAAAAAAAAAAAAAAAAAAAAGAGAGAGAGAGAAAAGAAACAAACTGCAAAAATTAGAAACAGCTACAAACATGGCAGATATTAATCCAACTATAGAAATCATCATTTTAAAGGCAAATAATATAAATGTATCGTTTAAAAAACAGAAATTGTCAGAGTGGATAAAAAGGTAAAACAAGACTTAACAATATGCGATCTACAACATACCCACTTTAAATACAGAAACTCCACTCGGTTAAAAGTAAAGGAACGTACCTAGATCTGACACCTAAAGCACAAAACAACCAAAGAAGAAAACAGACAAATTGAACCTCATCAAAATTTAAAACTTCTGTGTTTCAAAGGATACCATCAAGAAACTGAAAAGACGACCTAAAAAATGGGCAAAATGTTTGCAAATCATATATCTAGATAAAAGTCTAGAATTCAGAAAACAAGAACTCTTACAACTCAACCATAAAGAAGAAAGCTAACCCAATTTTTTGAATGGCAAGAGATTTGGATGAATATTTCTCCAAAGAAGGTATACACATAGCCAAGAAGCCCATGGAAAGATACTCACCATGCTTAGTCATTAGACTATTAGAGATACTTACCAACGAGACAACGCTTCATACCCACTAGGATAGGTAATGAAAAAGATGAACATTAACAGGGGTTGATGGCCAGGTGTGGTGGCTCACGCCTGTAATCCCAACACTTTGGGAGGCTAAGGTGGGAGGATCACCTGATCTCAGGAGTTTGAGACCAGCCTGGGCAACATAGAGAGATCCTATCTCTACAAAAAATTAAAATAAATTAGATGGGCATGGTGGTGTGCACCTACAGTCCCAGCTACTCAGGAGGTTGAGGTGGGAGAATCACTTGAACCCAGGAGTTTGAGGCTGTAGTGAGCTATGGTCATGCCACCACCGTCCCACCTGGGCGACAGAGCAAGACCCTGTCTCTAATACAAACAAGCAACAAAAAGCAAGTGTTGGCAAGCATATGGAACATTTCTTTTATATATATATATTTTTCGAGATGGAGTCTCACTCTATTGCTCAAGCTGGAGTTCAATGGCATGATCTTGGCTCACTGCAACCTCCGCCTCCCGGGTTGAAGTGATTCTCCTGCCTCAGCCTCCCAAGTAGCTGGGATTACAGGCATGCGCCACCATGCCTGGCTAATTTTTTTTTTTTTTTTTTTTTTTTTTTTTTAAGTAGAGACAGGGTTTCACCATGCTGGTCAGGCTGGTCTCGAACTCTTGACCTCAGGTGATCCACCCGCCTCGGCCTCCCAAAGTGCTGGGATTACAGGCATGAGCCACCTGGCCAGGATATGGAACCTTTCTAACTCCCATTCGCTGCTAGTGGGAACAGAATATAGCACAGCCACTTTGGAATATAGTTTGGCAATTTCTTATTGTAGTTTCGTCTCGCTCTTTTGCCCAGGCCGGAGTGCAGTGGCGCAATCTCGGCTCACTGCAAGCTCCGCCTCCCGGGTTCACGCCATTCTCCTGCCTCAGCCTCCCGAGTAGCTGGGACTACAGGCACCCGCCACCACGCCCGGCTAATTTTTTGTATTTTTAGTAGAGACGGGGGGCAATTTCTTAAGAGCTAAGGGACATAAGACTTCTACTCAGAACACTGTGAAATATTATTGAGAGAAACCAAAGACCAAATAAGTGGAGATCCAATGTGTCTGGAGGGAAGTGGTGATGAGCGGGGCTGGGGCTGCTGATGAGAGCTGCATACCAGGGCCCCCAGGGAGGATCCGGACAGAGTTTCCTCCTGGTTCAGCCGCTCAGGATCCCTGCAGCCCAGGCAACAGCCCAGGGCAGGCTCCAACGAACGGCAGGGAAGAGACAGCCAGGCCCCAGACAAGGTGATTCCCAGATGCATCTGAGACTCGAGCTGTGTTTTCCCATCCAGCCAGTTGCCAATTCTTCCCGGAGAAGCCGGATTCTGTTTAGGAGTTGAGAATGTGATAGAGATTAGGGGAAATGCTTAGCCAATCGGGAGGGCTCTGAACCACCCCAAGGCCCAGAACTGCCCAGCACACAAGAGGGACCAGGAGGCCAGCGTGGTGGGGAGGATCCTGGGAGATCATTCTTATTAGGTTTTGAAGGGAAGGTGAGGGTTAAAGAAAGAGCGTGGAGGCTCTACAGCAAATGCAGGCTTTATGTCCAGCATAAGACCTACAGAGGTGGGGCACCGGCTTAATGCCAGTGCCTACCATCACCTACAGGCTGCGGTACTTACAGGTATGCACGGGAGGGGTCTGGGCAGTGTGGCTTGCAGCCTGGGAAGATGTTTATAAGACGTTCCCATGATGAGGCAGTTTGACCCTTGTTCCCACAGAATGAGATAGTGATGTTCCTCGGACTTTTTCCCAACAGAATGTGATCAAGTCAGGCAGCTGGGCGGGCTGTTTCTCACCTCACCGCCCGAACCCCCGTGAGATGTTTCACTTTGACCAAAGTCTGCGAAATGGCAGGGGGCTTACAAAATGGTACAGTTTGGGCCGGGTGGTGCAGTGGCTCAGCCCGTAATCCCAGCACTATGGGAGGCCGAGGCGAGCGGATCACATGAGGTCAGGAATTTGAGACCAGCCTGGCCAACATGGTGAAACCCCATCTCTACCAAAAATACAAAAACTTAGCCAGGCGTGGTGGCGGGTGCCTGTAATCCCAGCTACTCAGGAGGCTGAGGCAGGAGAATCGCTTGAAGCCAGAAGGCAACGGTTGTAGTGAGCCGAGATCGCACCACTGCACTCCAGCCTGGGTGACAAGAGCAAAACTCTGCCTCAAAAAAAAAAAAAAAAGGTGCAGTGTGGACTAACAATTCTCAAGGTGGGTTTTTCAGAAGGCATGGTCACAGACAGCAGCCGTGCAGACCTAGGTGCGCCCAGCATCTCCCCACCATGGCCAGAAGGTGAACCCGGGCCTCAGGTCAGTGTGGACACAGAACAGTCTGTGGCTGGAAGGAAGCAGCTCGAGAGGGTTTAGTCTGATTAAACCAGCACCTGTCTGTAGGCCCCGCTGGCCTAACCCCATCCTGTACCAGGCTCTGTTCTGCCCAGCTCCCCAATCCTCCAACCTGTACCCCACGTTGGGCCTGTGTTCTCATAGCTCCTCCCCCGAGGAGCTCCCTGTCCATGGAGCCCAGCTCTTCCACTGGATAGGGCTCACCATGAATGTGAGCGGGTAGATTTTGTGAGGCTGAGGCCGTGCACATGTAGGCAGGCACACACTCTGGGCAGAACCTGGCTTCACATGGGCAGGGCCACTGCTGCCTCAACCACCCACAGTCACCTGGGGCATGCAGCAGTGGCCTCGTGCTGGAGGTCTCCCGGGAATATTCTCCTTGTGATGCAGGGCAGGTGAGCCCCAAAGTTGGGGCTTAGCCCTACCGTCCACAGAACCCAAGACAGCCAGGTGCCCTGCAGGGGCTAGATGGCTACTGAGTAAATGACTGACAACATTCTTGGCTAGGACTAGGAAGAATTCAAGGGCAAAACAGTGGCATTAGACAGCAACTTTTGTTGTTGTTGTTGTTGTTTGGGTTTTTTATTTTTATTTTTTGAGATAGAGTCTTGCTCTGTCGCCCAGGCTGGAGTGCAATGGCGTGATCTTGGCTCACTGCAACCTCCACCTCCAGGGTTCAAGGGATTCTCCTGCCTTAGCCTCTTGAGTAGTTGGGATTACAGGCACATGCCACCATGCCCAGCTAATTTCTTTCTTTCTTTCTTTTTTTTTTTTTTTTTGTATTTTTAGTAGAGACAGGGTTTTGCCATGTTGGCCAAGCTGGTCTGGAACTCCTGACCTCAGGTGATCTGCCCACCTCGGCCTCCCAGAAGTGCTGGGATTACAGGCATGAGCCACCGTGCCCAGCCTAGACAGCAACATTTATTGCAGAGCAGAGCTACCCCATAGGCAGTGTGCCAAGAGCAGCAGCTCAGAGGCAGTGCGGCAGCCCTATTTATAGCCACTTTTAATTATATGCAAATTAAGGGGCAGTTTATGCAGAGATTTCTAGGAAAGGGGTGGCAACTTCCTGGTTGTCAGGACTGTTGCCATGGAAAGGGGCAGTAACTTCCTGGTGTTGCCATAGCAACGGTAAACTGACATGGCACAGGGATGGGCATGTCTTATAGAAAGCGGCTTCCGCCCAGGACCTGTTTTAGGTAGTCCTCAATTTGGTCTGGTGTCTGAGCCCCGCCCACCTCACCCACTTGCTGGACTGCATCCCTCTGCTTGGGTCCTGGCCCCTGCAATCCTGAGGTGCCAGGAACCCATCAGGCAGGTCACAGCCTCCACCCCCCTCCCTGCAGCCTGACTCCAGCTCCAGCCTCAGTCACCTCCTGGCTGGTCCCGGAACACCCCAGCAGCTCCCACCTCAGGCCTTAGCCCGGAACACTTCCCAGGCAGCCCCCAGGCTCATTCTCCCATTGCCCAGAGCCTGTACTCAGAGATCCCTGTGTTGGTTTCCTGGGGCCGCCCTTACAAAGTCCTACAAACTGCGGGGCTTAAACAACAGAAATGTTTAGTCTCACCATTCTGGAGGCCAGAAATTCAAGATTGATACAACAGGACTTGTGTGTCTGTCCTTGGCTTGTGGACAGCCGTCTTCTCTGTGTCCTCATATGGTCATCCCTCTATGTGTGTCTATGTCCTCACCTCTTATAATGACACCAGTCCTGTTGGATTAGAGCCCACCCTGATGACCCCCAATGAAACTTAATTATCCCCTTAAGGATTGTATCTGCAAATGCAGCCACATTCTGAAGTACTGGGGGTTAAGACTTGAACCTATGAATTGGGAGGGATGCAATTCAGCTCATGAACCGCGCCCCCCCCCGCCCCCCCCCGCCCCCCCCCCCGCACAGAATGGTCTTCCCTGACCACTCCTGATGCCACCTTCCTACCCTAATGTGGCACATAGCACTACCGGACACAACCTTCCCCTTTCCCCTCTCCCGCCCCTCCCAGCCCATGAGGATGGAGTTCCTGCAGGAGGAGAAACAATGTTTTCCTCGCTGCCATCTGCAGTACCCAAGACAGCTGGGTACACTGCAGATGCAGGACAGTTGCTGAGTGAATGACTGACAGCCAGCCTCAGCAGGTGCATCCCCAGGGGCTACAATCTGCATGAGAAGTCACCGCCCCCCAGCCCCTGGCGTGCAGAGCATTGAGGGAAGGGCCCTGGGGGTCAGCAGATGGCAGCATGGGACAGTGGTCAGGGCTTCTGTGGAGATGCAGAAGGGCAGGCAGAGCACAGGGAGTGTCCCCACCCAAGGGACGAGCGGGGACCAAGGTCTCAAGGTGGAGCCGGCAGGGCACGTGGCCTGTGGCAGGAGTCCGGTGCTGGGTGGGGGGCTGGCTGCTGTGTGGCTCTCTCTGGAGCCACCCTCCTGGTCCAGGGAAGTGACTCTCACACCCTGAGGCTCCGGCATACCCAGGCACCTTCTCCACCTCCCACAGTCAGCTCAGCTGCCTTGTCCTGTAGTTCAGGAGGAAGGAGGGCTGCCCTGGCATTTCAAGGAACAGAATGTGATGAAGCAGATGCCAAACAGCCTGCCAGCTCCACAGAGCCTACCACAGAGCCCAGCAGGCACTGCCTGTCTCCCTTCCAACCCCAAACCCACATGGCTGGGGCATTCCAGGGACATGCACCCTCCCATGTGCCCCAACCAGCATCCGGGCCCCCAGCCCTCCTGCCAGGCTATGGTTCCCAAGGGCTGTGCTCCCCAAACCTGCTTCTTAATTAGTTTTCCCCACCACTCCCTGATGGTGCCGTACCCACAGCACATGAAACTCTTTCTAGGGTGGATGTCACGTAGCCCCCCAGCGCGTCCCCGCAGGAGCCCTATGCCTGCATGCTTTAATTAAGCAAGTTAATTACTCTCCAACTTGAGGGTCTGATCAGGCCTCCTGCTGGGAATGCCTCACGGAGCTGCTCCGGATCCCACAGCCCCCGGGCATCCCTGACTCCCACAGAGGACCCAGGTTGGGGTTCTCAGAACATCCCAGAATCTCCTGTTAATTTCACCAAGAAATCCAGCTGCAGACTCCTGGTAGAAGGAGTGCTCATCTGGGCAGGGATATTTGTAACACCCAAGGCATAAGGGAGAAAGGGAGCGTGTTCAGGCTGATGTTGGATGCAGGGGTCCCCGAGGTACCCACCTAACAGCACAGGGACTGGGTGACCTGACTTTAGCTCTGGACCCCAGGCTCCATTCCTTGTATCTCCCCCTCCCCCAGCAGGTTTAATCCTGGCTCACTTGCCCAGACCCAAGCAGATTCTCCCAAAATAAGGACCTGCATGGTCACCATCCACATGTCACTGTCCAGCACTTCACAGTTTACAAACTTTTTTTTTTTGAGACGGAGTCTCGCTGTGTCACCCAGGCTGGAGTGCAGTGGAGCAATCATGGCTCACTGCAACTTCAACCTCCTGGGCTCAAGAGATCTGTCCTCCCACCTCAGCCTCCTGAGTAGCTGTCCATGCAGATTAGATATGGGGGTATGTAATGGATTCCATGTGGGTTTGATGTGGGGATCCAATGGATCCCATACAGATTAGACACAGGCATGTGCCACCATGTCTGACAAATTTTTTAAATTTTTTGTAGAGACAGGGTCTCACTATGTTGCCCAGGCTGGTCTCAAACTCCTGGGGTCAAGCGGTCCTCCTGCCTCGGCCTTCCAAAGCATTGGGATTACAGACATGTGCCACTGCCATGGCCCCCACGTTTCTAGAGATATTGCCACACAGCAAGCACAGTGCTAGACAGTTTGCCCATTTCATCTCACCTCCCTGCAGATGCCTGTTGGAGCTCCGCCCATTGTGGATAATGGCAAACAGAAGCTCCTGAGGGTAAAAAACTAGCGCATGGCCACCTGCCTGCAGAGCTGGAGACAGAACCACATCACAGGTTCTAAAGTCTATCCAACACCTCATGGCATGGATTTTTCATTCAGCACATGTTTATTGAGCATCTACTATGTGTCAGGCACTGTTCTAGGAACCAACGACACAGCAGGGAGCAAGGAAATAAAAACTCATCCAGGCATGATGGCACTTTGGGAAGTCCCAGTGCTTTGGGAGGCCGAGGTGGGAGGATCACTTGAGGCCAGGAGTTTGAGACCAGCCTGGGCAACGTAGTGAGACCCCCATCTCTACTAAAAATAAAGCCACACATGGTAGTGCATGCCTGTAGTCCCAGCCGCTCAGGAGGCTGAGGTGAGAGGATCACTTGAGCCCAGGAGTTTGAAACTTCTGTGAACTATGATCACACCACTCTACTCCAGCTTGAGTGACAGAGTAAGACTCTGTCTCTAAAAAAGTAAAAGAACAAAAGAAGAAGTAAAAAACCCTGGCTTCATGGAACTTATATTCTAGTGGAGGAAAGAGATAATTTTCGGTTTTTTTATTTTTATCTTTTTTTTTTTTTTGAGACAGAGTCTTGCTCCGTTGCCCAGGCTGGAGTGCAGTGGCGTGACCTTGGCTCACTGCAAGCTCCGCCTCCCAGGTTCACGCCATTCTCCTGCCTCAGCCTCCCGAGCAGCTGGGACTACAGGTGCCCGCCACCACGCCCGGCTAATTTTTTCTATTTTTTAGTAGAGACGAGGTTTCCACCATGTTAGCCAGAATGGTCTTGATCTCCTGACCTCATGATCTGCCCCCCTCAGCCTCCCAAAGTGCTGGGATTACAGGTGTGAGCCACTGCGCCTGGCATTTTTTTATTTTTTTTTTGAGACAGAGTTTTGCTCTTGTTGCCCAGGCTGGAGTGCAATGGTGCGAGCTCAGCTCACTGCAACCTCTGCCTCCGGGTTCAAGAGATTCTCCAGCCTCAGCCTCCCAAGTAGCTGGGATTACAGACATCCGTCACCACACCTGACTAATTTTTCTATTTTTAATAGAGATGGGTTTTCGCCATGTCGCCCAGGCTGATCTCAAACTCCTGACCTCAGGTGATCCACCTGCCTCGGCCTCCCAAAGTGCTGGGATTACAGGCATGAGCCACCGCACTTAGCCAGAGATAACTTTCAAACATAATATTTAGGGTAAACTATGTGGTATATTAGAAGATTGTGCTACTAAAAGCCTGATGGAGGTAGGAGGGGTAGCGTACAGGGCTTGGAGGCTGAATTTCAAGTTGGAATGATCAGAGCAGGCCTCGTTGAGAAGGTGACAGATGAGCAAAGACCTGTAGGAGATGAGGGAATGAGCCACATGGGTGTCTGGGAGCCTCATCCAGCAGAGAGAACAGCAGTGCAAAGGCCCTGAGGCTGAGCATGCCTCTATGTGTTTAGACATCAAGGAGACCAGCAGCAGGAGAAGTGGCTTGAGCACAGAGGAGAGAGTTCAGAAGTGGGGGCTGCCAGTCCTGGAAAGGACTTTGCTCTGCGACATGAGTCTCTGGAGGGTTTTGAACAGAGAAGGAGAGACACGAACCCGACACCCCCCCATAGGCTTTTCCTTGGGCCATTCTCCTGTGATTAGATTGTGGGGACGAGGTGGACGTAGGGAGTGCTAATGCAGCAATCTAGGGGACAGGTGGTGGTGGCTTGGATGAGGATGGGAGCACAGGAGGTTGGATTCTAGATACATTTTGAAAGTGGAGCCAATGGGACTTGCAGATGGATTATGTATTTATGCATGGATGGGATCTAATGGTTCCATGTGTGTTAGATATGGAGGGATCTAATTGATTCCATGTGGGATAGATATGGAGGGATCTAATGGATTCCATGTGGGTTAGATATGGGGGGATCTAATGGATTCCATGTGAGTTAGATATGGGGGATCTAATGGATTCCATGTGGGTTAGATATGGGGGGATCTAATGGATCCCATGTGGGTTAGATATGGGGGATCTAATTGATTCCATGTGGGTTAGATATGGGGGATCTAATTGATCCCGTGTGGGTTAGGTATGGGGGGATCTAATGGATTCCACGTGGGTTAGATATATGGGTGGATCTAATGGATTCCATGCGGATTAGATATGGGGGATCTAATGGGTTACATGTGGGTTAGATGTAGGGGATCTAATGGGTCCCATGCAGATTAGATATGGGGAGATCCAATGGATCCCATACAGAATAGACATGGTGGGATCTAATCGATTCCATGTGGCTTAGATATAGGAGATCTAATGGATCTCGTGCAGATTAGATATGGTGGGATCTGATTCTCCCATGTGGGTTAAATATGGAGGGATCTAATGGCTCCCATGTGGGTTGGATATGGAGAGATTTAATGAATTCCATGTGGATTAGATATGGAGGAAGAGATGAATCAGAGATCACCCAGGATTGGGCCCAGGATAGCAACTGAAAGAGTGGAGTTGCTATTAACTAGATGAAGAGGTCCCTTGGGGTGGTTTGCAGGTACAGGGAGGAGGTCCAGAAATTCATATTCTGGGAGATGGTAAGTTTCAGATACCTAACTAGACATCCAGGTGCAGAAGTCCAAAACGCAGTTGTATGTACAAGTCTGCAGCTTAAGGGGAATCTACCCTGGAGATATCAGTTTAGGGGTCATTGGTGAATTGATGGTTTTAATGCCATCAGACCATACGAGCTCCCCACGAGAGGGAGAGTAGAAAGAGCAAGAGGTCCAGGGTCCGAGCCCTGGGGCCTAAAGATAGAAGGTTGGTGGGGACTGGGAGGAATCAGGAGAAACCAGCCGGCAGGTTAGGAGGCAAAGCAGATTTAGGGGCCAGGAAACCGAGGGAAGAAAGTTTTCCTGGGAGGACAGAGAGAGCAACTGTGCCCAATGTGGCTTCCAAGTCAAATGGGCTGAGGACAAAGAATCTACCTTGGAGGTCACGGGGCCTTGGTGGGGGGGCAGTTTCCTTGGAGTAGGGCAGGCAAAGCCTTCATGGAGGGGTTAAGAGTGGGGGTGCAGTGGATGGAGGGCAAGAGAGCGTTGGAGCCAGGGAGGAGTTTTTTTGCAAAGCAAAACAGTATATGGGGCAGTGGCTGGAGTAGGTAGGGGGTCAAGAGAGAGGTTCGTAAGACAGGAGGAATAACAGCATCACCTCTCCCAAGCTTCTGCACGGGCGTGGAGTAAAACGAAACTCGTGTGTTACTGATGCGAAGTCGTGCCTTTGCGTCTCACATCCTGGGGGCTTTTACCAAATTCAGAAGGAATCCAGGCGGCCCACAAGCTACCAACGGCCACCCCCAGACAGATGTCACTGCTTTTCCGCCCATGACTCCTTAAGGTTGATACAGGGCCTGGCAACTCCTTCCTGCCCCCTTCCTCCCCCTCCCTAGCTGAATAATTTAAGTGCTATTCTAAGTTGAAACCAAATAAAGCAGTTTAGAGTGACTAATTCCCTGTGAAATTTATGTTCCCCAAATGTCTTGCTGGTAACAATGCTGGGATCCATTTACCCCCCTTAATTTCATCAGTGTTGTTTCTGGAAGGAGCTCCCAGCCTAACGTGGCCTCGTTCCCAGCTGCCCGTGTGAAAAGCGGTCCTGGAGGCAAGGCGGCCACATGTGAGCCTCTTCCTGGACTTTGTCCTGGCCCAGGGCAGGGTGAGAAGCTGACACAGCTCTCAGGAGAGATGTAAGGATCTGCAGTAATGGAGCCATTCACAAGGCTGCCCTCTGCACTTCACAGTTGGAGAGGACAGAAGGAGGGTTCTGGGCCAGGGCAGTTGGGAGTGAGTTCCCAAAGCAGGTGTGACATTAGCATGTCCCCAAGAACCAGAGGCTTTGGGAAGGTGACAAGAGGCTGCTGGTGCCCCTGCTGAGGGGATTGTAGGGATGTCTCCATGGAAAAGATGAGAGAGGCAGGAAGGAAAGGGTAGGGGAAAGGGAAGGATCCCATACAGATTAGACATGGTGGGATCTAATGGATCCCATGGGGGTTAAATACGAACAGATTAAATATGGAGGGATCTAATGGCTCACATGTGTGTTGGGAGCCACCTTCCATGTTTAACCCACCTTCCCCGTACCCTGTCTCTGCCAGTTCAAACCTGTCCCAACCCCCAGGGCTCTGCTGCTTTAGAAACATAGCACTACCTTTATCCGCCTGCCCAGATGCAGCCTGGGATCTTCCAAGAGCCCGTCTCACATTTCCTGGCTGTGGGGTGTTTTACAGACATAACGGGAAGAACCTTTATTATGTGACCCTCTGTGACCTGACCCAGTGGCTTCAATTTAGGGATTTAGCCTGTGTCCTCAGCACAAGAAGCTTTTGTTTCTAAGCTTTACTGAGCATTGTTTTTGTTTTGTTTTTTTTTTAATAATGACTCATCTACAACTTCTGAACATGGACACTCCTAGCCTTGTCCCCACTGAGCTGGGAGCATCTGTATCCAGACTGGCCTTCCCCTAGACTGGACACTTCCTTGCCAAGTGGGTGTCAGGAGAAGAACTGTCCAGCAGGGGAAACAGCCAGTGCAAGGGTCCCGGGGTCCTGCATACCTCTTGTGTTCAGACAGCCAGGAGACCAGAGGCAGAAGTGGCAGGTCCTGGGTCTGAGCCATGTCATTCTCAGCACAGAGCCTGGCACATAGTAGGAGCCTTAAGGATGGTGGAGCGGGGGCAGCGGGCACAGTGACTCACGTCTGTAATCCCAGCACTTTGGGAGGCAGAGGTGGGAGGATCACTTGAGGTCAGGAGTCAAGACCAGCCTGGCCAACATGGCGAAACCCCATCGCTACTAAAAATACAAAAATTAGCCGGGCATGGTGCGCATGCCTGTAATCCCAGCTACTCAGGAGGCTGAGGCAGGAGAATCGCTTGAACCAGGAGGCAGAGGATGCAGTGAGCTGAGATAGCACCACTGCACTCCAGCCTGAGCGACAGACGGAGATTCTGTCAAAAAAAAAAAAAAAAAAAAAAAAAAAAAGATGGGGAGGGGAAGGGGATAGACACACGTACATGTCACATGTGCAGGGTGGAAGACCCCCTCCCAGGTTTTACTGTGACTATATTGTGCTGTAGACCTGAAATGCACCTGCTGCTGTGTGCTGTGACCAGGGGGGATGGCTTCTGGATCCTGCCTTTGTCTGGCCAGGTCCCCCACGAGGCTGTCGGGAGCTGGGCATCAGGACCCTAGTGATGACTTCGGGCTGGTGGCACCTGCCTGCCTTGTACACAGGCACCCCTCCCTCCCAGCGTGGGGGCCTCAGTTTCCTCCTCTGTACAGCAAGGAGGTTGCGGGAGATGCTCTCGAGTTTCCTTGCAGGTCGGAAGTGGAGAAGGAAGACAGGTCTCATAGACAGCCTGGGTTTTTAACCAGCCCTGGGGGCATGGGATGCGTTCTCTTCCAGATGAGACTAGGGGTGGCAAGAACCTCCCTGGAAACCCCGGGAAGTTCTAAGGTCATCCTAGGGAAGGCACCAGCGGCAGGGACAGGGGTCTGGAAGCCCTGCCATCCCTAGCAGCTGGCTCTGAAATGTGGCAGGAGGTGGAATGTGGACTCCCTCCATGCTATGGGAGGAGCGAGGGCTGCAGCACAGACCCCAGAGGCTTCTGCCTGGGAAAAGGATGAGGCTGCCTCCCTCCTTCCAGGAGGAACCGAGTCCCAGGGCCAAATAGGGAGGGAGGTATTGATTCCCTGAGGGCCCACCTCAGTAAACAAAAATGTTTTGAACACCTATTGTATTCTGGGCCTCCTCATTCATTCTTACAACAGCCTTGGAGGTAAGCAGTTCAGCATACAGAGGGGAAACAGGTTCAGAGAGGCTGTGTGACTAGCCAAAAGTCACACAGCATGGGAGTGGCTGAACTGAGATTTGAGATTTACCTGGCTCCAGGCCAGGCACAGTGGCTCACTCCTGTAATCTCAGCACTTTGGGAGGCGGAGGCAAGTGGATCATGTGAGGTCAGGAGTTCGAGACCAGCCTGGCTGACATGGCAAAATGCTGTCTCTACTAAAGCTACAACAATTAGCTGGGCGTGATGTCAGCCACCTGTAATCCCAGCTACTTGGGAGCCTGAGGCAGGAGAATCACTTGAACTGGGAGGTGGAGGTTGCAGTGAGCCAAGATTGCGCCACTGCACTCCAGCCTGGGTGACAGAGCAAGACTCTGTCTCAAAAAAAAAAAAAAAAAAAAAAAGATTTACCTGGCTCCTAGCACATTCTACCAACCCACATGGCACATCGGTTCCTGAATTCTGGTCTCGAAAGTTGGAAGTCTTGAGCTTGAAGAAGTCTTCTGCTGGAAAAAGTATTCCATTTTCACCTTGAAAGGATGATTCCCCAGTCCCCAGAGTTAAAAGGGGCCTCAGTTCCTTTTCCTACTGTCAGATTTCCCAGAATGAATCAAAGGTACTAAATTTATTGTGTTTAAAGCAACTTTTCAAGCTTCCCAATAAAGCCCTCTGATTTATAGCTAATGCGTTATTTTAAACACGTTGCAAATGATAAAAATCAGTTCTGCAAATGCACCTCCAGAGAAACCGTATTAAAGGAAGAAAAGAAGCAGTGAGATTAGATATTGCATTAAAAGATAGAGTGATGGATTAAAACCCAAAGCATAAATCTAGTGTGACTTCCCAGAAAATGTTGGGGGGCAGTAAATCCAAGGTGACAATCCGTGTACGGTGTACCAATATTTGTCACTTTTATTACACTTTGTTCAGAAGTCGTAGATGGGTCATTATTTAAAATTAAAAAAAAAAAACAGTGCTCAATAAAGCTTAGAAATGAAAGCTGCTTGTGCTAGGGATATGGCTAGAACTCTTAAATCCAAGCCACTGTGTCAGATCGCGCAACATCACATAATAAAGGTTTCTTCCTCTTATGTCCATAAAATATTCCACATCCAGAAAATGTAGGAAGGGCTCTTGGAATATCCAGGCCATACCCAGGGCGGCGGATAAAGGTAGTGCCATGTCTCTAAGGTAGCACAGCCCTGGCCGGGCGCGGTGGCTCACGAATGTAATCCCAGCACTTTGGGAGGCTGAGGCAAGCGGATCACGAGGTCAGGAGATCGAGACCATCCTCGCTAACACGGTGAAACCCTGTCTCTACTAAAAATACAAAAAAAGTTAGACAGGCATGGTGGCGGGCGCCTGTAGTCCCAACTACTAGGGAGGCTGAGGCAGGAGAATGGCGTGAACCTGAGAAGCAGAGCTTGCAGTGAGCAGAGATCGCGCCACTGCACTCCAGCCTGGGCGACAGAGTGAGACTCCATCTCAAAAAATAAATAAATAAATAAATAAAGTAGCACAATCCTGTTCCCACCCACTCCAGCACCCTTATCAGGAGCAAGAACAGTCACTGGGGTGCCCAGCATGCCTCTCCATCACTCATTCAGGCAAGGGTTTTGGAGGGCTTTTCTTTGCTGGGAGGTGGCGGGAGAGGGGGATGTCAGAGCTCCCTGCCTTGATCAGAGATCCTGGAGCCAATTAGATTCTTGTTCCCAATGTGTCCCTTCCTGGAACTGGGTAATGCATCTACACTCTCTACCCTGTGACTCAAAGCACTTCCTGCTGGGAGTCAGGTACACATCCCGGCCCCGTTGACGTTGGCCTTGTCACCTGACTTGCTTCAGCGGATATGATACAAACAGAGATCAGAAATGTGCTTATGATCCCAGAACAAAAAAAGACACGTGGAGCTGGCTCCTGCTAAAAACCTGAGCTCGGCCAGGTGCAGTAACTCACACTTGTAATCCCAGCACTTTGGGAGGCTGAGGTGGGCAGATCACCTGAGGTCGGGAGTTCAAGACCAGCCTGGCCAACATGGTGAAACCTCATCTCTACTAAAAGTACAAAATTAGCCTGGCGTGGTGGCGCGCACCTGTAATCCCAGCTACTCACAAGGCTGAGGCAGGAGGATCGCACCATTGCACTCCAGCCTGGGCAAAAAGAACAAAACTCCAGCTCAAAAAAAAAAAAAAAGTAATAATAAAAATTTAAAACATTTTTAAAATAAAAAATAAAAACCTTAGCTCAACGTATGGTGTGGAACCAGACGCAGTGGAGCCAAGCTAAGCCCACACACATCTGGCCCGCAAATCCAGGTACAGGAATCATAAATACGTGTTGCTGTAAGTCACTGAGATTTTTTAGGTAGCTTGTTACACAGCATTATTGCAACGGAAACTGACTGATACAGACCTTCAGCTGGACCAAAGGGCTGGGTAAATCCAGATGTCCTCCTCTGTGCCCGGTGAGGGACAGGAGACTGTGCCATCATTTTGTCGTCCTTGATCAAAGCTGACCCGCTCATCAACCAAAGTGGGTATGACCAGTCTTCACAACACCAGGTGGCTTTCTAGACTCTTCTATGCTCAAGGCCTCCACTCCAGCCGCTTCCTGTTCTGGGCACACCTTTCCCTTAGGGGTCCACTTGGCTCTGTCCCCACCCCTTCTCAGTTTGTAGAAACCTCACTGTCTCAAGGAGGTCTGGCAGCTGTATTTCAAATACCAGGTTTATCTGCTTTTTTGTTTTTGTTTCTGTTTTGAGATAGGGTCTCACTCTGTAGCCCAGGCTGGAGTGCAGTGGTACAATTATGGCTCACTGCAGCCTCAACCTCCCAGACTCAAACAATCCTCCCACCTCAGCCTCCCAAGTGGCGGGAACTCCAGGCATGTGCCACCACACCCGACTAATTTTTGTATTTTTTGTAGAGATGGGTTTTTGCCATGTTGCCCAGGCTAGTCTTGAGCTTCTGAGTTCAAGCAGTCTGTCTGCCTTGGCCTCCTAAAGAGCTAGGATTACAGGTGTAAGCCACTGTGTCTGGTCTTATCTTTTTTTAGAAATAGAGTCTTGCTCTGTCGCCCAGGCTGGAGTGCAGAGGCACCATCACAGCTCACTTCAGTCTTGACTTCCCCGGCTCAAGCAATCCTCCCACTTCAGCCTCCCAAGTAATTGGGACTACAGTTGTGTACCACCATGCCTGGCTAATTTTTTTATTTTTACTTTTGTAGAGATGGGGGTCTCCCTTTGTTGCCCAGGCTGGCCTTAAACTCCTGGCTTCAAGCGATTCTCCTGCCTTGGCCTCCCAAAGTGCTGGGATCACAGGCATGACCTACCCTGCCTGGCCTTAAGTGTATCGAGGTATAACATACATGCACAGATTCTAAGCTTGTAGTTCAATGAGTTTTGACAAATGCATCCAGGGAACCACTCCCAAAACCAAGATATAGAACGTTGACCGCCTTCTTTAAACTTTAAACTGTTCTTTCCCATTCTTGTTATTCTGCTCTACTTTTTCTTGTCCCATAATACTCATCACTTTCTAATTTACTTATTGATTTCTATATTTATTTATTTACCTATTTATCATATTTTTTACCCATTTACAATATTGTTGTTTATGGTTTGTTTCTCCCCAGCATCATCCAGGCTCCACAGGGACGGGAATGGTTGTCTCTGTTGTTCAGATGTATCCCAACAGCCTAGAACAGGTCCTGGCACATAGTAGGTGCTCAGTAAGTAGATTTTTTTTTTTTTTTTTTGAGGCAGAGTCTCAGTCTGTTGCCCAGGATGTGGCTTACTGCAATCTCCACCTCCCAGGTTCAAGCGATTCTCCTGCCTCAGCCCCCCGAGTAGCTGGGATTACAGGCGCACACCATCATGCCCAGCTAGTTTTTGTATTTTTAGTAGAGATGGGGTTTCTCCATCTTGGCCAAGCTGGTCTCAAACTCCTGACCTCAAGTGATCCACCCGCCTTGGCCTCCCAAACTGCTGGGATTACAGGCATGAGCCACCACACCCGGGTGAAATTTTGAATGAACGAATGAACCCCCACTTTGCAGATGAGGACAGTGAGAAACAGAGATGGTATGTTTTTGTCCAAGGGAATACTGTCCGTGAGTTCATGGAGAAGTGGGAATTTGAACCCAGGTCCTCCAGCTCCAGAACACTGTCTCTCAGTCATGCTGCCTCTCAGGAATGAGAAGACTCACCTGGTTATCCCCGCCCCAGGCCCACTCAACAGCGCCACGGCCTCCAACTGCCATCTTACCTCAACCCACTCCCATGCGTTCCCTGTTCTCTTTGATCAGCTCGTTGGGCAGAACTTAACATCCACTGATGATGGGGACCATCCTGTAGGAAGCTGTGCTCTAGGTTGTGAGCTCACCAAGAGTGGGGTCCAGGTCTGAGTCACACTGGGGTCCCTGGGTCCAGCACAGTGGCCTCGCAGGTACAGACCAGAAATGGCGAATGAGCGGATAGATGGATGGATGCCAGGGTAGATGGATGAACTTTCCCTCCCAGCCATGTCCCCTGAGGAGGGGACAGCAGACAGTGGGTGGGCTGATGGAGGATGTTACCCTAGTACCTGTCTCTAAGAAACACGGTCTCTTGTGCAGAAGATTAGTGAGTTGCTTGACTTCCCCCTTTTCTGGAGCCCCTGCCCTGCCTAATTACAAGGAGAGACCTCTTTTTTTTTGAGCCAGAGTCTTGCTCTGTCGCCCAGGCTGGAGTGCAGTGGTGCAATCTTGGCTCACTGCAACCTCCGCCTCCCGGGTTCAAGCGATTCTCCTGCCTCAGCACCCCCGAGTAGCTGGGATTACCAGCGCGCACCACCACGCCCGGCCAGTTTTTGTATTTTTAGTAGAGATGTGGTTTCACCATGTTGGCCAGGCTGGTCTTGAACTCCTGAGGTCAGGTGATCTGCCTGCCTCGGCCTCCCAAAGTGCTGAGATTACAGGCGTGAGCCACCGCGACTGGCCGCAAGGAGAAACCTCTTGCAGGTATGACGTGAACATCCATCCACCGGCTTTTCATCCCTCCCTTTGCCCTTCGATGGACTTCCCTGTGCTAGAGGGACATCACAGAATGAGGGTCTATGCCGATCTGCTGGTTAGATTCGCCACCTCCCCTCCTCCAAAAAATCACAGGCATTTTCATACATTGCTGATGGAAGAATAAAATAGCACAACCCTCCTCTGCAGGGAAATTTGATTATAGCCAACAAAACGATGTGTATTTACCCCTAACCCAGCAATCTCATGTCAGGGATCCACTCTGAAGATAAATTTCCCACAATACTGAGTAGATTTACGCACGTGCTAAGCTATCGCAGTGTTATCTGTGATAAATTCACTCCCCCCACCGCCGGCAGGAGGGAAGTTGAGTAAATGGTGGTGCATCCACACAAAAGATACTGTGCAGTTAATAAGAAAAAAAAAATGAAGATCTCTAGGAACTGATATGGAGTGACTTTCAGGATACATTGTTGAGTGAAAAAAAGGTATAAAAAAGTATTTACTGTGGGGCAATTTTTTGTATGAGAAAAAAGAAAAGTACATCTGCTGATTTTTGTAAACAGAAACACTAGAAGGATAACTTTAAAATTAATGAAATCATGGCCAGGCATGGTGGCTCATGCCTGTAATCCCAGCACTTTGGGAGGCCAAGGCGGGTGGATCACCTGAGGTCAGGAGTTCGAGACTAGCCTGGACAACATGGTCTCTACTAAAAATACAAAAAATTAGCTGGGCATGGTGCCACGTGCCTGTAATCCCAGCTATTCAGGAGGCTGAGGCAGGAGAATCGCTTGAACCCGGGAGGCAGAAGTTGTGGTGAGCCGAGATCACGCCATTGCACTCCAGCCTGGGCAACAAGAGTGAAAAAAAAACACAAATTAATGAAATCAGTTACCTGTGGGGGCTGGGTAGGGAAGGGGTATTTGACTACACCTTTTTTATATAGTTATCACTTTTGTATCAAAAATTAATAAGGTTGAGGGAAAATGCCTAAAAGTCATTAAGAACATAAATAAATGGAGCTAACTATATATCAAATGGATACCATAACCGTATAGGAGAGAATACTTATTATTATTTTGAGATAGGGTCTCACTCTGTTGCCCAGGTTGGAGTGCAGTGGTATGATCATAGCTCACTGCAACCTCGAACTCCTGAGCTCAAGCCATCTTCCTCCCTCAGCTTCCCAAGTAGCTGGGACCACAGGCACAAGCCACCAATTGTTTGATTTTTTTTTTTTTTTTTTTTTTTTTTGAAGCGGAGTCTCGTTCTGTCGCCCAGGCTGGGGTGCAGTGGCGCGATCTCAGCTCACTGCAAGCTCTGCCTCCCGAGTTCACGCCATTCTCCTGCCTCAGCCTCCTGAGTAGCTGGGACTACAGGCGCCTGCCACCACGCCCGGCTAATTTTTTTGTATTTTTAGTAGAGACGGGGTTTCATCGTGTTAGCCAGGATGGTCTCCATCTCTGACCTCATGATCCGCCTGCCTCAGCCTCCCAAAGTGCTGGGATTACAGGTGTGAGCCACTGCACCTGGTCTTTTCTTTCTTTTTTTTTTCTTTTTTTTTTTTTTTTGTAGAGACAGGGTCAGGCTCTGTCCCCCAGAGTGAAATGCAGTGGCACTACTATAGCTCATTGCAGCCCCAACCTCCTGGGCTCAAGCAATCCTCCTGCCTCAGCCTTCCGAGCAGCTGTGACTACAGGCACACACCATCACACCGGGCTAGAATTTTTTTTTAAGTAGTTAATACAATTTTTTTAATTCCCTCGAGCTTATTTAATTGTCAACCCCATTCCATAATATGCACTCAATAAATAAATGCTTGAGTGAGTGAGTGAGTGAGTGAGTGAGGGAGTGAGTGAATGACATAAGGGTAGAGGCAGGAAGCTGAGCATCTGTCCTCCCCTCCACTGAGATGTCTCTACTCTGATCGCAATTTATGCAATGTAAGCTCTGTTAAGATCAACTTCATATCACAAAAATGAGCCACAGGTTGTTTCTGGGGCCCATACCCTCATCACCCACCTCTTCCCAAGCAAGACTCTGAAATCACACCTTGCTCTCTTTTCTTCCTCTTCCCTTCTGCTTCCCCCACATCCTCACTGATCTCCCATGGGAGCCTTTTCTTAATAAAACACTTGCCGTTTTCTTTGTTTGTTTGTGAGGGCTGCCAAAACAAAGCATCACACACTGGGACTTAAGCAAGATTTAATGTCCCACAATTCTGGAGGCTGGAGGTTCTGAAACCAAGGGGATGGCAGTTGGGGGCTGTGGTGGCTCATGCCTGTAAGCTCAGCACTTTGGGAGGCCGAGGCCAGAGGACTGTTTGAAGCCAGGAGTTGGAGACCAGCCTGGGCAACATAACAAGACACTGTTTCTACTAAAAATATTAAAATTATGGCTGGGTGCGGTGGCTCACATCTGTAATCCCAGCACTTTGGGAACCTGAGGCAGCTGGATCACCTGAGGTCGGGAGTTCAAAACCAGCCTGGCCAACATGGTGAAATGCTGACTCTACTAAAAATACAAAAAGTAGCTAGGCGTGGTGGTGGGTGCCTGTAATCCCAGCTACTCGGGAGGCTGAGGCACAAGAATTGCTTGAATGCCTGGGCAACAGAGCAAGACTCCATCTCAAAATAAATAAATATATACATACATACATACATACATACATACATACATACATACATACAAAAATTCGCCAGGCATGGTGGTACGTGTCTGTAATCCCAGCTACTCCGGAGGCTGAGGCAGGGGATCACTTGAGCCCAGGAGTTTGAGGCTGCAGTGAGCTACAATCGTACCACCGCACCCCAGCCTGGGTGACAGACCTTCTCTCTAGAAGAAGTAAAAAACGGGGGTGTTGGCAAGGCTGGTTTCTTATCAGGTCTGTGAGGAAGAATCTGTTCCAGGCCTTTCTCCTCGGCTCACAGATGGCCGTCTTCTCTCTGTCTCTTTGCAGCCTCTCCCCTCTGTGTGTCCCGTGTCCAAATTTTCCTTTTTTTATAAGGACACCAGTCATATTGGACTAGGATCCATTCTAGTGACCTCATTTTACTTGATCATCCGCAAAGACCCTATTTCCAAGTAAGGTCATTCGTTACAGGTACTGGGGGTTAGAACCTCCACATCTTTTGGGGGACCCAATTTAACTCATAACCTTTGCCTATCAACCTGCCTTAGAGAAGAGCATTACTGGAAAACAGCAGGACTACTGTGACAGTTAATTATTAATACACATAAAGCATTAATGACAGGACCTGGGACACAGCATGTGGGTGATTTTTTTTTTTTTAAGACGAGGTCTTGCTCTGTGTCTAAGACTGGAATGTTGTGGTGCAATCATAGCTCACTGCAGCCTCAAACTCCTGGGCTCAAGTGATCCTCCCACTTCAGCCTCCCAAGTAGCTGGGACTACAGGCGTGTGCCATCATGCCCAGCTCATTTTTTAAATTTTTTGTACAGTAGGTGTCTCACTATGTTGCCCAGGCTGGTCTCAAACTCCTGGGCTGTTATTTTTATTGTGATTTATTATTATTATATACTGAGGTGTGGTCTTCACTCTCTTAAATACCCCAGGGCTCACCACCGAGCTGAGGGTATCCCTTGTGGAGGGGTTCCCACCAGTCATTTTTCCTCCCACCCTTCATCACAGCTGGTTCCCCAGCTCCCCAGGCCCACAGCCCCAAGGGACAGATCTGATACTGCATCTTCCAAGAAGCTTGGAAGAAGCACAAACCACTTAGGAAAAAGGTTGAAGCCATGAAGGAAAACTACCAATGCCACAAAGACAAAGATGATCTCACCGTTAAAATGCCAGCAGCCTCAACACTCTGCTATAGAGGCGATCATAAAAGTTTCAACCCTCCAGAGCCTCCTTGTAATGTTTACAACTGTTTGCAGGGTTTCACTTCCAGAGGACGCCAGAGGAGCAGATGTGCGCTGAGTCAGCAGCTTCTGGGGTCTTAAGGAATCAGAGCAGAAGGCTGGGGCTGTGTGCATTGCTCTGAGATCTGCCTGGGACAGCTGAGCAGGAGGGGATGAGTCAATTTTGGGCTCTGCATTCCTTCCAGTTTGAGGAACGCAGGCCACAACACACCGACCTGTGACTGTTTTTGCAGAAGACTTGGTCTGCCTGAGCAGACCCAGTATCGTGTCTCCACAATTCAACGAGGGTTTGAGAACCTCGACCACCCCCTTTTCTATGCATCAAATATTCAGCAATTCTTTCCAAAGGGATGGTGAAACGGGAGACAGCCTTGTTTGTCTGGCAGGCGAGGCCCCAGCTATCAGCTCAGTTCAAGGTACAGGGGTTCTGCAAGCTGCCAAATGAAAGAAAGCATTTGCGTATGAAAAGAAGAGCCCAGGAACAAAGGAGAGAGAACGGCGTGTGTGTCCCACTCTCTCGGTGGCCTTGGTGATGCTTGACATTTCTGCGAAATGAATTTAGCGCAAAAACCAACAATTCAAAACCTTGTGCCAAACAACTGATGCGAATAGAACCGGTGGGAGAAGAAACAACACGAGGGTGAAATGTGTCCTAAAATAGTCATCGTTTGCTGCTGTGGTCCACGCCAGCAGAGAAGAACGAGTTGTCAGGGGAGTTGTATTAAAGCAGAAAAAAAGGAACGAGGGCCTCGCTGTTGAGGGAAAGAGTACGGGCTTGCATGAGCAGTGGGGGAGGTGGGGGAGTTCTTTCTCTGATTTACTCAGATTCTCTGTCTATAAATTCCCAGCAAACTGTGCAAATTCTGCTTTGAATCCCCCAAGGACCCGGCCACTTACAAAGCGGTGCCGCAAGTGACCAAGCTCCATCCCACAGGCCCCTCCTACTCAACATGCCCAAAATTGACTCATTCTCTGCCCCCTAACAACTCCCCGTACCCCAAGCCCACTCCACTCCACCATTTTCCATCTCAGCAAGAGACCCCACCACCCAGGCACTGGGAGATGGGGCATCCTCTCTCGCCCCATCCAACCCACTGCCACCACTTCCTCCCTGGTGAGGCAGTGTTGGGCCATGAGGATGCTGGCAGGCTTTGGGAGCCAGACTGCTGGGGTTCTGGGTTCAAATCCCAACTCTTCCACTTACTAATCATGTGACCTTGAACAAGTTCATTTCTTCAAGTCTCAGTCTCCTTTTCTGTCAAATACCTCCTGTAGTCCCAGCTACTCAGGGGGTTGAGATGGGAGGATTGCTTCACAGTTGCATCTGCATCTGTATTAAGAGTTCTCTAGAGGGATGGAACTCACAGGATAGATGTATATACAAAGGGAAGTTTATTAAGGAGTATTGGCTCACACGATCACAAGGTGAGGTCCCACAGTAGGCCATCTGCAAGCTGAGGGACAAAGAAGCTAGTCTGAGTCCCAAAACCTTAAAAGTAGGGAAGCCAAGGGTGTAGCCTTCGGTCTGTGGTCAAAGGTCCAAGAGTCCCAAAGCTAAAGAACTCAGAGTCTGATGTTTGAGGGCAGGAAGCCTCCAGCACAGGAGAACGAGGGAGGCCAGAAAACTAAACCAGTCTAGTCTTTCCACGTTCCTCTGCCTGCAATTTTTTTTTTTTTTTTTTTTTTTTTTTAGACAGAGTCTCGCTCTGTCACCCAGGCTGCAGTGCAGTGGCGCTATCTCGGCTCACTGCAAACTCTGCCTCCCGGGTTCATGCCATTCTCCTGCCTCAGCCTCCAGAGCTGGGACTATAGGCACCTGCCACCACGCCCAGCTAATTTTTTGTATTTTTAGTAGAGATGGGGTTTCACCATGTTAGCCAGGATGGTCTCGATCTTCTGACCTCATGATCCACCCGCCTTGGCCACCCAAAGTGCTGGGATTACAGGCGTGAGCACTGCACCCAGTCCTCCGCCTGCTTTTATTCTAGCGGCACTGGCAGCTGATAGTGCCCACCCAGAATGAGGGCGGGTCTGCCTCTCCCAGTCTACTGACTCAAATGTTAATCTCCTTTGGCCACACCCTCACAGACACACTCAGGATCAGTACTTTGCATCCTTCAATCCAATGAAGTTGACATTCAATATTAATCATTAGAGCATCCTATTGCAGATGGGAGAATTCTGTGCTTTAAAACCCATAACAGGCAAGGTGCAGTGGCTCATGCCTGTAATCCCAGCACTTTGGGAGGCCAAGGCGGGTGGATCACTTGAGGTCAGGAGTTCGAGACCAGCCTGGCCCTAACATGGTGAAACCCCGTCTATACTAAAAATACAAAAATTAGCCAGGTGTGGTGGTGCATGCCTACAATCCCAGCTACTCAGGAGGCTGAGGCAGGAGAATCGCTTGAACCAGGGAGGCGGAGGATGCAGTGAGCCAAGATCGCGCCACTGCACTCCAGCCTGGGCAACACAGGGAGACTCCATCTCAAAAAAAAAAAAGTGGCACAATTCATATTCTTAGCAGGGCATTAGGAGAACAAAGACCCAATGTCTGACCTGGGGACAGGCCCCCGATCCGCCCTGTTGGCAGGGGTGGCAGATACTGCCACACTGCACCTCCTCTCCCCTCATGCAGGGTTCAGCTGTGTTAGGGTTCAGGACCGGAAGGAAACTGGGTGTTGCCGGGGACCCTCATGCCTTGGGTAACTGGTTAGAGGATCAAATGAACTCTTGGAGAAGTAGGGGGCTATTCTTGCCTCAGGCTATTTTAAAGTGTTCTTACTAGACAAGGGCCAGGTGTCATTTCAGAACCACCTCCCACTAGAATAGTACACAGCTGCCCATGTCCCTACTAGTACCTTCAAGAGAACCTAGGATAAGCTGGGAGCAGTGGTTCATGCCTGTAATCCCAGCCCTTTGGGAAGCCAAGGTGGGAGCATGGCTTGAGGCCAGGAGTTTGGGACTAGCCTGGGCCACATAGCAAGACCCTATTTCTACCAAAATAAAAATAAAAAATAAAAATTAGCCAGGTGTCGTGGTGTGCACCTATAGTCCCAGCTACTCAGGAGGCTGAGGTGGGAGGATGGCTTGACCCTGGGAGTTCAAGGCTGCTGTGAGCCATGATCACACCACTGCACTCCAGCCTGGGCAAGAAAGCAAGACCCCCATCTCTAGAAATAATAAAAATAATAAATAGAAGAGGAAATGACAAAATAATAATAATAAAAAATAGAAGAGGAGAAGGCCCAGAGAAGGAGGGCCATGTAATGATGGAGACAGATCAGAGTGACATAGCTACAAGCCAGGCAATGCCAGGGGTTTTCTGCAACACTAGAAGCTGGAAGAGGCAGGAAGGATTCTCCCCCAGGCCCCTCGGGGGACACATGTCCTGCTGACACCTGATGTCAGACATCTGGTCTCCAGAGCTGTGATAGAATAAACTTCTGTTGTTTCACCCACCCAGTCTTCAGTAACTCGATACAGGAGCCCCAGGAGGCTAATACCAGGTTCTCTTCCACGTCACCCCCAGCACCTTTAAGCAACCCTGTGTCCCTCATTAAACACCATTTATAACCAACCACATCACCGTGGACTAGTAGTCATAACATGACATTCTGTAGATGTTTAATTAAACTTGTTATTGATTATGATTATGCAATTTCCTTCCCACATTTCACAGCCAATAATTGCTTTTTCCAGGTCTCAAAACTTTTCTTCAGCCTTAAAGAAGCCACAGCCTCCGTGCCCACAAGGCATCAGTAGAACAAACATCTCTCACTTTGCTGTCTCCTCTCTCAGCAAGAAGACACACCTGAGGACAAGGAAAGTCATGCCGGGTCAGGCATGGTGGCTCACGCCTGTAATCCCAGCCCTGTAGGAGGTTGAGGCAGGAGAACTGCTTGAGGCCAGAAATTTGAGACCAGCCTGGGCAATATAGCAAAACCCCATCTCTACAAAAAAACAAAAAATTAGCCAGCATTGGGGGGTGCATGCATGTGGTCTCAGCTACTTGGGAGGCTGAGGCAGAAGGATCCCTTGAGCCCAGGAGGTTGAGGCTAGTGAGCTATGATGGTGCCACTGCACTCCAGTGTGGGTGACAGAGCAAGACCCTGTCAAAAAAAAAAGAAAGAAAAGAAAAGCAAGAAGGAAAGAAAGGAAGGGAGGGAGGAAGGGAAGAAGGAAGGGAGGGAGGGAAAGAAAGCCCTGAGCTGTCTCCTTGAGCAGAAAAGCCAGCCCACCCCAGTGGGCTCTTCCTGCACTACTACAGACAGGCAGGTGCCAGGCCAGGTGTGGCAATGTCACTTTTGTTCAGGAGTGGAGGGAGCAAGTGTCCACTCTCTCCCCACTCCCTGGGGACTGGGCTGTGGTCAAGTGATCCAGGCTCAGCCAATCAGACTCCTACAGAGAGAGACAGATGTTTGATGAAGGGGGAAGAGGGTGGAGGTCAGCAGAGGCCCTCCCTGGCACACCTGGGCTCCTCCCAGCCTCTGTAGTATTTTAGAGATTAGGACATTAGGAGAAAAAAGGTCCAATGCCTGACCTGGGCACAGGCCTGGGATCCCGCCCTGCCTTCCCTTAGTCAGTCCCACAGCTGCCCCTGGCTTCAGCAAGCCCTCTTGGCAGCTCAGCCCCTGCCTGTTCACTACATGGAGGTCCCTTCTGCCTTTCAGGCTCATCAACACTGACTGCATTCACAAGTCTTCTCTTTCTTTTCTAGAGACAGGGTCTTGCTCTGTGGCTCAGGCTGGAGCACAGTGGCAGGATCAGGGTTCACTACAGCCTCAAACTCCTGGGCTCAAGCAATCCTCCCACCTTAGCCTTCTGAGTAGCTGGAGGCATGCACCCCCACACCTGCTATTTTATTTTATTATTATTTTTTTTTTTTTGAGATGGAGTTTTGCTCTTGTTGCCCAGGCTGAAGTGCAATGGCGCAATCTCGGCTTACTGAAAGCTCCGCCTCCCAAATTCAAGCGACTCTCCTGCCTCAGCCTCCCTAGTAGCTAGGATTACAGGCACCCGCCACCACGACCAGCTAATTTTTTGTATTTTTAGTAGAGACGGGTTTTCACTCTGTTGGCCAGGCTGGTCTCAAACTCCTGACCTCAGGCAATCCACCTGCTTCGGCCTCCCAAAGTGCTGGGATTACAGGTGTGAGCCACCATGCCCAGCTACTTGCTAATTTTTAAATTATTTTTTGTAGAGACAGGGTGTTGCTCTGTTGCCCAGGCTGGTCTTGAACTCCTGGCCTCAAGCGATCCTCCCATCTTGGCCTCCCAAAGCATTAAGATTACAGGCATGAGCCACCATGCCCGACCTGAGTCTCCCTCTTAAAGAGATGACAGCTTTGAAATCAGACACACAGGGTCCAAGTCATGCTCCTGTTATCCTGAGCAAGCCACAACCCTCCCTGAGCCCCAGCTTCCTCATGTGACCAATGGGAGCACTTCCATCCACCACGGTGCTCGAGGAAACAGGTCTTAAACTCCAGTCATACAGTGGCTTGTTTTACCATCCACTGGGTGGCCAGGCTGTGCCGCAGGACAGAATCACATAGGAATGCAGACAAGGTTAAAAGGCAGATAAGTGTCCTCCAGGGAAGAGAAGAGAACAGTGCAGGATTCGAGGTCACTTAGAACAGACAAAACACGCGCATCAGGCCCCAGTGGTGCAACATTTATTTACAGCGAGAGAAGAGAGGACGCTCACAATCTAGCCCCTTGCAATGTGCCAGTCCCCCAAGGCCAGCAGAGCCGCTCAACTGCTGACATGGGCAGTGTAGCTGCACAAACCCCACTTCATGCTGCAGTGGAAGGACCCCTCCTTCTCCCTCCCCCATGGGGTTGGGGGGTCTCAGATACAGACAACTGGGGGCCATGTATGCATGTGCTGAAGCAGAACAAAATACACGTGGAGTCTGAAACAGGGAACGATACCTCCACGCAGGGCGCTAAGCTCAGCACAGGCTGCGTGAGCTCCCTAGTTCTTGGTAAGGAAGTGATCCAGCCCTAAGACCCACTCTTTTGGTTTACAGACAGAATCTCACTCTGTCACCCAGGCTAGAATGTAGTGGCACCATTATAACTCACTGCAGCCTTTTAACTCCTGGGCTCAAGCCATCCTCCTGCCTCAGCCTCCCAAGTTGCTGGAACTACGGGCGCACGCCACCATGCACAGCTAATTTTTTTTTTTTTTTCAGAGACAAAATTTCGCTCTTGTTGCCCAGGCTGGAGTACAATGGCTCGATCTCGGCTCACCACAACCTCCGCCTCCCAGGTTCAAGCGATTCTCCTGCTTCAGCCTCCCAGGTAGCTGGGATTACAGGCGCCCACCACCACGCTCGGCTAATTTTGTATTTTTAGTAGAGACGAGTTTTCTCCATGTTGTTCAGGCTGGTCTCAAACTCCTGACCTTGGGCGATCCGCCCACCTCGGCCTCCCAAACTGCTGGGATTACAGGCGTGAGCCACCACGCCCAGCACCTCCCCCTCCAACTTTTTTTTTTTTTAGAGGCAGGGTCTTGCTATGCTGTCCAGCTGCCAGGGCCCTTTCTTTTTTTTTTTTTTTTTTGAGACGGAGTCTCGCTCTGTCGCCCAGTCTGGAGTGCAGTGGCGTGATCTCGGCTCACTGCAAACTCCACCTCCTGGGTTCACGCCATTCTCCTGCCTCAGCCTCCGGAGTAGCTAGGACTACAGGTGCCCGCCACCACGCCCGCTGCCAAGGCCCTTTCTTATGTGGCCAAGCTGGGGTTGAAAACTGCCTTTCCAACAGCTGAATAAGCAGTCCCTGGAGTTTCCATGCCTTCTCTCTTCTTCCTAACCACTGTGGCCATAACTCTACTGAACACTATTTCCCAACCTTGTGTCCTGGACACACTCCATCAACCCACGCCTCAGGAGGGGCGTCCTGAGAGAGCAGAAGCTGAGATTGAGACCTTTGCCCCACCTGGAAGGTGAGTCACCCTCAGGGTGGGCCATCCTGGGTTTGCCTTACCCAGTTTCACTGCTCTCCTTTTCCTCATCCACCAATCCATTTTCTGTTTCCTGATCAGCTTTTATCTCCTTTCATCCTTCACCCTTGAACCTTCTCCGTCACACACAACACATCTCCCAAAGGACAGAGCAAAGGAAGAGCTGTCTGTCGGGGAGTAAATGTCCAGTGTGAGGCTGGATACCAAGACGGTGTTCATGAATACCTGCTCTTTCGGTTTAGAGAACAGAGTCTCACTCTATTGCCCAGGCTAGAATGCAGTGGCACCATCATAGCTCACTGCAGCCTTGAACTCCTGGGCTCAAGCCATCCTCCTGCCTCAGCCTCCCGAGTAGCTAGAACTACAGGCACACACCACCATGCCTGGCTAATGAATGAGCAACATCTCAGATGACAGCCAAGAGAAAGTGCATTTCACTGCTGACTTGGCGACATCCTTGGTGGCCTGTGAACTCTCCCAGAGGGGACACATGATCCAGCTCCCACCCATCTGGGGACACTTAACCTGCTAGTTCCTCAGTGTATCCACCTGTAAAATGAAGCAACCACATCTCAGCCCCACACTGTGGTTGTGGAAGATCGTGGTGCCTGCATGGCATATGCCACATTATTTTCTCGTTGCTCTTAAAAATGGGTGCAAGTGGGCCGGGCACCGTGGCTCACACCTGTAATCCCAGCACTTTGGGAGGCTGAGGTGGGCGGATCATGAGGTCAGGAGATCGAGACCATCCTGGCTAACAAGGTGAAACCCCGTCTCTACTAAAAATACAAAAAATTAGCAGGGCATGGTGGCGGGCGCCTGTAGTCCCAGCTACTTGGGAGGCTGAGGCAGGAGAATGGCGTGAACCTGGGAGACGGAGCTTGCAGTGGGCCGAGATCACGCCACTGCACTCCAGCCTGGGTGACGAGCGAGACTCCGTCTCAAAAAAAAAAAAAAAAAAAGGTGCAAGTGGCTGGTAGACATTAGACACCCGATCCCTACAGCTCTGGCTCTGTCCATTATAAAGCTCTGAGATTTTTTTTTTTTTTTTTTTTTTTTTTTGAGACGGAATCTCGCTCTGTCGCCCAAGCTGAAGTGCAGTGGCGTGATCTCGGCTCACTGCAACCTCCGCCTCCCGGGTTCAAGCAATTCTCCCGCCTCAGCCTCCCAGGTAGCTGGGACTACAGGTATGTGCCACCACACCTGGCTAATTTTTTATATTTTTAGTATAGATGGGGTTTCACCATGTTTTCCAGGCTGGTCTGAACTCCTGACCTCAGGTGAGCGGCTCACCTTGGCCTTGCAAAGTGCTGGGATTACAGCCGTGAGCCACTCCGCCCAGCCATCTCCAAGATCTCGAAGTCTATGTTGTGCAACTTTTAACTTCTCCTTTTTAACTAAGAATTAACTCAGAGGTAATTGCTTAAGTCACATTGATGAAAATCAATATGGAGTGAATTAAACGTAAAGCTAAATGTATCCCGAACGTGTCCCTCGCCGCCTTTGCATAATGCTATGACAAAGCAATGGTTTTATCTTCCAAGCTTAGCGTTTTTGTTGCTGGACATCTCAAAAGGAAATGTAATTAGAGGACTCATTTATCAAAAATATTAAGGAAATGGAGGAATGGGAATTGGTTTGCAACGGTTCTGGAAATTACATCAACGTGACCCTCAGGTCTGCATTTTTCACGCTGTGTCCAGCGAGTTTCTTGAAATAGGCAATTTTTCCTCCTCCCTCCCGACTCTACAAATCAATAGACATGAGCAAGGTTGATTGGGAGGTGGCGAAGGAGCAGGCGCCTAAGAGAAGGGCCCTGTCTCCCATCCCAGGGTGGAAGTCTCCTCACCGCGACGCCAGGCTGGCTGGCAGGAGAAAGACTTATTTTTCTGCAACTACATTGCCAAGAATACAGCATCCGGTCCCCCAGATCTGAATGAAAGAGCCTGGTTTCCGGGTTTGTGTGTGTGTGTGTGTGTGTGTGTGTGTGTGTGTGTGTACGCATTTCATAATTCAGAATGTGTTTGGTTTTCATTTGCAACCCAGCCTGCCGGCCCATCTTCCCCCCGACTCTGCTTCCCCAAAGCTTGTCCCTAACCAAGATGAATACATCAAGTCTTCTCGGCTCTAGCTGCCTCGCCAGGAAGGAATGTGGGTGTGTTGGGAGTGAGACCAGAAGATTCTCCTGGGTGGGGGTTCTCAAGACTCCCCCCTGGGGGTCGAAATAGACGCGGGCCACACCCAGGGGGCTTTTACAAAGTGCACAGTCCCAGTCCCCCACTTAGAGGGTGAGGCCCGGGCAGGTTTTGCAGAAACTCCCTGTGTGGTTCTGGTGCACACCTTGCTTAAGAACCTTCTCAAGTCTAGCGCCTTCACTTCCCAAGAGGCAGCAGGAGACCCAGGAGAGAAGGAAGATCTCTGGGAGCAGATGGTAATCAGCGCCAACTCCAACATTAACACCTGTGGCAGGGCTGTGGCCGGCCCAGGGAGATCCAGTGTTCTGATTGGCCAGGCCTGGATCACTCATGGATGGCCAATCACTCATCCATGTTCTGATTGGCCAGGGGGTGGGGTTAACCAGCCAAGTCCGAAGGGACCCCGAGTGGAGGGCGGTTCCCTGGGGAAATCAGGCTCAAAGGGCCCTGGGAGCCCCACCCTCTAGAAGCTGAGCCCAGGAACCCCAAAGTGCTCCAGGCATCCATTCCACAGAGTCATGACTCGGACAGGGGTGAGCCTGAGCCCCTGGAAGATTCTAGAACCTTCCAGAACCTCATCCATCTTATCTCCCAGGTCAGCAGAAAAACTATGAATGTGCACAAGGTCTAGGGTGAGGGGAAGTCTGTTAACACTGCTGAGTGTTAACAGAAAAAAAAAATCCTGTAAAATATTTAAAGAGGTTTATTCTGAGCATATTTGAGTGACCATAACCCAGGGAACAGCCTTAAGCGGTCCTGAGAAAGTGTGCCCAAGGAGGTCTGGTTACAGCTTGGTTTTATACATTTTAGGGAAACAGGAATTGCAGGTAAAATCATAAATCAATGCATGGAAGGTTTACACTGGTTCAGCAGGAAGAGGCTGGACATCTCCAAGCAGGGGGATTACAAGTCATAGGCGAGTTTTAGGGATATTCTAGTTGGTAATTGACTGGAAGAGTTAAGCTTTTTCTAAAGACTTGAAGTCGTAGAAAGGAATGCTGAAGTTCCTGTTATCTGTCATGGGATGATATACAGGAGTCAGGTTGGAGAGTAAGCCACACTGACCCAGTGCAGTGGCTCACACCTATAATCCCAGCACTTTGGGAGGCCGAGGCGGGCGGATCACTTGAGGTCAGGAGTTCAAGACCAACTTGGCCAAGCCCTGGTGAAAGCCCATCTTTAGAAAAATACAAAAAATTAGCCAGACATGGTGGCACATACCTGTAATTCCAGCTACTTGGGAGGCCAAGGCATGAGAATTGCTTAAACCTGGGAGGTGGAGGTTGCAATGAGCTGAGATCAGGACATTGCACTCCAGCCTGGGCAACAGAGCGAGACTCTGTCTCAAAAAAAAGTAAGCCACATTATACTGGATTATAAAAAAAATTCTTTTTAAAACCTGGCCAGGTGCAGTGACTCACACCTATAATCCCAGCATTTTGGGAGGCTGAGGCGGGTGATCACTTAAGCTCAGGCATTTAAGACCAGCCTGGGCAACATGGCAAAACCCCGTCTCTATAAAAAAGTGGCCATATGTGGTGGTGTGCTCCTGTAGTCCCAGCTACCCGGGAGGCTGAGGTGGGAGGGTCACTTGAGCCCAGGAAGTCAAGGCTACAGTGAGCCACGGTCTTACCACTGCACTCCAGCCTGGGTGTCAGAGTAAGACCTTGTCTCAAAGAAAAAAAAACACTTTTATTGAGATTTTATGGTTTATAGGGAGTGATTTAACCCTTGCCTAGCATAGCCTCAGGTCCTGTTTATAATTTGGTATCTTATTGCCACAAAGAGTCTGTTCTGTCGTTCTGTCAGTCTTAGGATCTCTGTCTTTTTTTTTTTTTTTTTTTGAGACGGGTCTTGCTGTGTCACCCAGGCTGGAGTGCAGTGGCGCGATCTCAGCTTACTGCAAGCTCCACCTCCCAGGTTGGAGCCATTCTCCTGCCTCAGCCTCCTGAGTAGCTGGGACTGCAGGCGCCCGCCACCACACCTGGCTAGTTTTTTTGTATTTTTAGTAGAGACGGGGTTTTACCATGTTAGCCAGGATGGTCTCGATCTCCTGACGTCATGATCCGCCCACCTCAGCCTCCCAAAGTGCTGGGACTACAGGTGTGAGCCACCACGCCCGGCCTGGAGTTTCACTCTTGTTGCCCAGGCTGGAGTGCAGTAGCACCATCTTGGCTCACTGCAACCTGTGCCTCTCAGGTTCAAGTGATTCTCCTGCCTCAGCCTCCCAAGTAGCTGGAATTACAAGTGCCTGCCATCACTCCCGGTTAATTTTTGTATTTTTAGTAGAGACAGGGTTTCACCATGTTGGCCAGGCTAGTCTCGAGCTCCTGACCTCATGATCCACCCGCCTCAGCCTCCCAAAGTGCTAGGATTACAGGCATGAGCCACCGTGCTCGGCCAGGTCCTGTTTATAATTTGGTATCTTATTGCCACACAGAGTCTGTTCTGTCCATCTTAGGATCTCTATTTTAACCTTAATGCTGGTCATTTGTGTCTAAAATGAAAAAAGTGCTGTGTGGGGGTGGGTGTGTGGCATAACAAGGCGAGCTCAACCTCCCTGTCTGCCATGGCCAAGAACCCAGTGTTTTGGGTTTCTCTGGAATCCCCCTTGGTTGGCCAAGCAGAGGGTCCGCTCTGTCAGTGGGTGGAGGGGCTTGGGATTTTATTTTTCATTTAGAAGAGGAAACAAAGGCAGATGTACAGGCTCAGTTTTGAAAAGGAATAGAAAGTAAAAAAGGCTGAGTCTTCTGGGCTGGGAGAGGAAGGAGTGGGCAGGGTGGGGAGGAACCCAAGAAGCATCTGGAGGCAAGAATTCCCAGACTGGATCGGTTATACATGAACTGAGAGGACGCCGGGGAGGATTAATTCATTCATTCATAGGAACAGAAGCCAGGCCAGCCAGGTTCATCTTGACACATGGGTCTACACCTGCGGCCCCTTGGTCTCTCCAAATCCACAAATGCTGGACATTCGTGTCCCTTTGATGCCTTTTTGCAGCCGGACTTCAGTATTTCCCAGTTCAGGACAAGCGAGCATTTGGATCTTTGGAATGGCAGAATTCTGAAGCTAATGAGGCCATTACTCTTCAAAGGTTTAATTTGTTTTGATGGGCCAATCTATAATCATATTTCCAAACAGCTTCTATTTAATTACTGCACAAAACAAATGAGGTGCCTGAGCAGTTTGCATCTGATCAACTCTCTGCCATGGTCTGAATGTCTTTGTCCCCCCAAAAATTTAGTTGTTGAAACTGAGACCCCAAGGCAATGGTATTAGGATGTGAGGGCTTTGGAGGTGATTAGGTCATGAGGGCGGAGTCCTCCTGTCTCCATTTCAACATTCACCTTGTTCAATGTGAACAATGCCCAGAGCTGCCTAATAATTTTTGGATGGATTTAATGTACACTATTCAGATTTTTTTTTCTCTTGCTTGCAATCAAATACGCCTGACTTACACCAGAACCACAGTCTTGCCCCTTGTAATACAGGTCTCCAGGCAGGGAGGGGGCTAAGTCCATGACTCACTGGGGTTGTTCAGTGTGAAATTGTCCAACCCTCTTTTCCTGACCATGCCCCTTGCTCTGCTCATCTAGATCATATGTTTGCTGCAGGGATACTGCAATAAACAAGGTGGCAGAAAAAGAAATGGTTAAAGAAGCAATTGCGGCTGGGCGCGGTGACTCACGCCTGTAGTCCCAGCACTTTGGGAGGCCGAGGTGGGCAGATCACTTGAGGTCATGAGATCGAGACCAGTCTGGCCAATGTTGTGAAACCCTGTCTCTATTAAAAACACAAAAATTAGCCAAGTATGGTGGCGCATGTCTGTAATCCCAGCTGCCCTGGAGGCTGAGGCAGGAGAATCTCTTGAATCCGGGAGACAGAGGTTGCAGTGAGCTGAGATTGCGCCACTGCACTCCAGCCTGGGGAACAGAACCAGACTCCCGTTCCAAAAAAAAAAAAAAAAAAAGCAATTGCAACACAGCCAGGTAGGTATTAAAACAGAAGATACGGGGCACTGTGGGAGCACAGATGAGGGCCACCTAGTCAGTGTAGGGGGTGGCCAGGGATGAGGAGGGACCAGAGCTGACTAGCGCAGGAAGAGGACAGAGCCAGAGTGACCAGCTGTCCCAGTTTACCTGGGACTATCTTGGTTTTAGTGTTGACAGTTCCATGTCCCGGCTGGGTGTGGTGGCTCATGCCTGTAATCCCAGCACTTTGGGAGGCAGAGGTGGACGAATCACCTGAAGCTAGGAGTTTGAGACCAGCCTGGCCAATATATCAAAACCCTGTCTCTACTAAAAATACAAAAATTAGCTGGGCATGGTGGTACACACCTGTAATCCCAGCTACTCTGGAGGCTGAGGCAGGAGGATCTCTTGAATCTGGGAGGTGGAGGTTGCAGTGAGCCAAGATCGCACCACTGCACTCCAGCCTGGGCACGAAGCAAGACTCCATCAGAAAGAAAGGAAAGGAAATGAGATGGGAGGGAAGGGGAGGGGGAGGAGAGAGGGCTCAGGCCTGTAATCCCAGCACTTTGGGAGGCTGAGGCGGGCGGATCACGAGGTCAGGAGATCGCAACCATCCTGGCTAACACAGTGAAACACCGTCTCTACTAAAAATACAAAAAAATTAGCTGTGCATGGTGGCAGGCGCCTGTAGTCCCAGCTACTCCGGTGGCTGAGGCAGGAGAATGGTGTGAACCCAGGAGGCAGAGCTTGCAGTGAGCCGAGATTGCACCACTGCACTCCAGCCTGGGCGACAGAGCGAGACTCTGTCTCAAAAAAAAAGAAAAAAGAAAAGAAAGAAAGTCTCACATCCTGAGAAACCCCCACAGTGCCAGGCAACCTGGGTGGTCGGTCTCCCAAGATGGAGCCCCCAGGGGATTGGTTTGTGCCTGGGGTGGAGAGTGGAGGGCAAAGGGTGGAGAGAAATTGAGATGGAGCAGGATCATCAGGGGTCTTGCCGCCCATGGAAGAAGGTCTGGATCTTGGAGCCCAGATCAAAGAGCGAGGGGAGGCATGGGAGATTCTCACACAGGAACACAAGATGATGAGATCTGTGACTTTGCCAAGATTCTTCTGCCTGCTCTCCATGAGAACGGGGTTTTGGGGTGAGAGAGAGGGCAGAGAGGTCCGTCTAGGGGCGACTGCAAGAGACACCCCACACACAGGGACGCTGCAGGGAGGCCCGTGGTGACAGTGGAGGTGTTTCAAGTGCGATTCTGAGTCTTTTGTGGGAGAGTGGACCAGTGCCAGACTCACTCTGAGCCCTCAAAGAGAGCCACAGCCCATCTCCTCTGATAGACGCACCCTGCTCCCTGCACACGGATGCTCTTCTCAGCGTGTGCACTGTTGCAGGCAGTTCTAGGGATTTTGCAAACTTCTGAGATCGATTGTGCACCCCAGAGTCTGAACCCCTAAATTAGAGCTCCAGGTGACCACATCCTTCCATTCTTTGTAGATCAGTGCCATGCTTCCCTTTCCTATACCTCCCCCACCGTGGGGGCCAGTGGAACCGAATCCTCCCCTTCTCCTCTCTGACTCAGCAGAGTAGACACTGACGCAGCTTTTCTATCCAGCTCCAACTCTGAGTCTCGTCAATGAAGTCTCAAGGCTGTGGAAGGTTCCTTAAAGGACCAGCCCTTTCCTGAGGACACAGTCGTCCTCAATTCCTGGCCCTCCAGAGCCCCTTGCCTCCTCCCCAACTTCCAGCCTAGGCCTTCCAATCACCTGGCCTTGCTGGGGATGGGGGGAAGGGATAACCCTCCAAGAAACCCACTCAAGCTAATTCCCAGGTCAGTTTTGATCAAATTAATTTTTTTTTTTTTGAGACAGAGTCTTGCTTTGTCACCCAGGCTGGAGGGCAGTGGCACAATCATAGCTCACTACAGCCTCCAATTGCTGACCGCAAGTGATCCTCTCACCTCAGCCTCCCAAGTAGCTGGGACTATAGGTACATGCCACCATACCCAGCTCATTTTTTTTTTTTAAGTTTTGCAGAGACAAGAGTTTCACTATGTTGCCCAGGCTGGTCTTGAACTCCTTGCCTCAAGCGATCCTCCCTCCTCAGCCTCACAAAATGTGGGGATTACAGGCATGAGCCACCATTCCCAGCCTCAAGTTGATTTTATACATACAGCAAGTAGGTGAGGGAGCCTTGGATAGTTCTGAGGCCCAGCCCATTGCATTTTCTATTACCTTGTTGCCTGTGGGGATGTGTGTTAGAGACATCCAGCTCTCCTCTTCTTTATTTGCAGATTATATTACAGATGAAGGTACAGCCGGCACTTGACTGAAATATAAATGTGTAGGCAAGTTTTTTTCCAATCCGAAACTCCACCAAGGAAATAGTGCCTGATGAATTACAACAGATTCTCAGGACAACTCAACCAAGAGTTCTCTCCTATCTTTTTTTTTTTTTTTTTTTTTTTTTTTTGAGACAGAGTTTTGCTCTTGTTGCCCAGGCTGGAGTGCAGTGGAGTGATCCCAGCTTTCTGCAACCTTCGCCTCCCCTCCCCACCCCCAACCCCAGGCTCAATCGATTCTCCTGCCCCAGCCTCCCAAGTAGCTGGGATTACAGGCATGTGCCACCACACCCAGCTAATTTTTGTATGTTTAGTAGAGACAGGGTTTCTCCATGATGGCCAGGCTGGTCTCCATCTCCTGACCTCAGGTGATCCACCTGCCTTGGCCTCCCAAAGTGCTGGGATTACAGACATGAGTCACCGCTCCCGGGGGAGTTCTCTTTTCTCCAAGGGGGGATATTGCACCATCTCTGACTTCACCAACTGGTGTCTGGGGTCCAGGAAAGAAATCAAATATTGATTGTGTGTATCATGACACCGTCTCCAGGAGGCAACAGAGGGAACAGCTAGAAAAACAGATAGTGAATAACATAGCCTAAGAAGGGAGAGTATTTCCCTGCTTTCTGCCCAGCACATGAAGGCATTGATTACTGATAGAGTTGTTTGTTTTGTTTTTGTTTTTGAGACAGTTTCACTCTTTTTGCCCAGGATGGAGTGCAGTGGCATGATCTCTGCTCACTGTAACCGCCACCTCCTGGGTTCAAGTGATTCTCCACCTTCAGCCTCCCAAGTAGCTGGGATTGCGGGTGCCTGCCACCACACCCGGCTAATTTTTTTGTATTATTAGTAAAGACGGGGTTTTACCATGTTGGCCAGGCTGGTCTTGAACTCCTGATCTCAGGTAATCCACCCACCTCGGCCTCCCAAAGTGCTGGGATTACAGGCGTGAGCCACCACGCCCAGCAACGATTACTAATAGAGTTTTAAGTTCTCTGGAAAGGAGACACAAATACCTGGGGCTCCTGGGGAGGTGGAGATTGTGGGGATAAGGACTCAGGTTAAGAATGCTGGATCCTGGTCAGAGACGATTACTGGAGGTCCCAAAACTAAGGTGAGCTACAAATTATACCAATAGAAACCTTCTGGCCAGGCACAGTGGCTCATGCCTGTAATCCCAGCACCCTGGGAGGCCGAGACAGAAGGATCCCTTGAGGTTAGGAGTCCAAGACCAGCCTGGCCAAAATGAAACCCCGTCTTTACTAAAAACATGAAAATTAGCCAGACCTAGTGGCACATGCCTGTAATCCCAGCTACTTGGGAAGCTGAGGCAGAAGAATCACTTGAACCCAGGAGGCGGAGGTTGCAGTAAGCCAAGATCGCATCACCGTACTCTAGCCTGGGCGAGAGAGCAAGACTCCATTTCAAAAAAAAAAAAAAACAAAAAAAAAAAAACACCTTCTTACGGCCGTAAAGCATTTGGAATATTTACTATTTACAACAAGTGAAATAAGATGGGAGAAAAACATTCTTGCACAAGCAGGCCAGGCACAGTGGCTCATGCCTGTAATATCAGCTCTTTGGGGGGCCTCGGTGGGAGGATTGCTTGAGAGCCTGGGCAACATAGTGAGATCCCCGTCTCTACAAAAAAATGTTAAAATTAGTCAGGCATGGTAGCATGCACCTGTAGTCCCAGCTACTCAGGAGGCTGATGTGGAAGGATTGCTTGAGTCGAGTTCGAGGCTGCAGTGAGCTGTGATCCACTGCCCTCCAGCCTGGGGGACAGAGACCCTGTCTCAAAATATTGCACAAGCAGCCAGAAGTCTGGCATTCCTCAGCAGACAGCCTGGTCCAGACTATTTGTGCCATAATAATATCACTGCCTGCGGTGCAAACCCACACACTGGCTGTGACATGGTTATTCTGGCACTGGCCTCTAGCTTTTGAGCCAGGCCACTGACCACAAAGAAGAGTCCAGCCCTCTCCAGGGACTCTCTGGCTTGGTGCTGTCCTGCCCTGAGCAAGGCTGTTGGCTCAGACCCTGGCTGGCTGTGCTGCTATCATTCTTGTTGTCTAGGGCTGATGAATTGGGAGGAAAGGCACTGATCCAGCCCAAATGGTCCCAAGGACACAGCCAGCGCTTCCAGGAAGAGCTGCAGAAGAAACGGTGCTTTAGACACAGTTGAGGGTGGAGAGAGACCCCCAGCAACCCAGCAGCAGCCTCTCCAGCCTCAAACAATCTCGGGCAAGCCTGTCGTGAGAATTAAAATGTGCCTTTGTTCGCAGGGGCTGCCAACACGAAGTACCACATGGAGAGGCTTAAACAGCAGGAATTTATTTTCTCACCATTCTAGAGGCTGGAAGGCCAAGATCAAGGTGCTGGGAAAGTGGGTTCCTTTTTTTTTTTTTTTTTTTTTTGACAGTGTATTGCTTGGTCTCCTAGGCTGGAGTGCAATGGTGCAGTCTTGGCTCACTGCAACCTCTGCCTCCTGGATCCAAGTGATTCTCCTGCCTCAGCCTCCCAAGCAACTGGGATTATAGGTGCCCACCACCATGCCTGGTTAATTTTTGTATTTTTATTTATTTATTTGTTTGTTTATTTATTTTTTTGAGACGGAGTCTTGCTCTGTCACCTAGGCTGGAGTGCAATGGCACGATGTAGGCTCACTGCAACCTCCGTCTCCCAGATTTGAGTGATTCTCCTGCCTCAGCCTCACAAGCAGCTGGGATTACAGGTGCCCACCATCATGCCTGGCTAATTTTTGTATTTTTAGTAGAGACGGGGTTTCACTGTGTTGGTCAGGCTGGTCTCGAACTCCTGACCTCATGGGCCGCCTGCCTCAGCCTCCCAAAGTGCTGGGATTACAGGGATGAGCCACCATGCCCAGTCCAGTGGGTTCCTTCTGAAGCCTCTCTCCTTGGCTTGTAGAGGGCATCCTCTTCCTGTATGGTCTTCCCTCTGTATGAGACGGAGTCCAAATTTCCTCTTCTTAGAAGGACAGCAGCCATGTTGGCTTAAGGCCCACCCCTAACAACCTCATGTCAACTCAATTACTACTTTTGAAGACCTGTCTCCTGAGCATGGTGGCTCACGCCTGTAATCCCAACACTTTGGGAGGCCGAGGTGGGTGGATCGCTTGAGGTCAGGAGTTCAAGACCAGCCTGGCCTACATGGTGAAACCCCGTCTCTACTAGAAATACAAAAATTGGCCAGGCACAGTGGCACACACCTGCAATCCCAGCTACTCAGGAGGCTGAGACATGAAAATCACTTGAACATGGTGGGGCAGATGTGGCAGTGAGTCGAGATCACGCCACTGTACTCCAGCCTGGGTGACAGAGTGAGACTCCATCTCAAAAAATTAATTAATTAATTAATTAATTAATTAAAGACCCTGTCTCCAAACACAGCCACATTCTCAAGTACTGGGGTGTACAATTTCAATGCATGAATTTTAGAGAGACACCATTCAGCCCATAAGAGATGAGATGCAAGCTGGGCGCGGTGGCTCACGCCTGTAACCTCAGCAATTTGGGAGGCCAAGGCAGGCGGATCATAAGGTCAGGAGTTCGAGACCAGCCTGGCCAACATGGTGAAACCCTCTCTCTACTAAAAGTACAAAAATTAGCCAGGTGTGGTGGTGCACGCCTGTAATCCCAGTTACTTGGGAGTCTGAGGCAGGAGAATCTCTTGAACTGGGGAGGCAGAGGTTGCAGTGAGCCGAGATCGTGCTGCTGCACTCCAGCCTGGGCGACAGAGTGAGACTTCGTCTCAAAAAAAAAAAAAAAAAAAAATGAGAGATGAGATGCTGCACAGAGATGGCCAGATCCATAAGAGGTGGTTATTAAGTGGTGGCAAGCATGAGTTCTTTCTTCAGAGTGACTGAGAAGGCAAGACGACATGGAGAAAACACCAGAATTCTGGTGTCTTTCCACAGTCAACCCTTCTCTCCACCAGCAAACCCTCCTGAATGACTGCAGTGAGTTCTTCCAGAGAGGAAGTAATTCTGTTGCACCCTGTGCAAGCCTGGATTTATGACTCGGCTGCTCTGAGCTGGTTCACAATCTCCCTCAAGCCTCCAATGATGGGCAAAGTGAGCCTTGGGCAGGAATCCCGGGGCTGCTGTGCCCACAGCTCCAGCCAACATCCGGTGCCAGCCCAGGAGTGCCTGGAGAGCCTGCAGCCCACGTCAGGGGTCCTGGTGTTGCTGCCTCCACACTGCCCCATGCAGACATCATTTGGCTGGGAAGGAACAGAGCTCAGGCAGGGATGTGTTTAGAATTCCTTCCTACAGCTGATTCCATTGGACTTGGGGCAGGGGAGTGATTTCTGCCCCCTGACATTTTTCTTTTGCTGACCTGAGCCTCTTGGTGAGAATTCCTCCTGGAACATCCTCAGAGGCCCTGGGGTCCATCTACCTGGGAAAGACACAGCCCTGAAAACAGGAGGCAGGTCCTCCAGAGACCGGCGAGGACCCAGGAACAGGAGCTCCTGACAGCCTGAGAGAGGGATCAGAAGAGAGAGGTGTCAGATTCATTGCAAGGCAAGAAGTGATTGAAAAGCATCTTCTGGGATTTAAAAGCATTCTCTAGGCCAGGTGCTGTGTCTCACGCCTATAATCTCAGCATTTTGGGAGACTCCTGTGGGAGGATCGCTTGAGGACCTCTCTGGGCAAGAGTTCAAGACCACCCTGGGCAACATAGTGAGACCTTGTGTCTACAAAAAGGTTTTTTATTCTATTATTCTTATTTATTATTTATTAATTTTTTATTTGTATTTGTATTTATTTATTTTTTTGAGATGGAGTCTCGCTCTGTCACCCAGGCTGGAGTGCAATGGTGTAATCTTGACTCACTGCAACCTCCACCTCCCAGGTTTAAGCAATTCTCCTGCCTCAGCCTCTTGAGTAGCTGAGATTACAGGCACACACCACCATCCCCAGCTAATTATTATTATTATTATTTGTATTTGTATTTTTAGTAGAGATAGGGTTTTGCCATGTTGCCCAGGCTGGTCTTGAACATCTGACCTCAAGTGATCTTCCTGCCTTGGCCTCCCAAAGTGCTGGGATTACAGGCGTGGGCCACCTTGCCTGGCCCTACAAAACATTTTAAAATGGGCCAGGCATGGTTGAGTGGACCTATGGTCCCAGCTACTGGAGAGGCTGAGGTGGGAGAATTGCTTGAGCCTAAGGATTGGAGGCTGCAGTGAGCTGTGTTCGTGCCACTGCACTTCAATCTGGGTGACAGAGAAAGACCCTGTCTCTAAAAAATAAATAAATAAATAAAGTAAAATAAAAGCAATTTCCGATAGTTTCCCATGCTTCCTACCAATTTAAAAAATCCTTCCCTAACCCCCAAACAGCCTTTTATTTTTTGTTTTTCGGTTTTTTGTTTGTTTGTTTGTTTTGAAACGGAGTCTCGCTCTGTTGCCCAGGCTGGAGTGCAGTGGTGCGATCTGGGCTCACTGCAACCTCTGTCTCCCGAGTTCGAGCAATTCTCCCTACCTCACCCTCCCGAGTAGCTGGGATTACAGGCACATGCCATGACGCCTGGCTAATTTTTGTATTTTTTACTAGAGATGGGGTTTCACCATGTTGCCCAGGCTGGTCTCGAACTCCTGACCTCAGGTGATCTGCCCACCTCGGCCTCCCAAAGTGCTGGGATTACAGGCATGAGCCATCGCACCTGGCCCCAAATGGCCTTTTCCATGCCGGTTGTGTCTAAGGCCTTCTCTGCTTTTGCTAACTCTACTCCCTACCTCATGCAAACTGCTCTTGATGTCTTCCCTGAAATTTTGACATGTTGTATCAATTGGAAGATTGGAATGTTGTATCAATTGGAAGATTGTTGTATCAATTGGAAGATTGTTGTATCAGTTGGAAGACTGGAATGTTGTATCAGTTGGAAGATGGTTGTATCAATTGGATTGTTGTATCAATTGGAAGATTGTTGTGTCAATTGGAAGATTGGAATGTTGTATCAGTTGGAAGATGGTTGTATCAATTGGATTGTTGTCTCAATTGGAAGATTGTTGTATCAATTGGAAGATTAGAATGTTGTATCGATTGGAAGATTGATACATGTTGTATCAATTGGAAGATTTTCTCCAAAACCGTGAGCAAGTTGCTGATAATTTCCTGCAGCAGAAATGCCACCAGGGCTTTTTCTTTCTCCTTTTCCATTTAAAAACTGGATTACAGTAGACATTTTCCCCCTGGGGACCTATGTGTAGGAGAGCAGTTATTTCAAGTCCAGAGAGTTTTAGCTGATGCATTTACAAAGATGTGGCCTGTGCATTGTGAAATGCAGTACAATCACCAGCATTTGTTCACTATGCACCAAACTGGGCTCTTGCCCCTGCTAGTCCACACTTTTGAACATGGGAAACTTTTTTCCTGTCTGGTGGATCCTGATAACTGCAAAACCAGCATTTGCGATCAAGCTCCAGGACCTGAATTGTGCAGAACAGAGTAAAAGCAACCCCCTCCAGCTCCCTCCCTCCTCAAATCACAAAATTTCTCCAGAGGAGCCCTGAAGTCATCTTGCCTTCCATCAAAACCCCTTTTTTCTTTCTCTTGAAAATTTGACGAGATCCAAGTGGCGGCTTTCATCAGCGATTCCTGAAGAAAGAGAGAGGGGCAATAGTCCTCACCCACTGCCACAACCCCCATGCCACGCCGGTAGTGCCTTCAGGAGGAAATGTTAGACTTTTCCCTGCATGCACCTCGCTCCTCTGAAGATTCATAGACAGCAGTGCACACAAGAAATGAACAAAGTTCCTCGAAAACTTAAAAACAGATCCAGCAGTTGCACTTCTGGCCTTGTACCCCAAGGAAGCGAAATCAGGGGCCCAAGGAGACATTTGAATAACCAATTTTTTTTTTTGAAACAGAGTCTTATTCTGTCACCCAGGCTGGAAGGCAGTGGCACAATCTCCACTCACTGCAACCTCCACCTCCCAGGTTCAAGCGATTCTCCTGCCTCAGCCTCCTGAGGATCTGGTACTACAGGCATGCACCACCATGCCCTGCTAATCCATAACCAATTTTATAGCAGCATTATTTACAATAGCCAAAGGGTAGAAGCAACCCAGGTGTCCATCAACAGATAAATTGATAAACACAGTGTGATACGTTCGTGCCATGAAATTTTTTTTTGTTATACTTTAAGTTCTGGGATATATGTGCAGAACGTGCAGGTTTGTTATATAGTTATACACATGCCATGGTGGTTTGCTGCACCCATCAACCCGTCATCTACATTAGATATTTTTCCTAATGCTATCCTTCCTCTATCCTCCTACCACCCTACAGGCCCTGGTGTGTGATGTTCCCTTCCCTGTGTCCATGGGTTCTCACTGTTAAACTCCCACTTATGAGTGAGAACACATGGTGTCTGGTCTTCTGTTCTTGTGTTAGTTTGCTAAGAATGATGGTTTCCAGCTTCATCGATGTCCCTGCAAAGGACATGAACTCATCCTTTTTTATGGCTGCATAGTGTTCCATGGTGTATATATGCCACATTTTCTTTATCCAGTCTATCAGTGATGGGAATTTGGGTTGATTCCAAGTCTTCGCTATTGTGAAAAAAAATATGGAATGCTTCACGAATTTGCATGTCATCCTTACGCAGGGGCCATGCTAATCTTCTCTGTATCTTTCCAATTTTAGTATATGTGCTGCCAAAGCAAGCACCATGCCATGGAATATTATTCAGCCATAAAAAAGATGGAAATTCTATCACATGGCACAACATAATAAAACATGGGAACAGTATGCTCAGTGAAATAAACCAGTCATAAAAAGACAGATATTGAATGATTCCACTTAAATGGGGCACCTAGAGCAAGCTAATTCATAGAGACAGAAACTAGAATGGGGGTTACCAGAGGCTGGAGGAGGGAAATGGGGAGTTAGTATTTAATGGATAGAGTTTCAGTTTTACAAGATAAAAAATGTTCTGGAAATTCCTTACACAACAATGTGAATATACTTTTTTTCTTGAGACAGAGTCTCGCGCTGTTGCCCAGGCTGGAGTGCAGTGGCACCATCTTGGCTCACTGCAACGTCCATCTCCTGGGTTCAAGCAATTCTCCTGCCTCAGCCTCCCGAGTAGCTGGGATTACAGACACCCACCATCATACCCAGCTAATTTTTTTTTTTTTTTTGGTAGAGACAGGGTTTCACCATGTTGGCCAGGCTGGTCTTGAACTCCTGACCTCAGGTGATCCACCCACCTCGGCCTCCCAAAGTGCTGGGGTTACAGACATGAGCGAACGTGCCTGGCCAATGTGAATATACTTAACACTACTGAACTACTTTTTTATATTTTTTTTTTTTGAGATAGAGTCTCACCCTACCACCCACACTGGAGTACAGTGGTGCGATTTCAGCTCACTGCAGCCTTGACTTCCCTGGCCAAAGCAATCCTCCTGCTTCAGCCTCCCGAGTAGCTGGGATGCACCACCACACCTGGCTAACTTTTTTGTTGTTTTTTTTTAAAGACGGATCTCACTCAGTCTCCCAGGCTGAGTGCAGTGGTGCAATCTCAGCTCACTGCAACCTCCACCTTCTGGGTTCAAGCAATTCTTGTGCCTCAACTTCCCCAGTAGCTGAGACTACAGGCAAGCACCAGCACACTGGCTAATTTTTGTATTTTAAATAGAGATGGGATCTCACCATGTTGCCCAGGCTGATCTCAAACTCCTGGCCTCAAGCGATCCTCCTGCCTCGCCCTACCAAAGTGCTGGGGTTACAGGCATGAGTCACCACACCTGGTCAACTGTACACTCAAAATGGTTAAAATGGTAAATTTCATAGTGTTTATTCTACCACAACAAAAATGAATAAGTAGGGCTTTTTCAAGTGCTAGGGTTGCGGCGGGTCTTCAGGAAGGAGGTGGAGGTGGGCGCGTGGCAGATGGCTAGGATGGTCCCCAGAAGTGGCCAGGCCTCAGTCCAGAGCAAACGCGCTTCCCGAGCTCTCCTACTGGTTGGATCCCTGGCTCTTCATCCTTTTTGGCGTGATGGTGTTTTTGTTTGTGTGTCTTTTGCCATGACTAGTTTATGGATGCCCAAATTAAAAAGTCAGCTTCTAGAGTGAATTCTGAAAATGACTGCAGACTTCTTCAATAAAGAGCACAGCCAGGACTGTGCCACAGAAGAATTTCAAATCTCTAAGGGACGTGCCTTTCATTTTACACTTCCTGTTACTCATTTGGAGAACTCCATTATGTGAGTAAGAACTCACTTGTTCCTAGCTAAGTTCTTAAAACTAGATTCTTTGGTTCACATTTAAAAACTTTCAACTGGGCGTGGTGGCTCATGCCTATAATCCTAGCATTTTGGGAGGTCAAGGCAGGTGGATCATTAGAGGTCAGGAGTTCAAGACCAGACTGGCCAACATGGTGAAACCCTGTCTCTACTAAAAAAATACAAAAAAATTTAGCTGGGCGTGGTGGCCCACACCTGTAGTCCCAGCTACTCAGGAGGCTGAGGCAGGAGAATTGCTTGGACCTGGGAGGTGGAGGTCGCAGTGAGCCGAGATCATGCCACTGCCCTCCAGCCTGGGCAACAGAGTGAGACTCTGTCTCAAAAACAAACCAACAAAAAAAGTTTTTATGGCTGGGTGCAGTGATTCACACTATAATCCCAGAACTTTGAGAGGCTGAGGCAGGAGAATTGCTTGAGACCAGGAGTTCAAGACCAGCCTAAGCAACATAGTGAGACCCTGTCCCTACAAAAGAAAAAAAAAAAATTAAAAAGCAACAAGGCATGGTGGCGTGCACCTGTAGTCCCAGGTACTCGGGAGGCTGAGGCCGGAGGATCACTTAAGCCCAGGACCTTCAGGCCGCAGTGAGCTGTGATCATGCCCCTGCACTCCAGGCTGGGCAACAGAGTAAGGCGTCGTCTCAAAAAGAAAACAACAAAAATACACAATTTTTTCAAATATCCGATAGCTTTACAGGGGCTGAATATAAAAGTATTTGCACTTAAAAATAAAAAAGCCACTCCAAAGTAGCCCAGGGACTTTGCTGTCCCCAGGATGGGCAGAACGGACAAGTGGGTGTCGCCCTGGGTGCCTGGCAAACCTGGAACCAGTTCTCCCACATATCTTGGTGCTGGGGCAGACTACCCTCGGTCTGGAAGGGGGCCCACTTTGTCTCCATAAATCACCAGGCAGAAACAGCTCTGGGCACCTGTCACATGAGATTAAATTTAGATAATGGGGCCCTTGGGAGGCATGGGGCTGATGCCACGCAGGAGGCCAAGGAGCTCAAGGGTGTTCTTCGTGTTCCGCTGTGTCAGAGGCCGACGGAGGGTTTCAGGAGTATAGATGCTGTCACTGCACATTTGCAGATGGGGCAGAGCAAGGGATGCTGGGCCTGAGTTGAGAGCCCTGAGGACTGGATGTGGCCAAATGGACAGACAGAGCAGCTTCTTGTCCATGAAGTCTTTTTAAACAATTATTTTTAACTTTTTTGGAGACAAGGTCTTGCTCTGTGCCCCAGGCTGGAGTGCAGTGGCGCCATTATAGCTCACTGCAGCCTCCTGCTCCTGGGCTCGAGTGATCCTCCCACCTCAGTCTCCAGAGTAGCTGGGACCACAGGTGCACACCACCACGCCTGGCTAATTTTTTTTTATTTTTTGTAGAAATAGAGTGTCTCCTGGCCGGCCGCGGTGGCTCACACCTGTAATCCCAGCACTTTGGGAGGCCGAGGTGGGCGGATCACTTGAGCTCAGGAGTTCGAGACCAGCCTGGGCAACATGGCAAAGCCCTATCTCTACTAAAAATACAAAAATTAGCCAGGCGTGGTGGTGTGTGTAGTTCCAGGCTGCTTGTGAGGCTGAGGCATGAGAATCGCTTGAACCTGGGAGGCAGAGATTGCAGTGAGCTGAGATTGCACCACTGCACTCCAGCCTGGGTGACAGAGGGAGACTCCGTCTCAAAAAAAATAGAAAAGAAATGGAGTCTCTCTATGTTGCCCAGGCTGGTCTCGAACTCCTGGGGTCCAGCAATCCTCCCATCTCAGCCTCCCAAAGTGCTGGGATAACAGGCATAAGCCACCGCACCCAGCATAGACCAAGTCTTTATCCTTTCTGAGGACAAATGCTTCTGCCAGGAAGAGCAGGAGAGAGAAGGCTCTTTTCATTCTGGTGAAGGGCAGGGGCCCTGGACTTAGAGGATTCAAGTCCCAGCACCCATCTTGCCCACTGTGTAACCTGGGGTGGGCAATCACATCTCTGGGTGTCATTTCTCTCATCTCTATTTTTTTTTTTTTTTTTTTTTGAGACGGAGTCTAGCTCTGTCACCCAGGCTGGAATGCAGTGACGCAATCTCAGCTCACTGCAAGCTCTGCCTCCCAGGTTCACGCCATTCTCCTGCCTCAGCCTCCTGAGTAGCTGGGACTACAGGCACCTGCCACCACGCCCAGCTAATTTTTTGTATTTTTTAGTAGAGACAGGGTTTCACCATGTTAGCCAGGATGGTCTCAATCTCCTGACCTCGTGATCCGCCCGCCTCAGCCTCCCAAAGTGCTGGGATTACAGGCATGAGCCACCGCGCCCGGCCCCTCTTCTCCATTTTTATAGGGATAATAATTGAACCTTCTTTGTAAGGATTAAATTAGATCACTCATGGAAGATACTTTGCACGGTTTCTGCCAGATAACATGTGCTTGAATGCTGAAGATGATGATGCAACTATGTAAATATAAATTCCTTAAGCCCGAAATGCACGGATCTAAATCAAATTGGAGCTTGAGCCAGGCGCGGTGGCTCACACCTGTAATCTTAGCACTTTGGGAGGCCAACACGGGCAGATCACTTGAGGTCAGGAGTTCAAGACCAGCCTGGCCAACATGGTGAAACCTCATCTCTACTAAAAATACAAAATTAGCCAGGTGTGGTGGCGCATGCCTGTAATCCCAGCTACTCAGGAGGCTGAGGCAGGAGAATCACTTGAACCCAGGAAGTGGAGGTTGCAGTGAGCCGAGATCATGCCATTGCACTCTAGCCTGGGGAAAAAAAAAAGAGTGAAACTCCATCTCAAAAAAAGACAAATTGGAGTTTAGCTTTGTGGAGTCTGCAAAAGTACATTTCCACATTTACTCAGCTCTGATTCCTGGTTTCCCCTGGAGGAGTGTTTGTTGGGAAGGCGCAGGGCAGTGTTTTTTGCATCTCTTGTTTGTGTGTAACAATAACGACCTGCATGTATTGAGCACCCCTTCTGTTGCCGGTCCCATACTAAGCATGCTCTTTGCACAATTGGATTCTGGCCTCCAGCATCTCCATGAGCCTAGGTTGTTATCTCCTGCAGTGGGTTGGATAGTGATATGGTTTGGATCTGTGCCCCCACCAGATCTCATATTCAGTTGTAATCCCCAATGCTGGAGGTGGGACCTGGTAGGAGCTGATTGGATTATGGGGGCAGATTTCTCTCTTGGTGCTGTCCTAACCATAATGAGTAAGTGCTGGTGAGATCTGCTTGTCTAAAAGTGTGTAGCTGGCCAGGATTACACGCCTGTAATCCCAACACTTTGGGAAGCCAAGGTGGGTGGATCATGAGGTCAGGAGTTCGAGACCAGCCTGACCAACTTGGCAAAATGTCACCTCTACTAAAAATACAAAAATTAGCTGGGCGTGGTGGTGCATGCCTGTAATCCCAGCTACTCAGGAGGCTGAGGCAGGAGAATCACTTGAACCCAGGAGGTAGAGGTTGTGGTGAGCCAAGATCACGCCACTGCATTCCAGCCTGGGTGACAGAGTAAGACTCCATCTCAAAAAAAAAAAAAAAAAAGTGCATAGCACCTCCCCACTCACTGTCTCCCTCCTGCTCCAGCCATGTAAGATACTTTGATCCTCATTCACCTTCCACCATGATTGGAAGCTTACTGAGGCCTCCCCAGAAGCAGAAGCTGCTGTGTTTCCTGTATAGCTTATAGAACCATGATCCAATTAAACCTCTTTTCTTTATGAATTAGCCAATCTCAGGCATTTCCTTTGTTTTAACTTTTATTTTAGGTTCAAGGGCACAAGTGAAGGTTTGTTGCATAGGTAAACTCGCGTCATCAGGGTTTGTTGTATAGATTATTTCATCAACCAGGTATTAAGCCCATACCCAATTGTTATTTCTCTGCTCCTCTCCCTCCTCCTGCCCTCCACCCTCAAGTAGACTCCAGTGTGTGTTGTTCCCTTCTTTGTGTTCATGAGTTCTCATCATTTAGCTCCCACTTATAAGTGAGAACTTGCAGTATTTGGTCTTCTGTTCCTGCATTAGTTTGCTGAGAATAATAGCCTCCAGCTTCATCCATGTTCTCGCAAAAGACATTATCTCATTCTTTTTTTGTGGCTGCATAGTATTCCATGGTGTATATGTACCACATTTTCTTTATCTGGTTGTCACTGATGGACATTTAGGTTGATTCCCTGTCTTTGCTATGGTGAATGGTTCTGCAATGAACATTCATGTGCATGTGTCTTTATGATACAATGATTTATATTTCTCTGGTTATATACCCAGTAATGAGATTGCTGAGTTGAATGGTAGTGCTGCTTTTAGCTCTTTGAGGAATCACCATACTGCTTTCCACAATGGTTGGACTAATTTACGCTTCCACCAACAGTATATAAGTGTTCCCTTTTCTCTGCAACCTTGTCAGCATGTGTTATTTTTTGACTTTCAGATATTTCTTTACAGCAGTGTGAGAACGGACTGACAGAGGTAGCACCCACCCAAAATTCATGTCCACCTGGAAGCTCAGGGTGTGACCTTATTCAGAAATAGGTTCTTTCCCACTTTGAACCAGCTTTATGTCTGCAGGGTAGCAGAAAAGGCACAACTGGGGCTCAGCTTTTAGAGCTAGGAGGACTGTGAGTTTCCACGTCTTCCCTCTTAGATTCTAAATTTTTGGAAGCTATGAGCCATCATCTAAAAAGTCCAGGTGCTCTCCAGGAAGACCACATAGAGAAGTGAGATCTTGGCACTACAGTGAGCAGTCTATGGATGACACTAGCCCAACCACTATTTAACTAGAACACACGAAAAGCTTTAGTGGGACCAGAAGAACTGCCTTGCTGAGCCCAGCCAACCCACAGGACTATGAGAGATCATAATATGGCTCTTTGGAGGTAGTTTTGCTACACGGCAATTGGTAAGTGAAATAGCAGTAGCTCATGCTTTACCTCCCTGAGGGCTGAAATCTGCAAAATGGCCTAATGTGGAATGTCAACAGGAGATGATCTTGAGAAACGTGTGTTTAAGTGACTGCCATGATATGGCACGAGTGTAGGAGGCTCTTTTGGGAGGCTCCCCTTTCTAACCATCTCTAGTTTACTTTTTCTTCTGTAATATTTGGAACTAAGAATTGTGGAACTGTTGGAAGCAGCACAGCCCAAAGAGGTCACAATATTGGGGGTTCCAGGGCAACCCTTGCAACACAGTGCATCCCCTTCTGATGAGAGTCTACAGGAACACAGGGCTGCATCAGAACAACAGTGAGCCTTCTCCGAGGAGGGGTAGCTCCCTGGTTAGAGCCAGTGATCTCACAGAGAGACCACTTAGCCCAATCACCTGGATCCAGGCCCCCTCCAGGCCACAGAGAAGGGCCTAGACCCCACACTTAGCCTTGGAAGATAGGGAAGGAAAGGCTCCAGGCAGGGACAATGCTGGCCCCTGCAATGAGGGGAAACTATCCCCCAATACCAAGAATCTTCTCCTGGGAGAATCAGACAGCCCTGAAGCTCCATGGTCTAGCCCAGCCTTCTAGTATAGTAGAGGCCCACAGAAGGCACAGTCCTGCCCAATTTGCACAGCAAGACAACCATATGGCCTGGCCTGTTCCTAGGTCCTGGGTCCCCATCCAGGGCTCCTCCTGCATCCTAACATCCATGCTGAGCTTGTCCTTGTCCAGGCAAGTAGGATAGTCCAGGGTAGAACCTGGGCGGGCTCTAGAGAGAGGGGCAGGAGAGCCACCCCTACTCAGCATCCCTGTCCCCTCTGGCTGCAGGCACAGCTGGACGCAGTCTGACTGGCTGTCATGGTTGTCATCTGCCCTGGAAACAAGCCAAGGCTGTTGTTGCGAGTGCTATTACCATGGAAACCCTGAGTCAGGGCCGCGCTTAGCAGAGCCAAGCATGCCAGGGGCTCTCGGGGCCTCTCTTCTGCCAACGGGGAAGGTGATGTAAGGCAGGCAGCATCTCCCTGGGACTCATTAAGAGAGGGGAGTGTGTGGGTGGCAGGGAGGGAGTAGAATGGGGGTGGGGTGGGAGGAAAGGGGAGGAGGAAGTGAGAGTAATGACATGGCTCGGGGAACAGCTTAGGGCTGCCAAGCCCAGACCACAAGAGCCAAGGGATCTCCCCTGCTAAGCAGCCAAATTTGAGCCAAACCAAGTTTGGTCTTTGGAGTCAGTTCCTGAACCCAAAAGACCAAACTTCCCAGGAGACCAGAGCCCCAAGCTGGGCCCCACAGATGTTACCTTTTGGTGATAGTGGGAGATCATGGAGCCTCTGGATCTGGGCTGCAGCCTGGGAGGCCACCCAGCACAGCTTTATTCATCCCAGCACTCAAGGGAGATTTGGGGACTTGGTCAGGGTCACACAGTGGGTCCATATGGAGGCCAGGAAGGCAAGAGGTGGAGACCCTTTCCTAGTCAATGAGCTTCCTCCCAGCTCACTGTCATCCATTGGCTGGGCAGGCAAGGTTGGATAAGAGCCCCTGATGTGGCCTGAGCCCAGCAGAGAACAATCCCACCCCCAGGTCTTCTTGCAGATTGAGTGAGTTGCTGGTTTCACAGCATGTGGACAGTCAGGTTCCCAGGCTAGCTCATGCAAACAGTCAGGTTCCCAGGCTAGCCCATGCAAACTTCGTTACCACATCCTGTGGGGTTCCCTTCTGCACAGAGTCTGACTTTCCTTGAAAATTGAGAGGCTCAGCCAGGTGCAGTGGTTCATGCCTGTAATTCCAGCACTTTGGGAGGCCGAGGCGGGCGGATCACTTGAGGTCAGGAGTTCGAGACCAGCCTGGCCAAAATGGTGAAAACTGTCTCAAAAAAAAAAATACAAAAAATTTGGTTGGGTATGGTGGTGCATGCCTGTAATCCCAGCTACTTGGGAGGGTGAGACATGAGAATCGCTTGAACCCGGGAGGTGGAGGTTGCAGTGAGCTGAGATCATGCCACTGCACTCCAGCCTGGGCAACAAAGTGAGACTCCATCTCAAAAAAAAGAAAAACGAAAAAAAGAGTAAGAAAAGAGAAGGAAGGAAAGAAAGAAAGAAAGAAAGAAAGAAAGAAAGAAAGAAAGAAAGAAAGAAAGAAAGAAAGAAAGAAAAGAAAGAAAGGAAGGAAGGAAGGAAGGAAGGAAGAAAGAAAATAAATTGAGAGGCTATACCCCAGGGAGACCCATCCTTCTTGCCTACATTGCCAAACTGTAGCTGCTGTCTGCAGACATGCAAGCCAGGAACCAGAGATGAGGGACTGTCAGTGCATGTCACCCTGACGTCTTCACTGATCACACTCAAGCTGGGCCATATTCTGGGCTCCGGTCTCCATTACCTGCTGCACATACCTCATTCAGCCCTCAAACAGTCCTCGGAGGCAGATATCATGTCCTAAGCGGTCCCATTTTGTACAATAGAAAACAGCCTTTGGGAGACAAGGTGCCTTGCAAAGGCCACACAGAAGGGAAAACTGGGCTCTGAACTGAGGATATTTTGAGATTGCCGAACAGCCTCATTGGCCACTCTTCCACTGAGCACAGGACAGGTGGTGGAGTCATCTTGGGGAAGCCCTGATGCCTGCCCTCACAGATCCGGCATGGGGGCAGCTGCTGGAGACGATGCTGCCTCAGTGATCCCAGGCCAACCCCTTCTCTCCGCCACGCAATTCCTGAGGTCTGGAGTTGGGGAAGGAGCGAGGGCCATGAAAACTGGGGACAGGGGCAGCTGTGTCCTCACTTTAAGATAGAGCCATGCAGCTGGTCCTTCATGCTGGCTTGCTAGCAAGCAACAAAAAGTTGGATGAAACATTCATATTGCCGAGATATGACAATGTCTCTGAACATGACATGCTGCTCCCCTGGTAGCATAGTTAACACTGGTCTTCCAACATCCCAAGCAAGAAGAACAAAGCGCCACTCACTGGGAGATGGTTGGAAGGAGAGTGGATTCTAACCTGCTCACCCTCGTGGCTGGGGGTTGTGGTCTTTGATGGAGGAATTAATAAACCCAGAGCCACATCTGTCAAGAACTCAGTGGCTTCAGTAGCTCTTCCCTGGAGCTGTGGAGGCCACCCCTGGGCCTGGGGGACCCATTCATTCCAATGCTGGGGTCCTGGAATCAGAATCTTCTTGGGAGGCGCAAGCCCCCCTCCTCCCCTCTGCCACAGACCCATCCCACAGGTCTGGGCCCCAGCACCAGCTGGTCTTCAAAGTCACATGAGTCTGAGCCACATGGAATTACAAATGAGCTAAAAAGATGAGCTGATTTCGGCCGGGCACGGTGGCTCACGCCTGTAATCCCAGCACTTTGGGAGGCTGAGGCGGGCGGATCACGAGGTCAGGAGATTGAGACCATGCTGGCTAACACGGTGAAACCCCGTCTCTACTAAAAATACAAAAAATTAGCTGGGCATGGTGGCGGGCGCCTGTAGTCCCAGCTAGTCAGGAGGCTGAGGCAGGAGAATTGCTTGAACCTGAGAGGCAGAGCTTGCAGTGAGCCTAGATAGCGCCACTGCACTCCAGCCTGGGCGACAGAACAAGACTCCACCTCAAAAAAAAAACAAAAAAGATGAGCTGATTTCATTAATGCCGTCTTCCATTTCGTCCAGTATTTCTGTGAATTTGTGGACATTTTTAAACTAATCTCTCCACTGCTCATGAAATTAAATACTAAGGAATAAGACTGAGTTCGATAGTGTTAAACTTTGCATGACCACAAATCATTGTAATAGCTAAGACTTTGTTGGTGGTGGTGGTGGTTTGTGTTTTTTATTTGTTTTTATTTTTTGTTTTGTTTTGTTTTTGAAACAGTCTTATTCTGTCGCCCAGGCTGGAGTGCAGTGGCGCAATCTTGGCTCACTGCAACCTCTGCCTCTCAGGTTCAAGCAATTTTCCTGCCTTAGCCTCCCAAGTAGCTGGGATCACAGATGTGTACTACCACACCCAGCTAATTTTTGTATTTTTAGTACAGATGGGGTTTCACCATGTTGACCAGGCTGGTCTCCAACTCCTGGCCTCATGTCATCTGCCCTCCTCGGCCTTCCAAAGTGCTGGGATTACAGGCATGAGCCATCACACCTGGCCATAATAGCTAAGACTTTTTCAGCACCTCCTCCAAGAACCAATTTTGGCCCCTTGGGGTAATGTCACCTCCATTGAGAATATGTGGTCTAGTCAATGCATGGGGTTGCATCTTGGGGGGAGGCCACCAGCCATTGCTCATTTGATGCTCCATGATGGGCCCCTGGGCTGAGCACTGAAACCAGAACCTTCTTTTTCATTCATTTTTTCTCACCCTGTCCTATGGTGCTCACCAGAACTTCTTATGCACAGTCCATGCTCCAAGGAGCTCATGCCAGTGAAGGCAGCAGACAGAGAAAGGGAGAACTAAGAGGAAGATGAGGCAGCCCTAAGTCTGCTGCTGCCTGAAAGGGAGCAGCGAGGCATCTTTCAGAAAGCAGCCTGGCTGGTCCCCAGAATGTGACCCAAATACTGGGAACTATTGGGGCACAGAGCAAACCACATCTCTTGGAAGCTGACTCATGGGAGGAAGATGGGAAACATCTCCAGGTGGTTCACAAGCATTATCTTTTCCCACAGACCCAATACTCATGTTTACTATCTGGGACCCCCTTTCCTGGAATGGAGCCTCCTGGCAAGCTGAATGAATGATCAAAGGAGGCAGTGGGAGTTGGAATCAGAGGGGAGAGAGATGTGTCATCCTGGCCAGTTGTGCTGGGCCAGTCCCCAGAGGAAAAGAGTTTTGTAGTAGCCAAGCCACAGACAGGACTGGACAGGGCCGAACATGCACCCCCAGCTCATGTCTGAGGTTCCATCTTCGTGGCCATGCACTTGTACTTCCTTCAGATGGATGAAGCTTCATGGCAGATGCTGCCGGAATCACATTCATATTCCCTTTGGCCTTACCACTTCCATGCAGGCCACTGGGCTTCCAACTGCCAGCCTGCATACCTTGTGGCCTGATGGCTTTCTCTGACCACCAGTGCCTGCTTGCCTGTGCTTGAACACATGACTGCCCAAAAGCCCTCAAGGGGTGTTGGAGTATCAGTTGCAATTGGGACACAGGCCAAGTCCTGAGAGTAAGCATTTCCAAGGGGGACAAGAGGGATTTTCCTGGTTTGCTCCCCTAAGAACTATTCCTTGCTTTTATGTCCTCTCCATGATGACTCTAACAAATCCTGATTCAGGTTTATATATTGTTTTTGTTTGTTTGTTTTTTTGTCCTCAATCAATGCTGGCTGAGACTGTTGGAGTATCAGTACCCCAGCTCCCTCACCCCTGGAGTAGATAACTCTGAAGTGTGTGTCTATGCTGTCTCCCAGAGCTTCCTGGCAGCTTTGAGCTCCAGCTGCCCATAGCAGTAACTTCCTTGATAATTTGCTCTTTATTGGCTGCTTTCTATGTCCAGCCTCACTCCATCCCCCCTCTTCCTGGAGAAGGCCACCTCCAAATAAACTATGTGCCTCTGACTCCTTGTCTCAGGGTCTACTTCTTGGGCAACCCAAACTGAGATAAGCTCTCATCCTCCTCTGAGACAATCATTTAATCTCAACCATTACCTGTTGCTTCTTTTTTTTTTTTTTTTAAGACAGGGTCTCACTCTGCTGCCCAGGCTGGAGTGCAGTGGCATGATCATAGCTCACTGCAGCCTCCAACTCCTGGGCTCAAGCAATCCTCCTGCCTCAGCCTGCTGAGTAGCTGGCACTACAGGCATGCACCACCATGCCCAGCCAATTTTTTATTTTTTGTAGAGAGGGGGGTCTCACCATGTTGCCCAGGCTGGTCTGGAACTCCTGGCCTCAAGTGAGCCTCCTGCCTCGGCCTCCCAAAGCACTGGGATTACAGGAGTGCACCACTGTACAGAGAGCAGCCCCACCTTTGCTCTTTCCCCACATGTGCTTTATCAGGGGTGTGGTTAGCAAGGATGGGGAATAGCAGGGGCACTTCAAGATTGGGGCCTCTGAAAACTAGGCAGCATGGGGACAGAGCTGCCTCCTCTTACCGGCAAAGAGAAGGTGCAAATCAGAAGTTTTAACATATTCCTTAATTAGAGCCTGATTTTGTTCTCAGCTGCCCAGCCGTGTGGGGCCCGATAACACCAGGCAGCATTGTTGTTTTTATGCTTATGAGGCAGATCAGCTGGAAGAGCGCATTCCAAATGAGATTACATCTTATACATGTTTAATGTACTGTTCTCGCCATTTAAAATGCAGCTCTGTTAAAATAGCAGGGAGGGAAAGTTGACTCATGGAGCTGGGTGTGGAGACAATAGATCACTAGTGAAATGAATAATATATTAACAGAATAATGATGTTGCTTCTCATATTAATCGTATAAATCACAAGATTCTTGGGCTGTCAGCAGAACTTTAAAAAAAAAAAAAAAAGCAGACTTCTGGTTTTCCAGCCCACGGAAGACTGAGGCCCATAGGGCATGAGGTTCCTGGTGACCACTCTGGTTATGAAACGGAGGTTTTCTGGGCATGCTGAGGAGGCTGCCAAGGACCCAGAACTTTCCCTGGAGGCAGCAGTGATGTTGTAGGAAAACTGCAACTCAGCCCCAGCCTGCATCCCTCACTGATGTCAACTGTTTACCAAGGATATGAGAAGGTTGGGTGCGATGTGGGCCCTACCCACTGGCCGGGGAGGCAGAAATATATACAGAGACCAGGCATGGTGGCTCATGCCTGTAATACCAGCACTTTGGGAGGCCAAGGCGGGCGGATCACTTGAGGTCAGGAGTTCAAGACCAGCCTGGTCAACATGGCAAAACCCCGTCTCTACTAAAAATACAAAAATTAGCCAGGCATGGTGGTGCACGCCTGTAATCCTAGCTACTTGGGAGGCTGAGGCAGGAGAATCACTTGAACCTGGGAGGCGGAGGTTGCAGTGAGCCGAGATCTCACCATTGCACTCCAGCCTGGGCGACAGCTGGACTCCGTCTCAAAAAAAAAAAAAAAAAAAAAAGAAAAGAAAGGAAATATATACAGATCATTCCAATGACATGATACAGGTTAGGTCAGTCCCTCAACAGCCAGGTGTCCCCCACCTGACTGGGGACACGTCAGATAATGCTGGGTCCCCAGTACCTAGCCAGGACTTGATACACAGCAAGCATCCAATGGTGTCTGTAGGTTTTGAGCTGCAAATATGTGTAGAATAACACCAGGTGGATCAATACCTTCCTCCCAGTGCTCTTGAAAGAGGAAGAAGGTCCTGTGGAAGTATCAGGAACAGGTGAGTTTTGTGGGGGTTGCGATGTGTGGGGCAGTAAGGATCGACTGTGGTGATTGAAATTGTTGCAACGGACGTTACCTGCACGTGGAATTTCTGCACAAGAGCAGAGAATAGAGAACTCAGTCCTCGGTAAATATAAACCAGTGGTCTATAATCCCAGCACTCTGGGAGGCTGAGGCAGGAGGATCGCTTGAGGCCAGGAGTTTGAGACCAGCCTGGGCAACATAGCGAGATCATGTTTCTACAAAAAACAAACAAAGAAAAACAATATATAAACCAGAGTCAGGATTCATTACAGTCATCACGGAAAGGACATAAAAGCAAGGAACAACTCTCAGGGGAGCAAACCAGGAAAATCCCTCTTGTCCCCCTTGGAAATGCTTACTGTCAGGACTTGGCCTGTGTCCCAGTTGCAAGCCTGAGTGGACCACCAGGGCTTTAGGTGGCCACGCTGATATCTAATTGTTTAGAACGTGGAGAAGAAAGTCTCCCCACTCAAGCTGAGAACAGAAATCCTGGGATTTACAGAGCATCAGCACTGCCCTCTGTGACACCTGGCCCAGGTGACTGGTCACAGTCACGCACTGGGCCTTACCTGCACTCATGTTCACAGCCAGCAGGTGCTGTGCATGTTTTCCCACTTTAGGGAGGCAGGAGCTGAGGATGGCAGACAGCAGGGGATGTGCCCCAGTCTGCCCAACTGCTAAGTGGCTGGGCTCAGTTGGGTTATTGAGCATGTACTTACAACTCTCCAGCCCCATTGATGTTGGGCTCAGCCAGGTGACCCTGCCAAGGGGAATGTGAGCCAATGCAAGCGTGGCAAAGGCTCAAAATGTGCTGGGGTCCAGGTACAGTGGCTCATGCCTGTAACCCCAGCACTTTGGGAGGCCGAGGCAGGTGGATCACTTGAGGTCAGGAGTTCGAGACCAGCCTGGACAACATGGTGAAACCCTGCCTCTACTAAAAATAAAAAAAAATTAGCCAGGTGTGGTGGCAGGCAGCTGTAATCCCAGCTACTTGAGAGGTTGAGGCAGGAGAATCACTTGAACCTGGGAGGCGGAGATTGCAGTGAGCCAAGATTGCGCCACTGCCCTCCAGCCTGGGTGACAGCTGAGCAAGACCCTGTCTCAATAGGATTAGATAATACCATCAGGGTGAGGGGCCCCCGTGATGGAACTGGTGGCTTTCTAGGAGGAAGAGAAACCTGAGCTGACACACTCTTGCCCTCTCCCAATGTGACACCTTTCACCATGTCATGATGCAGCAGGAAGGTCCTCACCAGATGCTGGTGCCATGCTCTTGGAATTCCCAGCCTTCAGAACCATGAGCTAAATAAACATCTTTTCTTTGTAAATCACCCAGTCTGTGTTTTCTGTTATAGCCACAGAAAACAGAAAAAGACACAAAACATCACTTGGGTTGTTGAATGTGCTCAAGCACCATACCCCACGGCTGTCCACAGCAGTGACTGCTCAGGGCTGGTGCCACAGAGAGCCTGGGCTGGGGGAAGCACTCAACCCGTTTGGGTCACTGCGGCTATTAATGCTATTGTTGCTGTGCTGGACTCCCTTCCCTGCAGAGACCACATCTGAACGCAGATCTCTGCCCCATCCTGGGAAGATGTAAGATGCTGAGAGGCAAATCATCTCCATGGCAACCAAACCCACCCCCCAGAGAGGGGGGTCAGTGAATTCCAGCTTTACAGGCCGCAGGAGAACAGCTGAAACCCACAGGCTGGAGAAACTGGGACACAGGCCAAAAACGTGGCTTGTGGCACCAAATGGATCACAAGCTCCCTAGGCCCCTGGGGAGCAGCCAGAGCCAGAGAAAGCTGGGAAAATAGGCCAAAGCGTACGCATCCCATCTGTACACCCTCTGCCTCCTCTCCCACTTCCCAATGCACCACAAAAGGCTCTTGCAAGGACCAGAAGCCTAAGGAGGTCTTAGGCTTTGTGTGAAAACAGCTGTAAGCTGTGGGAGCCAGGAGCAGACAAGAGGATCCCAGAGAGCTGTGGGGGATGCCGTCTCCAGGGTGGAGAAAGAAAGAAAGGAATCCTTGCCTCCTGGGTGGCTTTTCTGCAGACGTGAATGCCTATCTCTGCTAACCAGGGGTGACTGACCACCAGCATCCGTAACAATGCGGAACAGATTATAGTGTATGGAGCTCTGCCTCCAGGCAGGAAAATATAGAGAAACTGAGGCTCAGAAAGGAAACCAGGTGGCTTCAATGTCACCCAACAAGGCAGGGCAGAGCTGGAGGCAGATTCAGCTGTCCTAACTTCCAGACCAGCCTACTGTTACTTTTCCAGTGAAATCATCTAGTGAGATTTTCTTAAATCCCCCTGCCCAGGTCTCACCCAACACCAAAGAAATCAGAGTGTCTGGCAGTGGTGGTGGTGGTGTGGTGGTGGGTGGTGGTGGTGGCTGGTGGTGGTGGGTGGTGGAGGTGGTGGTGGTTGGCAGAGGTGGTGGAGGTGGCGGTGGTGGTGGTTGTTGGTAGTGGTGATGGTGGTAGTGGTGGTGGTGGTGGTGGTTGGTAGTGGTGATAGTGGTGGTGGTGGTGACGGTGATGGTGGTAGTGGTGGTGGTTGATAGTGGTGATAGTGGTAATGGTGGTGGTGGTGGTAGTGGTTGGTAGTGGTTGGTAGTGGTGATGGTGGTGGTGATAGTGGTGGTGGTGGTGGTGGTGATGGTGATGGTGGTGGTGGTGGTGGTAGTGGTGGTGGTGATGGTGGTGGTGGTGGTAGTAGTGGTGGTGATGGTGGTGGTGGTGGTAGTGGTGGTGGTTGGTAGTGGTGATGGTGGTAGTGGTGGTGGTTGGTAGTGGTGATAGTGGTGATGGTGGTAGTGGTGGTGGTTGGTAGTGGTGATAGTGGTAATGGTGGTGGTGGTGGTAGTGGTTGGTAGTGGTGATGGTGGTGGTGATGGTAGTGGGTGGTGGTGGTGGTGGTGATGGTGGTGATGGTTGGTGGTGGTGGTGGTGGTGGTGGTGGTGGTGGTGGTGGTGGTTGGTAATGGTGGTGTTGGTGGTGGTGGCTGCAGCACTGAGGTTTTGGCGAAGTCCAGGGGATTCTGCTGGGCAGTCAGGGCTGCTGTGCTGCCTCCTGGTCATTGCTGACCCACTCCCTGGCCAGCTTGATTTATCTGCTTCAAAAATTCCTGATGGTATTTGAAAACTGATTTTTTAAACATTAAGATTCAATGTACATTTATTTATTTATTTATTTTTGAGATGGAGTCCTGCTCTGTTGCCCAGGCTGGAGTACAGTGGCTCAATGTCAGCTCACTGCAACCTCCACCTCCTGGGTTCAAGCGATTCTCCTGCCTCGGCCTCCAGAGTAGGTGGGATTACAGGTTCGTGCCACCACGCCCAGCTAATTTTTGTATTTTTAGTAGAGACAGGTTTTCACCATGTTGTCCAGGCTGGTGTTGAACTCCTGGCCTCAAACAATCTGCCCACCTCGGCTTCCCAAAGTTCTGGAATTACAGGCATGAGCCACCATGCCCGGCCACATTTGTTCTTTCTTTTTCTTTTTCTTTTTTTTTTTTTTTTTTTGAGACAGAGTCTCGCTCTGTCGCCCAGGCTGGATGGAGTGCAGTGGCGCAACCTCGGCTCACTGCAAGCTCCACCTCTCGGGTTCACACCATTCTCCTGCCTCAGCCTCCCAGGTAGCTGGGACTACAGGCGCCCGCCACCAAGCCCGGCTAATTTTTGTATTTTTAGTAGAGACAGGGTTTCACTGTGTTAGCCAGGATGGTCTTGATCTCCTGACCTTGTGATCCTCCCACCTCGGCCTCCCAAAGTGCTGGGATTACAGGCGTGAGCCACCACACCCAGCCCACATTTATTCTTAAGAGGTAGAACATATAGTATAAAGATTTCAGCTAGGCACGGTGGCTCATGCCTGTAATCCCAACACTTTGGAAAGCCAGGGTAGGAGGATCGCTTAACTCCAGGAGTTCAAGACCAATCCTGGGCAACATAGTGAGACCCCACCTCTCCAAAAAAATTTTAAAATTAGCCAGGTGTGGTGGTGTACGCCTGCAGTCCCAGCTACTCAGTAAACTAAGGCAGAGGATCGCTTGAGCCCAAGAATTCAAGGCTGCAGTGAGCTATGAGTGGGCCACCGCACTCCAGCCTGAGCAACAGAGCGAGATCTCATCTCTAAAAATTATGTATGTATGTGTGTGTGTATATATATAGCCTATATATGTATATATGTTTGTATGTATGTATATGCATACCTGTATAGGCTATATATATATATAGTATACATATACACAGGGCCTCCCAAATGCCCTGTCTTTCATTGCCTATATATATGTATAGGCAGTGATATAGACATTGTATATATCATGTACATATATCAATGTATATATCATTGTATGTATCATGTATATATCAATTATATATCATATATAGGCTTAATGAATCTTAGTCAGTATGACACGTTTGTCTGTATATATATATAAAATATATAAAATATATATATTGAATGATTGATATTCATTAAGCCAAAAAAATGGAGAAAGGAGGAAATTGCATCCAGTTTTAGCTACACTGGTGAAATACAAATATGTAATTTATGAACCTTCTCCCTGCAACCTTGTCTCTACCAATCACTTGCTTGGCAGACTGTCTCTTCATAGAGGGTTCCAAGGTCAAATCTAAATGATCCATTTTCAATGAGTGGAGAGAATATCCAATGTTGCCCTTCTGAGCAGCCTTTGCCAAGTCACCTCCTGCTCAACCCAGATCCCCCTGTAGGTTTCATCTCTCTGCTCTGTGCTGCCCAGGTCCCCTCCTGGCTGTACTCCTCATCCTGGGTCCTGAGTTCCCAGGCCCAGAGTATCTGAGTTCGTGTCACCTCTTCCTCCCACCCTTGGCTGTGAACTCCACGTCTAACTCATCCTCAAAACCAGAGTCCCCAGCATGCGTTCCTGGAGGATGGATGAATACTGCAGCTTGCCTGAGCCAGCAGCAGTTATGAGAATGACAATCAGATGAACTTGAGAAATGAATGTGACAGGCTGAGACATCGCTACTGAGAGCTTTGATTCATTGTGACGTTCATTCATCCTGACCATCTTACATCACAGTTGAAGAAGCTTTGAAACCCTCTGCCTTTGGGAGAAGCGAAGCCCTGTGGACATTTGCACTCGGAAAAGTTGTTTGTAGTGACCTTCATTTTAGGAAAAATTTCCACCACTATTCTTTATCCTAATTTACACAAAATGTGTATGGGTCTTCAAAAGACAGTAAACAGCCACAATGCCACCCAACACCACAGATTTCTATGCTATGACTCAAAGGATGTATAAATTCCTGAAGGCAGCAACAGGGCTCCTATCATCAAAACAAACTTATTCCAGTCTGGGTGCGGTGGCTCACGCCTGTAATCCCAGCACTTTGGGAGGCCGAGGTGGGCAGATCACTTGAGGTCAGGAGTTCAAAACCAGCCTGGCCTATCTGATGAAACCCTGTCTATACTAAAAATACAAAAATTAGCCGGGCATGGTGGCGCATGCCTCTAATTCTAGCTACTCGGGAGGCTGAGGCAGGAGAATTGCTTGAACCCAGGAGGCAGAGGCTGCAGTAAGCCGATATCGTGCCACTGCACTCCAGCCTGGGTGACACAGAGAGACTCCATTTCAAAAAAAAGAAAAAATTATTCCAAGACGTGATGTGCAGCAATGTTGGGGAAGGGATGCAGAGGGCGGAAAACTTGAGTTCCCAACTCTGATTGTGCGACTTACTGGATCTATGGCTTGGAGCAACCCCTCAGCATACACACAGACACCCATCCTTCTTCAGAGCTGCCTGGGATCTGATGAATCTCCACGTGCAATAAACTTCGTGTGCTACTTGGGGGACACAGTGCAGACAGCAGCCACTGAAGGGGACTCCATGATGGTGCAAGAGGCTCCACTGTCCAGGACATTTGCAAACATAGTGCATGACCCAGGCCTGCCTTCTGTGGAAGAAGGAGGCATGGAGGAGGATGAAGAGAGCATGGAGGGGCTGGATTGTAATATGGAAAGCCCAGCTGGGATCAACGTTGCACTGGGAGCTTTTTGAAAACAGATGGCGTCTTCCATATTGGTGCTGGAGATCCTCTTGGACCTGCCTCGGAGCTGTCACCTGATGGTGGTGATGGTTGTGGCTCTGAAGTCCACAATGGAACCCTCACCCTCTTGCCTCGCTGTGTCCATCAGTCCTGTGTCTTTTCCCCAAGTGTCTGTCTTGGAATGTGTGGCCCAGCCAGGAACATGGGGGACAAGTTTGTCCCCAGACAAGTTTGAGTCCAACTCAGGACAAATTTGTCAAGTGGAATCAGCTCTCACAGATGCAGATTTGCCCCTCCTTTGCACTAGGCAGGCCCACTCTTGTCTCATTCCTGGTTTGGTTACCACTAGTAGATGCTGTGGGTGCAAAGCTAGGTCTCTGTTCTACCCAGGTCGGAGGCAGACTGGGACAACCTACACCTCCCTTGGCCCATCTGGTCCAAAAAGATATGGATGGCCAGGCACGGTGGCTCATGCCTGTAATCCCAACACTTTGGGAGGCCAAGGCTGAGGGATTGCTTGAGGTCAAGAGTTTGAACAGCCTGGGCAACATAGAAAGACTCAGTTCTCTACGAAAAATAAATTAAAAAAAAAATTAGCCAGGCATGGTAACACATGCCTGTGGTTCCAGCTACTTGGGAAGCTGAGGCAGGAGGATCACTTGAGCCCAGGAGTTCAAGGCTGCAGTGACCTGTGGTTAGACCACTGCACTCCAGCCTGGGCGACAAAGGAAGACCCAGTCTTTAACAAAAGATACAGATAGATAGATAGATAGATAGATAGATAGATAGATAATAGAGACAGATATTAGATAGATAGATAGATAGGTAGAAAACAGGCAGGCAGGCAGAAAGACAGATGATAGATAGATAGATACATAGATAGATAAGGCAGGCAGACAGATGATAGATGATAGATAGATAAATAGATAAGATGGGCAGGCAGAAAGATAGATGATAGACAGAGACAGATGATAGATGATAGATAGATAATAGAGACAGAGATAGATGATAGATAGATAGAGACAGACAGAGATAGATAGATAGATGATAGAGACAGACAGAGATAGATGATAGATAGATAGACAGACAGACAGACAGACAGATAGATAGATAGGAGATGGAAGATCAGAGGATTGGGAGAGGTTAACAGAACAGGTCTCAGCCATGAGGACCTTTGCTCCAAGGTGGGATTGAAGGAATGAAAGGCCGGGGTGGGGATGTTCTATCCTGATCTCATAAAACAAGGCAATGTGAACAATCCCCAGCTGCCACTGGACCTATTAAAGACCTAATTTCCATTCACCTATAACTTTATTAGGCTCATCTAAGCTATTCATCAGAGAAGCCTGTCTTGAAAACGGTGCACAGTGGCCCTTATTAAAATGTCTTCTCAGCAGGCAAATGCGTTAGGTTTTATGGCCCCATGCACAGATGTGCCTACACAATGGCAAAGAGCCTCCTCATCACCGCTCAGGCCCAATAGAGGTTGCAGGTGAGACACTGGGATGCCTGATGTCAAAGATGCCCATTCTCATTCATAAGCCCCAGAGTCTAGAGTTGATCCTTGCCATATCCCCATGAGTTTGGGTAAAATTTTCCATCCCAGAGTGCTACTGGCTGACTCTCTTGCAGTGCCAGCCCCCCCAATTCCCGGCTGCCCTGCCCTTCAGCCTCGTGCTGAAGCCAATGTGTATTTTTGGAAACCAGTCCCTGGGTACAGCCTGGAGAGTCTGGATAAGGGGTGGCCAGGCTGCCGGAATATTATGACAGGCGGCTCTGGGAGCACAGGGCTTGGCAGTTGGTGAAAAGTATAAATGAGAAGAGAACAAGAGGCCAGACACAGTGAGAGTTGCTAAGCAGCCAAGAGTCCCAGAGAAGAGAGTCTGTGCCTCTCACCAGGCACAGAGAGAGGTAGGAAACATCCCTGACTTACCCATGAGTTTGCATGTCTTCTCTGCCATGGATAGAAGGCCCTCGTGGAGACCAGTGGAAACAGAGATCAAAGTGAATCTCCCGGGATTGGAGCTGGCTACACAGCTTTGCTGAGGAGCAAGTTACTTAGCCTCTCTGAGCCTCAGTCTCCTCATTTGTACAATGAAGTCCCCACCCTCCATGATGCTGGGTTATTGACAGGGTGAACAAAGCATTCCTCAAGGGGCCTGGTACATGGTGGGAACAGAACTCACATTGGCTTTAGTATTAGAATTAACATAGTCTCCCACGATGGCCAAATGTTAGGGCTTGTAGAGTTGCCAATGGTTCCACACCACACTCAACTGGAGTAAAAAGAATGAGACATCAACTCTTCCAAGCTCATTCCTACCGAGCTCCTATTCACCAAACAAACCAGGAGTTCTGTTCCATCCCAACTGTCTTGGGTTTCACATTTGTCTGCCTGTCCCAGGAAGAATTTTCAAATAATGAACTGTTGTTGACAATAATTGCAATGTTGCAAAAAAGAATATAATAAAACCCCACACATCTGGAAATAATAGTAGTAACCTGTCTCCTGGGTCATTGTAAGGATTAAATGAATCAAATCTCATTTAAAGACCTAGAGCCGAATGGAGTCAGTGAGTGTGTGTGTGTGTGTGTCTGTGTGTGTGTCTCTGTGTATGTCTGTGTGTGTCTGTCTGTCTGTGGGTATGTGGGTGTGTTTGTGTGTGTGTGTCTGTGTGTGTCTGTGTGTGTTGTCTGTGTGTCCATGTCTATGTGTGTATGTCTGTGTGTGTGTCTGTGTGTGTCTGCGTGTCTGTGTGTATGTCTGTGTGTGTATGTCTGTGTGTGTCTGTATGTGTGTGTGTGTGTGTGTCTCTCTGTGTGTGTATGTCTGTGTCTGTGTCTGTGTGTGTCTGTGTGTCTGTGTATGTGTGTGTGTCTGTGTGTCTGTGTCTGTGTGTGTATGTCTGTGTGTGTATGTCTCTGTGTGTGTGTGTTTGTGTGTGTCTGTGTGTGTGTGCACACATGCATGCATATTCAGGGAGGGTTTTCTTTGGGCTTCTGGCTGCCATCATGAAACAAGATGGTGGTGTTATATTTCCCATGGGAAGATCTCTAGTTATTCATAGGGAGTTTCCTGCACTGGCAGTGGTGGAGCCTGCTCACCTCCTGAGCCTAATGCAGTACAGGAAAGCCCCCAAATTGGGGCTTAGTCTGGGATAGTTCATGGCTTCCTTCAGGAAAGAATTCGAGGGCAAGTCGCTGGTGTTAGACAGCAACTTTTTTTTTTTTTTTTTTGAGGTGGAGTCTCACTCTGTTGCCCAGGCTGGAGTGCAGTAGTGTGATCTCAGCTCACTGCAACCTTCACCTCCCAGGTTCAAGCAATTCTTCTGCCTCAGCCTCCCAAGTGGCTGGGACTACAGGCGTGCACCACCACGCCTGGCTAATTTTTGTATTTTTAGTAGAGACAGGGTTTCACCATGGCCAGGCTGGTCTCGAACTCCTGACCTCAGGTGATCCGCCAGCCTCAGCCTCCCAAAGTACTGGGATTACAGACATGAGCCACTGCACCTGGCCTAGACAACAACTTTTATTAAAGTGGCAGTGCACAGCCAGCAGCAGAGGTATTGCTCCTTGCAAAGCAGGGCTACCCTTAGGCGGTGAACCCAGAGCAGCAGCCTGGAGGCAATTCCGCAGTCATATTTATACCACCCACGTTTAATTATAGGCAAATTAAGGAGCAGTTTATGCAGAAATTTCTAGGAAAAGGGTGCTAACTTGTGGATCATTGGGTCATTGCCACGGAAAGGAGCGGTAACTTCTTTTTTTTTTTTTTTTTGAGATGGAGTCTTGCTCTGTCGCCCAGGCTGGAGTGCAGTGGCGCGAACTCGGCTCACTGCAAGCTCTGCCTCCTGGATTCACGCCATTGTCCTGCCTCAGCCTCCTGAGTAGCTGGGACTACAAGTGCCCGCCACCACGCCCAGCTAATCTTTTTGTATTTTTTTATTAGAGACAGGGTTTCACCGTGTTAGCCAAGATGGTCTCGATCTCCTGACCTCGTGATCCGCCCGCCTCGGCCTCCCAAAGTGCTGGGATTACAGGCGTGAGCCACCGCGCCCGGCCAGGAGCGGTAACTTCTGAGCGTTGCCACAGCAATGGTAAACTGACATAGCACACTGGTGGGCGTGTCTTATGGAAAGCTGCTTCCACCGAAGTCCTTTTTTAGCTAGTCCTCAATTTGGTGTGGTGTTTGAGCCCCGCCTCCGGAGTGGAGTCCCACTGTTAGGAATAACGCTCAAAATCTTAAGGAAATTGAACACTCGAACAAAGGATCCTTAGCAAAGCAATTTTGCTTTTGTGCAGAGGGGTGCCTCCTTGGCCAGTCGCCACGAGAGCGCACCTGAACAAAGGGGCACGAGAGCCTTTATTCCTGAGGCAAGTCCTGCCCCTGCACCCTTTTGCCATTGGCCGGGGTTGGGTCGTACAATCTAAACTAATCCCGGTTGACTAGACATTTGATTTTTTTTTTTTTTCTGGATAAGGTGGGCACGTAAAAGAAAGTGGACAGGAAGGGGAAGAGGTGTCTGTAATGATCTGGAAAGTTAGTCTTTTTTGGCCGGGCGCGGCGGCTCACTCTGTAATTCCAGCACTTTGGGAGGCCGAGGCGAGCGGATCACGAGGTCAGGAGATCGACACCATCCTGGCTAACACAGTGAAACCCCGTCTCTACTAAAAATAGAAAAAAATTAGCCGGGTGGGTGTGGTTGCAGGCGCCTGTAGTCCCAGCTACTCAGGAGGCTGAAGCAGGAGAATGGCGTGAACCCGGGAGGCGGAGCTTGCAGTGAGCCGAGATCGCGCCACTGCACTCCAGCCTGGGCGACAGCGAGACTCCATCTCAAAAAAAAAAAAAAAAAAAAGAAAAGAAAGTTAGTCTTCTTTCCAAATAAGGAAAGGAATGTGAGCTGGTACTGATAACGCCTGGTACTGTGGCCTGCCTGGACATCTAACAAAGGCAAAAAGGAAAAAAAGGAGAAAAAGGTGGGGGGGGGGGCGGGTACTATGGATAAAGGATAAAAGATTGATCAGATTATTTGACGAGAAACCTCATTATATCCCACACCACCTTGTACCTCAAGCCCAGATCCCTACTCTGGCGTCTGATTTCAGGATGGGCATCTCTAGCATGACAGGACTTCCCACATTCTGGACCCCCTGCTGCCTATAAGGTCCCCTTGCCACAGTGAACAAGCAGTGAAGTCAAGGAGTCGGACAGGAGCAGGTCAGGGACCTTAAGTGAGACTGGGAGACCTGGAGGATTTGGGGCAGGGGTGTGGCCTAATCAACCTAGGTCTTAATAGGCTGCTGTGCTGAAACTAGACGGTGAGCACAAGGGCAGAAACAACAGCAATCATTCAGGCAAGAGATGGTGATGACTCAGACCAGGTGAGAGCAGTAGAGGTGGAAAAAAATGAGTAGATTCTGGATAAATTGTGAAGGTTGGCTGGGCGTGGTGGCTCACGCCTGGAATCCCAGCACTTTGGGAGGCCAAGGCTGCCGGATCACCTGAGGTCAGGAGTTTGAGACCAGCCTGGCCAACATGATGAAACCCCATCTCTACTAAAAATACAAAAATTAGCCAGCCGTGGTGGTGGGCCTGTAATCCCAGCTACTCAGGAAGCTGAGGCAGGAGAATCACTTGAACCTGGGAGCCGGATGTTGCAGTGAGCTGAGATCGCGTCACTGCACTCCAGCATGGGTGACAGAGTGAGACTCCAGCTCAAAAAAGAAAAAACAAAAAAAAAGAAGATCTTTGAATCCTCCTATGGCCTGTGGGCTCCTGCTTTGAGATGTCTCACCTTTTTAGGTGAAACCAAGGTATAACTTCCATGTATTGATTGACAGCTTTGACTGTAACCTCCCTCTCCTTGCTTGGAGCCCCGCAATGAATGCCTTCACTTCTCCCACTGCAAACTGTGGTGTGGATGTTTAGCGTTACTGTGCTGGGTGAGAGGATCTCAATTTGGTTTGGTAACAAGACAAGCTCAGAGAAGGATGGTAGTGGGCAGTGGGTGGTGGTGATCACTGGATCTTCCACTTCCTCTTCCTATTTCCTGAAACGTCTCCCCATAGGCACCTGTGGACCCACTGGTCTTCCAGCTTTGTTCCCTCGCACCTCCTCATTCCAGCCTTCCCATCTCTGTTGATGGCAACTCCACTTTTCTGGTGTCTCAGGCCAAACCTCAGGGAGACCCTGGACCTCTCGACCTCTCGACCTCTCTCATGTTTTCTCAAACCTCACCTTCAATCTATTCACAAATCCTATTGGCAACCTTCACTTTTTTTTTTTTTTTTTTTTTGAGACAGAGTCTTGCTCTGTTGCCCAGGCTGAAGTGCAGTAGCGCAGTCTCGGCTCACTACAACCTCCACCTCCCGGGCTCAAGCAATTCTTGGGATTAAAAGGCATGTGCCACCACACCCGGCTAATTTTTGTATTTTTAGTAGAGACGGGGTTTTGCCATGTTGGCCAGGCTGGTCTTGAACTCCTGACCTCAGGTGATCTGCCCGCCTCAGCCTCCCACAGTGCTGGGATTACAGGCATGAGCTAACATGCCAGGCCAGGCATGGACTTTGAGGGTGGGTCGTGGAGGACCTGTCCTCCTGGCTACGGGCCCACTAGAAAGCCCTCCCTGAAGATGCGATAAAGCAGAGGCCCTATTAGGGGCCTGGTGGGCACCCTCCCCCTCCAAGCATGGAAATAAAGGAAAATCTTGAGTTCCTTCAAGGGAAAGTTCAGGCACCTAGCTAGTCCTGAGCAGTAAATGAGCAACTTGATAACCAAAAAGGTAATAGTAGCTTAAAGCAATAGCCAAGGAAATCACAAGATGTTTAGTTCCTGATGGGAACCAAAGATGTCCTTGAGTTTTTCAGAAACCTGGGCTCCTGCCAAATGGACCTGCTGCTGGCAGGTAGACCTCAGATAAGGGGGAACTGAGCACTGAACTCTGACAGTTCTTTGTTCTAAATTTCTTCCTGAGGGGCCTGGAGAAGGTCATACCCACAGACCAGAGCTAACATTCTTTTCTACTCTCCCCAATTTTCTTTTTTGTTGTTGTTGTTGAGATGGAGTCTCGCTCTGTCACCCAGGCTGGGGTGCAGTGGCGTGATCTCGGCTCACTGCAACCTCCACCTCTTGGGTTTGAGTGATTCTCCTGCCTCAGCCTCCTGAGTAGTTGGGATTATGGGTGCGTGCCACTACGCCCGGCTAATTTTTGTATTTTTAGTAGAGATGGGGTTTCGCTGCGTTGGCTAGGCTGGTCTTGAATTCCTGACCTCAAGTGATCTGCCCACCTCGGCCTCCCAAAGTGCTGGGATTATAGGCATGAGCCACCATGTCAGGCCCTGTCCACAATTTTTTAGACAAAGCCTTGCCTCCTTAACCAATCACAAATAGAAAATCTTTGAATCCTGCTGGGCAAGCTGGCTCACGCCTGTAATCCCAGCACTTTGGGAGGCTGAGGCAGGCAGAGCACCTGAGGTCAGGAGTTCGAGACCAGCCTGGCCAATGTGGCAAAACCCTGTCTCTACTAAAAACACAAAAATTAGCCGGGCGTGGTGGCACGTGCCTGTAATCCCAGCTACTCAGGAGGCTGAGGCAGGAGAATCACTTGAACCCGAGAGGCAGAGGTTGCAGTGAGCTGAGATCATGCCACTGCACTCCAGCCTGGGTGACAGAGCGAGACTCCGTCTAGAAAAAAAAAAAAAAATCCATGCCTGCCAGCACATTTCTCAAAGTAGAAAAAGGAAAAACCACCTTCGGGGAGGAGCTCAGAGCTGACTTCTCACTGCCAGCAGATGACACAGCCCTGGACTTGTCTCCTAAAAGGCACAATGACACCTGGCCCCACTGCCTTCTCCTTGACGGGGCCCTGACTGTGGCATGGCACCTCTCAGCCCTCAGCCTGCTCAGTCATTCTGCACAAAGTTTACTTCTCCCAGTAAAGCCAGAATTCCTCTCACTTCAGAAATAAAATGTATACATCTGCTGGTGGCCTCACATCCCTTCTCTGCGTTCTCAGCATGAGGCTCAGGCTTTTTATAATTCATCAAAAAGGCCACACGTAATGAGCTCAGTTCTTACTCTGCAACTGGGACGTCAGCTCACCTTTTAAGAACCCCGCACCCAGCCAAGGCCCCTTAGATCTTGTCCTAAAGCTGGGGATGAGTCACCTGTGAATCAGGCAGCAGGCTGAGCCAGCACTGCTCTCCAGGGGCCGCCTTCCCTTCCAAAGGACTAGCCTGTGTAAGGGGCCAGGCTGGGGGCTTCCCTACCTTCCTTCATTCGTTCATTGAACAAGAGTTTATTGGCCGGGTGTGGTGTCTCATGCCTGTAATCCCAGCACTTTGGGAGGCCGAGGCGGGCAGATCACCTGAGGTCAGGAGTTCAAGACCAGCCTGGCCAACATCACAAAAATATGTCTCTACTAAAAATACAAAAATAAGCCAGGTGTGGTGGTGGGCGGCTGTAATCCCAGCTAGTCAAGAGGCTGAGGCACAAGAATCGCTTGAACCCGGGAGGCAGAGATTGCAGTGAACCGAGATTGCACCACTGCACTCCTGCCTGTGCGACGGAATGAGGCTCCGTTAAAAAAAAAAAGAGTGCATTGAGTGCCTGCTGTATGGCAGGCCCTGGACTGGAACCTTTCCTAGATGCTCTTTTGCATAATCCCCCTCCTGACAATACTAGAAGGAAGGTGCTCACATGCCCATTTTGCAGATGTGGACACTGAGGTGCTGAGAGGTTTTAGTATCTTGTTTGAGGTCCCTTGACTTGTGTGTAGTAAAGAATTAACCTTATCCTAGGCCAGGTGCAGTGGCTTACGCCTGGAATCCCAGCATTTTGGGAGGCCAAGGTGGGAGGATTACTTGAGGCCAGGAGTTTGAGACCAGCCTAGGCAACATAGCAAGATATCATCACTACAAAAAAAATTTAAAAATCAGTCAGACATGGTGGTGGACCTGTAGTCCCAGCTACCCAGGAGGCTGAGGCAGGAGGATTGCTTGAGCCCAGGAGTTGGAGGCTGCAGTGAGCTCTGATCACACCACTGTACTCCAGCCTGGGTGACAGAGTGAGACTCCATCTCAAAAAATAAACAATTAATTTAAAAATAAAAATAAAAGATGGCCAGGCACGGTGGCTCACGCCTGTAATCCCAGCACTTTGGGAGGCCGAGGCAGGTGGATCACTTGAGGCCAGGAGTTCGAGACCAACCTGGTCAACAGGGTGAAACCCTGTCTGTACTAAAAATACAAAGATTAGCCGGGCGTGGTCACGGGTGCCTGTAATCCCAGCTACTCAGGAGACTGAGGTGGGAGGATTGCTTAAGCCTGGGAGGTGGAGGCTGCAGTGAGCCAAGATTGCACCACTGCACTCCAACCTGGGTGACAGAGCGAGACTCTGTGTCAAAAATTAATTAATTAATTAAAATAAAAAATAAAAATAAAAAAAGAATTAACTTTATCCAAAGAGTGGTATGGCTTTTACCACCAGCTCCCGGGAGGTGAGCTCTAAGCCCTTAGAACATCCTGTCTGGTAAGAATGTCTTCGTTTACCTGGGGGCCTGGGGCTATGCAATCTAACAACGTACATGACTTATGGTGGAGGCTTTGGGCTACACAGCATCAGCTTGACCTCCAGAGGGGATGGGGATTGTCAGCCACATCAGGCATCAGCCATGTCTATATGACCAAGCCCCAGTAAAAACTGGACACCAAGGCTCAGGTGAGCTGCCCTGGTTAGCAATACTCCATGCACGTCGTCACGCATCATTGTTGGGAATGCTAGCCATGACTCCAAAGGACGGGACAACTGGAAACTCCATGTGCTGAATCCTCCTGGACTCTGCCCCCTGCATCCTTTCCCTGCGCTGATTTTTTTTTTTTTTTTTTTTGAGACAGAGTCTCACTCTGTCGCCCAGGCTGGAGAGCAATGGCGTGATCTCGGCTCACTGCAAGCTCCACCTCCCGGGTTCATGCCTTTCTCCTGCCTCAGCCTCCCGAGTAGCTGGGACTACAGGTGCCCGCCACCATGCCCGGCTAATTTTGTTTTTTTGTATTTTTAGTAGAGACGGGGTTTCACCATGTTAGCCTGGATGGTCTCGATCTCCTGACCTGGTGATCCACCCGCCTCGGCCTCCCAGAATGCTGGGATCACAGGCGTGAGCCACCGTGCCTGGCCTATTTTTAAATTTATTTTATTTTATTTTATTTTTTGAGATGGAGACTCGCTTTGATGTCCAGGCTGGAGTGCAATCTTGGTGTAATCTCGGCTCACTGCAACCTCCGCCTCCCAGGTTCCAGAGATTCTCCTGCCTCAGCCTCCCGAGTAGCTGGGACTACAAGCATGTGCCACCACCATGCCTGGCTGTCTCTTCTAGCTTCTAGTGACTGCTGGCAAATCCTTGTGTTCTTTGGCTTGTTGACCCATTGCTCCAATCCCTGTCTGTCTTGTCATATGGCTTTGTTCTCTGTGCATGTCAGTGTTCTAAGCTCTTCTTCTAAGGACACCTGTCATTGGTCTTAGAGTCTTCCCTAAATCCAAGATAATTTCACCTTGAGATTCTTAACTAATTATACCTGCACAGACCGTTGTATAGTTTGGATGTTTGTCACCTCCAAATCTCATGTTGAAACATGATTCCCCATGTTGAAGGTGGGGCCTGGTGGGAGGTGTTTGGGTCGTGGGAGTGGGTTCCTCATGAATGGCTTGGTGCCCACCCTATGGTCATGAGTGAATTCTTGCTCTATTAATTACTGTGAGATCTGATTGGTAAAAAGAGCCTGGCACCTCCTCCTCACTCTCTTGTTCCCTCTCTCGCCATGTGACCTGGCTGCTCCCACTTTGCCTTCTGCCATGATTGGAGGCTTCCTGAGGTTCTTACAAGAAGCAGACACCAGTGCTGTGCTTGCACAACCCACAGAGCCGTGAGCCAAATAAACCTCTTTTCTTCATAAATGACCCAACCTCAAGTATTCCCATATAGCAAAACAAAATGGACTAATACAGGCCAGGCGTGGTGGCTCATGCCTGTAATCCCAGCACTTTGGGAGGCCGAGGTGGGTGGATCACGAGGTCAGGAGTTCAAGACCAGCCTGGCCAAGATGGTGAACTCCTGTCTCTACTAAAAATACAAAAAACTAGCCGGGTGTGGTGGGGGTGCCTGTAGTCCCAGCTACTTGGGAGGCTGAGGCAGGGAATCCCTTGAACCCAGGAGGCAGGGCTTGCAGTGAGCCGAGTTGGCGCCATCGCACTCCAGCCTGGGTGACAGAGCAAGATTCCATCTCAAAAAAAAAAAAAAAAAAAAAAAAAAAAGTAGGGGGAAGAATGGATTAATACAACCCTGTTTCCAAATAGTTACATTCTGAGATCTGGGTGGACATAAACTTTTGAGAAGGACATTATTTAATTCACTATATAGGTGATTCCCCAAATAAAATCTCTCTTGACTTCTGATTCCAAAGGACCTGAACTAACACAACCCAGTGGGCCAGGTTCCATCCTAGGCACTGGAGCTACAAAGGTGGAGCACCCAGTCATGGCCCCTGCCCCCACAGGACAGAAGACATGGGAGTCAGGCAGGTGCTAAGGGCCAGATCTGGGAGGGAGGGAAGGAGAGAGGGAGGGAGGGAGGTGTGCTCCCCTCCACACAGCTTCCCTGCCTCCCCGCGAGGGGCTCTGGTCCCACCGCTCTTTGGAGCCAGGCCCTGGCTTCAGGGTGTACGTGCTCAGGAGGCTGCCGTGTTGATGAAAATACCACGGAGACGTCTGCAGGGTTCTTCCTCTTGCTGCTTCTCCTGTGCCCGAAATAAATGAAAAAGAGATGTTCCTGGCAGGGTCTGCGGAGAAGCTTCGTGGCAGGAATGAAAATTGGCCGCAGCATCCAAGAAATCCTCGAACGGCAAAGGGATTTCTAGGACAACACACCTCTAGGAACAGAGGATGTCGGTGGTGAGAGCTGGAGGCGGAGGCAGGCCTGCCGCCCCAGGTGTCTGCGTGTCTGCGGTCGCACCGTGGTGTGCACACCTACACAGGTGTGCGTACCTGCTGGCCGTGTGCAAGCACGGGGGCGAGTTTGGGGAACCCAGCTGAAATCACAGCACAGACTTTCTCCCACCATTGGCCCATCTGCCAGCCTCTTCCTCACCCTCAAGCCTGCCGGCCATCTGGGGTCACCTTGTCCTGCCACATTTCAACAACACTGGGCTTGGTGCCCGTCGGCTCTCCGGGGATTCTCAGCAGGCTGACACGGCTCCAGGCCCATCTGGCACTCAGTTCTGGCTCTCGCTGAATTCTCCATCTGCCCTGCTACAGGGAGTGCCCTGTGCCAGCCGTCCTTCTCGGCCAGACGTCACATCCACAGAGCTTCAGGGACTCAACGCTGCCTGTAGGCGGCTTTTTCCGGGCTCCAGCACAGCCCTGGACACCTTTAAACTGAAACAAGGCCACCTGGCCCTGGACGTCCCTCAGCCAATCCTGCCTCTGAGAGCTGTCCCTGACCCCTTCTCCTACCCCCTCAGGACCTGGTCTTAACACTCCACTTTTCATCAGAATGGCCCATCAGGGGGTTGCTAACCCCCTCCCCCACTCCCCACCCCCATCTCTAACGTAATCTTCCCCATCAGCAAGGACTATGCCCCCTTCCAGCCCTGCTCCAGGTGGCCCTCAACTTCCTCCCCTAAGACACTGGATCCCTCCATCCTCCCAGAAACAACCCAGAGGGCCTGGCATAATGGCTCATGCCTATAATCCCAGTGCTTTGGGAGGCCAAGGCAGAAGGATCATTTGAGGCCAAGAGTTCAAGACCAGCCTGGGCAACATAGTGAGACCCTCCCCCACCCATCTCTACAAAAAAGAAAAATAAATGTACCCAGACATCGTTGCATGCACCTGTAGTCCTAGCTACTTGGGAGGCTAAGGCAGGAGGATCCCTTGAGGCTGGGAGGTCAAGGCTGCAGTGAGGTACTGTCTCTAAAAAAATAAAAACGCACAACCTGGAGAGACCTGCTGGCATTTGCCTGTGTGCAAGCCCTGATCTTGAGCCGCAGTGGTGGAAATCCAGGAATCGATGAGCTGGGCATGCTGATCTGAAACTTCTGGTTTTACGGAGGGGAAACTGAGGTCAGAAAGACAATCAGCTTGCCTAAGCCATGTGGTGATCCTGGGGAACAGGAGCTCAGGTCTCCTGAGGTCTTCATTCCAGCCCATGAGTACAGTCCCTCTCAGGCACAAAGCACAGGGGCCCTTAACACCCCAGAATGCTCCGCAGACAGCTCTCTGTTACAGCTGGCGTTACAGACAGGGCCTGTTACCTCCCCTGCCTCCCTCTCCTCCTCTCCAGGTGTACCAGACCTTCGTGAGCAGACCTTAGCACCTTTTTTCTTTTAGAGACAGGGTCTTACTCTGTAGCCCAGGCTGCAGTGCACTGGTGCGATCATAGCTCACTACAGCCTGGAACTCCTGGACTCAAGTGATCCTCCCGCCTCAGCCTCCTTAGTAGGTGGGACTACAGGTGCATGCCACTATGCCCGGCTTTTTTTTTTTTTTTTTTAGACGGAGTCTCACTCTGTTGCCAGGCTGGAGTGCAGTGGCACGACGCTTTCGGCAACCTCTGCCTCCTGCGTTCAAGCGGTTCTCCTGCCTCAGCCTCCTGAGTAGCTGGGACTACAGGCATGCGCCACCATGCCCAGCTAATTTTTGTATTTTTAGTAGAGACCGGGTTTCACCATGTTGGCCAGGATGGTCTCTATCTCTTGACCTCGTGATCCACCCACCTCGGCCTCCCAAAGTGCTGGGACTACAGGTGTGAGCCACCGAGCCCGTCCTCGGCTTATTTTTAAACTTTTTGTAGACATGGGGTCTGACTATGTTGCCCAGTCTGGTCTCAAATTCCTTGCTTGAAGCGATCCTCCTATCTCAGCCTCCGAAAGTGCTGGGATGACAGGCATAAGCCACCATGCATGGCCAGACCCTAGCACCTTTCTGTCTGTCCTCTTCACTCCAGCCCTCTAAGTACCTGATATCCCCATCTTCTCCCCACTGAGGGAGGACATCTTTGCTAAAACTGGTACAGACCATTACAGGCTGAATGTTTGTGTCCAGACATTCAGTAAGTTGAATTCATATGTTGAAGCCTGACCCCTAGTGTGGCTGTATTCGGAGATGAGATCTATAAGGAGGTAATTCAGGTAAATGAGGTCATGAGTGTGGGGTCCTGATCTGATAGGATTGGTGTCCTTATAAAAGGAAGAGGATGCCAGTGCGCCTCTGCACACAGGCACCAAGGAAAGTCGTGTGAGGACATAGCGAGAAGCGGCCCTTGAGCTTGGGAAGTTGAGGCTGCAGTAAGCTATGATTGTGCCTCTGCACTCCAGCCTGGGTGACAGAGCAAGACCCTGTCTCCTAAAAGAAGGGAGAAAGGGGAGGGGAGGAGAGGGAAGGGGAGGGGAGGTGGAAGTGGGGAAGGGAAAGAAAAATCAACCCTAGAAGGGCTGGGCTCAGTGGCTCATGCCTGTAATCCCAGCTCTTTTTCGGGGGCCAAGGTGGATGGATCACTTGAGGTCAGGAGTTCAAGACCAGCCTGGCCAACACGGCAAAACCCCATTTCTACTAAAAATACAAAAAGGCTGGCGTGGTGGCACGTGCCTGTAATCCCAGCTACTCGGGAGGCTAAGGCAGGAGAATCACTTGAACCCAGGAGGCAGAGGTTGCAGTGAGCCAAGATGGTGCCACTGAACTCCAGCCTGGGCAACAAGAGCAAGACTCTGTCTCAAAAAAAAAAAAAAAAGAAATCAGTCTTAGCAGAACCTTGATCTTGGATGTCCAGCCTCCAGAACTGTGAGAAGATAAGTGTCTGCCTTTTTTTTTTTTTTTTTTTGATATGGAGTCTATTTCTATCACCCAGGCTGGAGTGCAGTGGTGCAATCGCAGCTCACTGCAACCTCCGCCTCCCAGGTTCAAGCAATTCTCCTGCCTCAGCCTCCCGCGTAGCTGGGATTGCAGGCGCCCACCACCACACCCAGCTGATTTTTGTGTTTTTAGTAGAGATGAGCTTTCACTGTGTTGGCCAGGCTGGTCTCAAACTTCTGAACTTGTGATCCACCCGCCTTGGCCTCCCAAAATGCCGGGGATTACAAGCGTGAGCCACCACACCCGGCCAAGTGTTTGCTTTTTAAGCTGCCCAGTCTATGGTATTTTGTTACGGCAGTTCCTGCACACTAAGACAAGGATTGAAACATTTACAGATTCAATGATATCAAGTCTGGGAGATGCTGCAAAACTCACAGGTGGGGAAGTGTGCAGGGTTAGCAAGAAACAGGATTGACCACAAGCTGAAAATTGGCAGGGCAAGTTGGCTCACCCCTGTAATCCCAACACTTTGGGAGGCTGAGTCGGGCGGATCACTTGCGGTCAGGAGTGTGAGACTAGCCTAGCCAACATGGTGAAACCCCATCTCTACTAAAAATACAAAAATCAGCCGAGCATGGTGGTGCACACCTGTAATCCCAGCTACTTGGGAGGGTGAGGCAGGAGAATCGCTTGAACCCGGGAGGCGGAGGTTGCAGTGAGCCGAGATCGCGCCATTGCACTCCAGCCTGGGTGACAGAGCAAGACTCCATCTCAAAAAACAAACAAAAAACAAAAACATGCTGAAAATTGCTGGTGAGTGATAAGGTCACATGGGAGGAGGCCTCTATTTTCCCTCCACGTTTGTGTGTTTGAAATGTTCTCTACTAGAAGGTTTGTAAAAATAGTATAGTGGAATGGGTCATGAAATAGCTTTGGTGGGGTCAGAACCAGCATCTTCTTAAATGAGATAGAATAAAATAGAACCATCTAAGTCCGGTGTGGTGACTCATGCCTGTAATCCCAGAACTTTGGAAGGCCAAGGCAGGAGGATCGTTTGAGGCCAGAAGTTCGAGACCTGCCTGGGCAACATAGCAAGACCCCCCCCACCCACCCCCCACATCTCTATAGACAATTTTAAAGATTAGTCGATCATGGTGGCGTGCACCTGTAGTCCCAGCTACTCAGGAGGCTGAGGTGGGAGGATGGCTTAAGCCCAGCAGGTTGGGGCTGCAGTGAGCTATGATCACAGCACTGCACTCCAGCCTGGGCCACATAGTGAGATCCCATCTATAATTTTTTTTTTTTAAAAAAGAACAGTCTAGAATAGAACACACCAGGATTCTTTCCATGTGATAATGTAAGCAATACTTTATAAACTTTTTTCAGGCGTGGGTGGGGAGGTAATGTGCTGAATGTAAAACGTACTTCTTACTGTATGATCCAAACAGCTGGAAAATCACTTCTTGTAGTTGGTTTGACCGTGGCCTCTGGAGCCAGGTTGCCTAGCTCTGGTTCTGTCAATTATTGGGTGTGTGACCTTGAACAAGTTACTAAACCTCTCTGTGCCTCAGCTCCTTCACCTTTAAAATGCCGTGAATAATCCTACCCTCATTACAGGATTGATATGGGGATGAAATAAGCTAATGGACATCAAGTGTTCTAAACATTGCTCCTAGCACATTCTAAGTGCTCCATAAATAGCAGCTATCACTATGGTGTTGGGAATTTGCTGGCCTGAAAAGGGAGGAAGAAGAGAAAGAAGAGAAAGGCAATGCTCAACCACAAAGAACACTGTCTCACAGTGGGGTCCCAGGCAGTGTGGCACTTCATTCATTCATGAACATTCATTCATTCACATTCATTCATTCATTCACATTCATTCACTCATTCATGATTATTCATTTCTTCATGGATATTCATTTGATCATTCATGAATATGTATTCCTTTATGAATATTCATTTGTCCATTCATGGCTATTCACTCATTCATTCATTCATTCAATAAGTCTTCTGGAATGCCCACTGTGTACTCCTCCCAAAACACTGGAGAGACAGTGATAAACAAGATGGCCTTGGTCTGTGCCCTCACGGCGCTCACCCTCTACCTGGGAAGATAAATTAAACAATTTATTATAATAAACATGTAATTATTGGAATGGGGAACTACAGAGGCAAGCTGGGCCATCCCCTAACAGCTAATTGATGTTTGCGACTCAGCCAAGAGAAAGACTAGGGTGAGGTTCGAATGTTTCGGTCAGAGGCGAGAGGGCCACTACGTGTGTGGGGAATGCCAGAAGCTCAGTATGACAAGGCCTGCTCTCTCCAGCAGGGGGCGCCACTGACCAGATGTGGCCATTTAAGCTGATTTTCATTTTATTTCATTTCTTTCTTTCTTTGTTTTCAGAGGCAGGATCTTGTTGTGTTGCCCAGGCTAGAGTGCAGTGGTGCAATCACCACTCACTGCGGCCTCAACTTCCTGGGCTCAAACAATCCTCCTGCCTCAGCCTCCTAAGTAGCAGGGACTACAGGTCCCCACCACCACACCCAGCTAACTTGGTTTTGTTGTTGTTGTTGTTGTTGTTGTTGTTGTTTTGTAGAGACAGGGTCTCGCTGTGTTCCCCAGGCTGCTCTCAAACTCCTGGGCTCAGGCTATCCTCCCATCTAGGCCTTGCAAAGTGCCAGGATTAAAGGCATGAGCCACCATACCCAGCCTAAATTTAAATCAGTGAAAAGTAAACAGAATTAAAAATTAAGTTCCTCAGTGCTCAAACGCCACACACCATTGCGCGATGCAAGCACAGAAGGCTTCCATCATCGAGGAAAGGTAAGCGTGGTCAGTGCCGGTCAAGAGGCCGAGCTGTGCCATCCAATGCCACAGCCACCAGCCACAGGCGGCTGCTGGGCACTTGAAATAGGCTAGTGCCACCAAGGAGCTGAATTTTAAATTTTATTTTATTTTAATTAGTTAAAATTAAAATTTAAACACGGATCTTTAATTCAGTCACTGGAAGACTTTTAATTATGTTTGGTACAACTCGAATATGTATATCTATTTTTTAAACTGTACATTTTACAAAATCTAAACACAGATCATGTTGAAATGCTCTATAAAAGGAAAGTACGCACACCAGACGGTGAAGACATAGAACAAAGAAAAAAAGAAGGTAAAATATGTTATTACTAAATGTTATATTGATTGCATAGTGAGATGATAATATTTTAGAAGGAGTGTACTAAAAATATATTATTAAAATGTGGGGCCTGGCGTGGTGGCTCATGCCTGTAATCCTAGCACTTTGGGAGGCCAAGGCAGGCAGATCACTTGAGGTCAGGAGGTCAAGACCAGCCTGGCCAACATGGTGGAAGTCCATCTCTACTAAAAATACAAAATTAGCTGGGTATGATGATGCAGGCCTGTAATCCCAGCTTCTCAGGAGGCTGAGGCAGGAAAATCGCTAGAGCCCAGGAGTTGGAGGTTGCAGTGAGCCAAGATCACACCACTGCACTCCAGACTGGGCAACAGAGTGAAGCTCCATCTCAAAAAAAAATTACATATGTGGCTCACATTATATTTCTATGGAACAGGATGGGACTAGGGCTTAGATGGGGAGGAAGAGGGCAGAAAGGGACATGGAGAGGTCTGGAATTCTCATAAACTCAATGGGGAGCTTGAACTTCTTCCTGGGTAATGGGGAGCCACAGCAGGTGTTGGAGCACGGCAATGACAGGGTCAGACGCTTATGCCTGGAAAGTATTTATGCCTGGATACTTATGCCTGGAAAGTCAGATACTTATGCCTCTGGCAGCTTTGGGGAGGATGGAGGGAGGAGGGAAGCCAGTTGGGAAACCATTGTCATCAAGCTCACCAGACAAGAGAGGGGCTTGGGTTAGGATGGTGGCCCCAACATCATTATCATCATTATTATTAAAGACAGGGTCTCACTCTATTGTCAGACTGGAGTACAGTGGTGTGACCATAGCTCACTGTAGCCCCCAACTCCTGGGTTCAAGCAGTCCTCCTGCCTCAGCCTCAGGTAGCTGGCACTACAGGTGCCAGGGATGGAAAAAGCTGCCTGTCTTTTAAGGAAATTTCATAGAAATTTCACCCAAAACTTCTGCTTTAATCTCATCAGCCACCCCTAGCCATATGGGGGACTGGAAAATATAGTTTAGTTGGGTCCATGGCTCTCCGGGACAAAATTAGGACCCTATCCTAGGGAGAGTGAATGATGAGTAAGCTCAGGCATGGCACAGTGGGTTCTGGGTAGGTGGCTCTGAGTCTTGGAGGGACCGACAGCCGAGACATGGACAGGTGCCACCTCAGAGAGCTCTGCTGTGGAGGTGAGAGGTGGCCGCAGCTCTCCTGAGCTGCTTACTGGCAAGGTGACCTCCTGGAGAGAGAGAGATCCTTTAGGGACAGGTGACACAGCAGGGTTCCCAGCACTGAGCTCTGAGATACAACATTAGAGAGAAAGTCAGGAAAAAGGAGGGAAACCCCGACTAGCGGGCAGAAGGGAAACCAGGAGAACACAGGGTTTTGGAGGGAAGGGCTGGGGCCCAGGACCTAGCACCCCTCCAAGCTCCAGGCAGGATGAGGCTGGAAGCTGTGTAGGACCAGCCTGGGCAACATAGTGAGACCCCTGTCTCTACAAACAAATTTTTGTAGAGATCACTCCCTGGCTTACAGGAGGTGATCAACACATATTTATTTTCTTTTCTTTTTTTTTCTTTCTTTCTTTTCTTTCTTTTTTTTTTTTTTTTTTTTTTTTTTTTGATATGGAGTCTCACTCTCTCACCCAGGCTGGAAAGCAATGGCACGATCCCAGCTCACTGCAACCTCCGCCTCCCGGGTTCAAGTGATTCTCCTGCCTCAGCCTCCTGAGTAGCTGGGATTACAGGCATGCACCACCACACCTGGCTGATTTTTGTATTTTTAGTAGAGATGGGGTTTCTTCATGTTGGCCAGGCTGATCTCAAACTCCTGACCTCAAGTAATCCACCTGCCTCAGCCTCCCAAAGTGCTGGGATTACAGGAGTGAGCCACTGCGCCTGGCCTATTTCTTGAATAAGGTGGATTCGGCCACGTGAACATTCTCGATATCTTTGTTAACAGCAATTTCCGAGGAGACAGGAGTGAAGAGGCCAGGTCCCATTGAGCAGTGGGCAGACAGGAAGGAGTCATTCTCTCCAGAAGTTTGCCTGGGGAGGCGAGGGGAAGTGGAAGGAGGAACAGTGCCCTACTCAGCCCTGAATTCCGGCACCCAACATCATCATCATCATTATTATTAGAGTCAGGGTCTCACTCTGTCATCCTGGCTGAAGTACAGTGGTGCAATCATAGCTCACTGTAGCCTCCGACTCCTGGGCTCAAGTGGTCCTCCCGCCTCAACCTCCCAAGTAGCTGGCACTACAGGTGTGTGTCACCAGGCCTGGCTAATTTTTCTTTAAATTTTTTGTAGAGACGAGGGTCTCGCTATGTCGCCCAGGCTGGTCTTGACCTCCTGGGCTCAAGCGATCCTCCTACCTCAGCTTCCCAAAGTGCTGGGAAAACAGCCACCACGCACCTGGCCCCTATCATCATCATCATCATCATTATTATCCCCAACATACAGATGAGAAAACTGAGGCCCAAAGAGGTAGAATGATTGTCCCAGATTTGCAGAAGGGACTGGAAGTTTGCGTCTGAGCCTGGCCCTCCAGCCATGGCCCAGCCCAGCCCAGCTCTGCTCCAACGCCGTCCCCAGCCCTACCCCCTCTTCCTCCTTCCCATCATCCTATTTTCTTTAATGAGCCAGCTCTTTGATAACTGCAGTGTGTTTTTTAGGAACTAAACAAACTGAAGCTGCAGGGTATTCTTTTTTTTAACAAAAGAGCTCATTGAATAAGCAATGGGTTTTTCTGCAACTATTTTTAAAGATGGAGCTGCAGGCTAGGCTGTGAGGAAAATCACAGAGAGTGCTCTCCTCAAGGTCAGGGCATTGAGGGAAAAATCCATTGTTGGTGAGGTGCCCCGTGGACAAATATTCCGCAGTCAGAAGACCCAGGCGGTGGACAAGGCTCCTGGGACAAGCTCTCCTTCCCTGGCTACCCCAGGACACTCAGGACAATGGTGTCCCTCCATCCTCTGCAGTGGCCCTAGCCCGGTCCCTTAGGCGGAGAGATTTTGTGATCCTTTAGCCTTGGTCCCCTCGTCCCTGGTATCCTCACCGGGAAGCGGTTGGCCACCGACCCTGCCCTCAAGGGGTTCCAAACTGGGGCCAATTTTCCTGGAAACAAAGCATTTCCACAACATCCCCACACCTAATTTCCAACCACTTCCAAGCATTATCTCTGGGGGAAACTGAGGCTCAAAGAGGTCAGTGTGGCTGCCTGTGGCCAAGCTGGGGCTCAGACCTGGGGCTCTCTCTGTCCCCATGGTGGTCCCAGCATTATCCACTGCAGGGAGCTACCTATTCCAATACAAATCTATGTTACAGCCGGGCGCAGTGGCTCACGCCTGTAATCCCAGCACTTTGGGAGACAGAGACGGGCGGATCACTTGAGGCCAGGAGGCTGAGACCAGCCTGGCCAACATGATGAAACTCCGTCTCTACTAGAAACACAAAAATTAGCCAGGTGTGGTGGCGCATGCCTGTAATCCCAGCTACACAGGAGGCTGAGGCACGGGAATCACTTGAACCCAGGAGGTGGAGGTTGCAATGAGCCAAGATCATGCCACTGCTCTCCAGCCTGGATAACAGAATAGTCTCTGTCTCAAAAAACAAAAACAACAACAAAAATAAAGATCTCTGTTCCAGGGGCACTAGAAGATTCTGGAACCTGGTGTGAAGGCATGCCTGAGCCATGCTGCCAACTTCATTTTTTTTTTGAGACGGAGTCTTGCTCTGTCTCCCAGGCTGAAGTGCAGTGGCATGCTCTCGGCTCACTGCAGCCTCCACCTCCCAGGTTCAAGCGATTCTCCTGCCTCAGCCTCCCGAGTAGCTGGGATTACAGGTGCACTTCACCATGTGCGGCTAATTTTTGTATTTTTAGTAGAGACAGAGTTTCACCATGTTGACCAGGCTGGTCTCGAACTCCTGGCCTCAAGTGATCTGCCCGCCTCTGCCTCCCAAAGTGCTGGGATTACAGGCGTGAGCCACCGTGCCCGGCCTCAACTGGATTTTTATTAAGAACTGGGTGGGGACATTTCTCTAGTTTTTATGTGCAAGTAGCCCCAGCTCTCTGGGCTCCGATTTCCCAACTGTAGATTGGGGTTGACAGTGGTCGTGTAGTTAATATTTTCTAAGTCCTCCCTATGCAGCACATGGCACAGGGTTCCCTAGGTGGGTGCTATTATTTCCCTCAATTGAGATAAGGAAAATGAGACTCAGAAAAGCCAGCTTATTTTCTGCTTATTTCTATCATGCAGCTTGCAAGGATTTGAGCCAGACAGGGTCTTGAACCCTCTGAGTTGGGCCCTAAACTCCTCCTGTTCCTCTGGAGTCTGGGCGCCCCCTGATGGTCACAGCAACTCCTGCGGCTCAGCTCCCATCTTCCTGGTCCAACCTCCACCTGGTCACTCTGGGATAGGTGGGCCTCGGGCAGGTCAGCTGTCAGAAAGTCTAAGAAGCACCTGCTGAGATGCCCAGGAGGGTGGTGATCCATCCAGCAGCCCAGGACCTCAAATCCCAGCTCTGCGGCCCCCAGCTCTGTGACCTCGGTGAGGTGCTCAGGTAGGAGGAATCACTGAGAGATTAATTTCTGTTTTGTTCTTGGTGCATTTTCCCCTTCCTGGTTCCAAGAACAGATCAGGTCTCCAGGTCTTTGCATGAGACCGTCTTTTGTTTCCTGGCTTTTATTGTGAATGCTGAACTAGTGGGGGATGACGCTGGGCTGTGTGGGGAGAGGGTGGCTGGGGGAGTCTAACCCTGTCTGTGTGTTGTAATAGACTTGGGGCTAAAATCGTGTGGTTTTGCTCCTTCGCACATGAAAGCATTTTCCCCACCAATTGTGGGGCCCTGTTTAGAGCCTCCGGTAGGGCCCACACATCCCAGGGAACAGGAGGGAAGGCTTCCTGCTGAGTCTCCTGAAATTTGAGCCCAGTCACTAACAACCATCTCTCAAGAGTGTCAAATAAAAATAAATCCAGGCTTAGTAAGGAGAGACTTTCTTCAAAAGGGCTATTGCAAAGGAGGAAAAGGTGCCGCGTGTGGAGGCTCATGCCTGTAATCCCAGTAATTTGGGAGGCCAAAACAGGAGGACCCCTTGAGCCCAAGAGTTCAAGACCAGCCTGGGCAACATAGGGCGACCCCCATCTCTACAAAAAAAAAAAAAGTTTAATTAGCCAGGTGCGATGGCACACACCTGTAGTCCTAGCTACTTGGAAGGCTGAAGCAGGCGGATCCCCTGAGCCTAAGAAGTTGAGGCTATAGTGGGCTATGATTGTGCCACTGTACTCCAGCCTGGTGACAGAGCAAGACCCCATCTCAAAAAAAAAAAAAAAAAAAGGAGGAAAGCATTTATTGCAAGAGAGACAACACTCTGATCTTAAAGTCTGCAAGCTGCTCAATAGTAAATTTTTTTTTTTTTTTGATACGGAGTCTCGCTCTGTCGCCCAGGCTGGAGTGCAGTGGTGCAATCTCGGCTCACTGCAAGCTCCACCTCCCGGGTTCACACCGTTCTCCTGCCTCAGCCTCCCTAGTAGCTGGGACTACAGGCACCCACCACCATGCCCGGCTAATTTTTTGTATTTTTAGTAGAGACGGGGTTTCACCGTGTTAGCCAGGATGGTCTCGATCTCCTGACCTTGTGATCCACACACCTCGGCCTCCCAGAGTGCTGGGATTACAGGCGTGAGCCACCGCGCCCAGCAAAAAAAATTGTTTTAATAGAAAGGAATAAACAAAGGCAGAATCGGGGGACCAGATGCCACTGTCGTTCATGCCTGTGAGCCCAGCATTTTGGGAGGCCAAGGGGGGAGGATGACTTGAGGCCAGGAGTTTGAGACCAGCCTGGGCAACATAGTGAGACCCCATCTCGACAGAAAATTTTAAAACTAGCTGGGCGTGGTGGTGCACGCCTGTGGTCCCAGCTACTTGGGAGGCTGAGGTGGGAGGATCACTTGAGCCCAGAAGTTGGGGGCTGCAGTGAGCTATGATCATGCCACTGCACTCCAGCCTGGGCAACAAAGCTAGATCTTGTCTCAAAAACAAAAACAAAACAAACAAACAAGCAAAGTGTGAAAGATGTAGCAAATGAGCTGGAGGGTAGCAGCTGGGATGATAATCCTTAAGTGTTTGGACCTGGGGCTCAATGTTATGGGGAATCCCTGAGGGTTTGGAGTGGGAGAGTGAGCTGACCCAGCGGCAGTTTGGAAAATAACGCTCCAGTGTGTGGCCCAGAGACACAAGCTGTGGTCTCTGCTTGAGAGAAGCACTTCCTGCTACACACCCCCAGTCTCCCCCAGGACCAAGCCTGCAGCAGCCCAGTGTCGGGTCAAATGCCCTTTGGGGACCTAGGAGTTGAGGACCTGGTTTCAGCAGGACAACCTTGTCTTAAAGGGAAGCCTGGCCATTGGGACCTTGCTCCCTGAGGCTTCCTCTCAGAAGAGCTTATAGCAACCCCGCCCCCCCACCCCGCCCCCAACACCCAGTGCTTGTTCCTAGGAGCACAAAGGTGCTTTGGAGGCAGCTGGAAGAAAATTAAAAGGCAGCAAAACCCAAACCCCACCAGAGAGGGTGTCTGCGCTGGGGACTGTTTGCTGATCACAGTCTCCAAAATGTTAACTCAACACACACTCTCTCGTGACTTTAAAATGCACCCAGCATTGAGCCAGGCACAGTGGCTCACACCTGTGATCCCAGCACTTTGGGAGGCTGTGGTTGAGGGTATCGTTTGGTTTCAGGAGTTTGAGGCCAGCCTGGGCAGCGCAGTGAGACTCTGTCTCTCCAAAAAAAATACATAAATGGGCCAGGCGCGGTGGCTCACGCCTGTAATCCCAGCACTTTGGGAGGCCGAGGCAGATGGATTACGAGGTCAGGAGATCGAGACCATCCTGGCTAACACGGTGAAACCCCATCTCTACTAAAAATATAAAAAATTAGCCAGGCGTGGTGGTGGGCACCTGTAGTCCCAGCTACTCAGGAGGCTGAGGCTGGAGAATGGCGTGAACCCGGGGGGCGGAGCTTGCAGTGAGCCGAGATCGCGCCACTGGACTCCAGCCTGGGCAACAGAGCGAGACTCCGTCTCAAAAAAAAAAAACAGAAATACAAAAACGAGCCTGGTGTGGTGGCTCACGCCTGTAATCCCAGCATTTTGGGAGGCTGCGGTGGAGAGATTGCTTGGTTTCAGGAGTTTGAGACCAGCCTGGGCAACACAGAGAGACCCCATCTCTATGAAAATACAAAAATTAGCCGGCATGGTCATGCATGCCTATAGTCCCAGCTACTGAGGAGGCTGAGGTGGGAGGATCCCTTGAGCCCATGGGGTTGAGGCTGCAGTGAGCCATGTTGGTGCTACTGCACTCCAGTCTGGTCAACAGAGTGAGACTCTGTCTCAGGAAAAGGAAGAAAGGAAGGAAAGTACCTATCATTCAGATGCCCCCACACACGTACACACACTCATGCACACACACATGATGCATACATGTACAGTGTGCAGTTTACAGAGAAGAGCAGACACAGGGGGATAGTAGAAGCGGGAGAAACAGGTGGACTGATCACGCCGTCCACAGTGGTGGCAGCCCCGGAATGAGCAGCTGTCCAGAGCCGAGGTGGCGACAGTGGCACCAAGTGGTTAATGCACCCGGGATCCCCAAAGGCCTCCCTGCTCTCCCCAGGATCTCATGCAGGGGTCCAGCTGGTGGCCTCTGCTCCCTCCCTCCTTCATCTCCCCACCACAACCCTGCTCCGGGGCCCTGAAGCAGCTGATCCCCATCATCTGATGGAAGGGAGTGGCAGCCGGGACTTGCACGCCTCTGAGCCACTGTCCCCAATGCCCAGCAGAAAACAGGTCAGAAAGATGCCTGCAGAGGGAGGAGTTCACTTAGGAGCTTCCCCTCCCCAGTGAGAAGCTCAGCTCGGGAGACTATAGGGCAAGGGTTGCTGTGGGTCACATGTAGAGCCGGTGAGAAGCTGGAAAATACAGCACAGTCTGGAGAGGGGGTCAGGGAGGAGGTGGGCAGCTCCCTCAGTCTCTCTTCACACCTCTTCCTATAGAATCTTCCATTCCCAGCTGGAAAATACAGCACAGTCTGGAAAGGGGGTCAGGGAGGAGGTGGGCCGCTCCCTCAGTCTCTCTTCACACTTCTTCCTATAGAATCAACAGCCCTAGGAGGTATGAAGTGGTGTCTCATTGTGGTTTGGATTTGCATTTCCTTAATGACCAATGACATCGTGCATCTTTCCATGGGCTTATTGGCCATTTGTATATTTTCTTTGGCTAGATGTCTATTCAAGTCCTTTGCCCATTTTTTTTTAAAGTGGGTTATCTTTTAATTGCTGAGTTGTGTGATTCATGATGGTCAACAAGCTGGGAAAAAATGGGCAGGTATCTAGGCTCTGCTGGGTCCCGAGGGCAGCGAGCTGTGGATGCCTCCACAATGTTTCCTGAATGAATGCCTAGAAAAACACACCAACGCACCCTTTCCCTCTTTTTCTCTCTCTCTCTCTTTTTTTTTAAAGACACAGGGTCTTGCTCTGCCACCTAGGCTGGAGTGCGGTGGTGTGATCCTAGGTCACTGCAGCCTCCAACTCCTGGGCTCAAGCAATCCTCCTACCTCAGCCTCCCTAGTAGTTGCGACTACAGGCACCCACCATCATGCCCAGCTAATTTTTTTAATTTTATTTTTTGTAGAGATGGGGTCTCGCTGTGCTGCCCAGGCTGTGTCTCACATTCCTGGCCTCAAACGATCCTCCCACTTTGGCCTCTCAAAGTGCTGAGATTACAGCGAGTTCCCTCTTTATCCACATGGTACAACATGAAAAAACAAAAGCTTGGACAGATTCAGTGGCTGGCCCAAGGTCACAGAGCCAGGCTGGAACACAGATCTCCATTTCCTCAACCCACAGTCAAACTATCTTGTGGCTGTAGCTGTTGACTCATGCTGACCTGTAGATTTCTCGGAAAAGCTATTGGGCAAGAAAAAGAAGAGGCAAAACAAAAGTGACCTCCTCTTCTGAAAAGATTTCTCAAGGGCCAGAGTCCCAGGAATGTCTTCTGTCCTGGAAGGGGCTGAAGGTTCTAGAAGTTGGTTGCCAGCTTGGCTGTTTCACCAATGTGAATGTGAGTATATGTGTGTGCGTACAGTGTGCCTGTGTGTTCATGCAGGTGTGTCGGCAGGTGCTGCAATGCCAGGACCCTGCCCATCCATGCCCCTCTGCCCGCCATGCCCCCCGGTGCACCTGGCAGAGGCTGGGAGCCTGCAGAAAGCATAGCCGGTCAGACACTGCCACCTGCTGGACATACTGGGCACAGCATGCAGATGGCTTGGGGCCCTGGCACTTCATCTCCTAGATCTTCTAAGGCCCCCAGAAAGTAGTGTCCTCCATCACCCCTCATTGCCTATGTGGGCCTCTCTAGAAAACACTTACAGGGTGTAATCTCAGCACTTTGGGAGGCCTGTAATCCCAGCACTTTGGGAGGCCAAGGCGGGCGGATCACCCTGAGCTCAGGAGTTCAAGACCAGCCTGGCTAACACAGTGAAACCCTGTCTCTACTAAAAATATAAAAATTAGCCGGGCATGGTGGCGGGTGCCTGTAATCCCAGCTACTTGGGAGGTTGAGGCAGGAGAATTTCTTGAACCCGGGAGGCAGAGGTTGTAGTGAGCTGAGATCGCGCCATTGCGCTCCAGCCTGGGTGACTGAGCAAGACTCCGTCTCAACAAATAAATAAATAAATATATATATATATATACACACACACACATACATACATACATATATATATATATAAAGGAAAACACCTACTGATGAAATTTTATATAAAGGAAAACACCTACTGATGAAATTTTTGGCACTATGAACCCCTTTAAGTCAAGTCAAGCCCTCTTCTCAGAATAATGTTTTCAAAAGCATAATATAAAATAGTGCTGGACACACTGGCTCACACCTATAATCCCAGCACTTCAGGAGGCTGAGGCAAGAGGATCACCTGAGGCCAGGAGTTCGAGACAAACCTGGGCAACACAGCAAGACCCCATCTTTACAAAAAAAATTTTTTTTAATTAGCCAGGTGTGGTGACTTATACCTGTGATCCTAGCACTTTGGGAGGCCAAGGCAGGAGGATCACTTGAGGCCAGGAGTTCAAGACCAGTCTGGGCAACACAGCAAGACCCCTATCTCTACAAAAACTTTCTTAAAAAATTAGCCACCTATAATCTCAGCACTTTGAGAGGCCAAGGCAGGAGGATTGCTTGAGGCCAAGAGTTTGAGACCAGCCTGGGCAACATAGCAAGACCCCGTCTCAACAGAAAATTTAAAAGTCAGCTGGGTGTGGCAATGGACACCTGTGGTACCAGCTACTTGGGAGGCTGAGGTGGGAGGATCGCTTGAGCCCAGGAGTTCGAGGCTGCAGTGAGCTGTGATCACACTACTGCACTCCAGCCTGGGGGACAGAGCAAGACCCTGTCTCTAAACAAATACATAAATAAAGATGTAATTTTTCCCATCCAAGTACCTCAATGCTCTCCATGGATCCCTTGGGGATTAGGGTAGCTCAGTTTAAGAGACTCTGACCCATTCCCTGCCTGATGACCCTGGAGCCTCCTCGGCCCGTTGGCCCACTACCACATGGGACCCAGCTTAGCTTGCTCCCTCAGCCCCTGCCACACTGTCTACAGCCCACCTGCTCTCCCAGCCTCCAGCCTCTGACCTTTCCTCCTCAACACAGAACAAGGCACCACTCTCAGAAGCCAGGCCAGTGGCTTTCTGCTCCAAGGATGGATAATTGCCCGATCTGATGTCCAAGAGGCCGCCATGCCAGAAGGGGCCCACACCGCAGTCCCTCTCTCCAGGATTCAGGGAGGGAGGCCCCTGCCTCCTGACACCTGGACATCACCACGTCTCACACCAGGGCTTCCGGGCCATTTGTCCTGACCTATGGGGTCTTCTGGACAGTCTGGACAGACATTGAGTTTGTTCCTTAGAGTCTTGTGTTCCCTCCCCTAATTCCAGTCATTGTGAGGTTACAACACAAGTGTGAGGAAGTAACCCTTTCTCCCTTCCTCACGCCATCCCTCTTTCCTTTCAACAATATTTAATGAACACCTGCTATGTGCTGGGTAGTATTCTGGGTGTTAGAAGTAGAAATAGTGAACAAAATAGGCAAAATCCTTTCTTTCTTCAAGTTTATATACCATGTAAGGCTCAGATTAAATAAATAAGTTAAGGCCAGCTGCAGTGGGTCATGCCTGTAATCCCAGCACTTTGGGAGGCCGAGGTAGGAGGATCCCTGGAGACCAAGGGTTCCAGACTAGCCTCAGCAACATAGCAAGACCCCATCTCTACGAAAAATTTTTGAAAATTAGCTGGGCATGGGGGTGGGCTCCTGCGGTCTCAGCTACTTGGGAGGCTGAGATGGGAGGATTGCTTGAGCCAGGGAGGCTGGGGCTGCAGTGAGCTATGATTACACCACTGCACTCCAGCCTGGGTGACAGAGTAAGACCCTGTCTCTATAAAAAAAAAAGTACAAATAAATTTTAAAATAAATAAATTAATAGTATGTTAGGCAAAGCGTGGTGGCTCATGCCTGTAATCCCAGCACTTTAGGAGGCCGAGGCGGGCAGATCACTTGAGACCAGCCTGGCCAACATGGCAAAACCCTGTCTCTACTAAAATTACAAAAAAATTAGCCAGGCCTGGTGGTGGGTGCCTGTAATTCCAGCCACTTGGGAGGCTGAGGCAGGAGAATCACTTGACTCTGAGAGGCAGAGGTTGCAGTGAGCCAAGATCGCACCACTGCACTCCAGCCTGGGCGACAGAGCAAGACTCCATCTCAAAAAAATAAATAAATAAATAAATAGTATGTTAGAAGGTGACATATGCCATGAGTATAAGGGCAGGTAGGAGAGGAGAGTGCCAAGTTGACCTCACAGATGAAGGTGATGTTTGAACAGCCGTGAAGGAGCAGAGAGGGAACCCCACACGTGTCCAGGAAACAGCATCCTGCCCGGCAAAGGGAACAACTCGGGAAAGACCCAGCCAGACAAGCAGCAGGGGCTGGGGGTGACAAGGTCACAGGCCAGGTTGGACAGGGATTTGGGAGGCCACCAGAAGGATTTGGGGTTTGCTCTGAGAAGGGAGACACTGAAGGGTTTGGGGCAGAGGAAGATGTGGTCTTGGAGCAGTTTTGTGGACAAACTTCTGGCTCAGTGAGGGGTGAGCAGGAGCTGCCAGGCATTATGAGAGCCCTGCCAGGGACCAGGGTGGTGGCAGCAGGGGAGGAGGGAGCAGCGGTCAGATTCTGGATCTCAGTTGAAGGATTTCTCACAGGATGGATATGAAATGTGAGAGACGGAGCTGCCGAAAATGACGTGGGGAAGTCTGTTTCCTGGGGCTGCCGAAACAAAGTACCACGAACTAGGTGGCTTAAAACAACAGCAACGGGACCAGGCGCGGTGGTTCACACCTGTAATCCCAGCACTTTGGGAGGCCGAGGCGGGTGGATCATGCGAGGTCAGGAGTTCAAGACCAGCCTTGCCAACATGGTGAAACCCCATCTCTACTAAAAATACAAAAATTAGCCGGGTGGGGTGGTGGGTGTCTGTAGTCTCAACTACTCAGGAGGCTGAGGCAGGAGAATCGCTTGAACCCGGGAGGCAGAGATTGTAGACAGCCGAGATCGTGCCACTGCACTCCAGCCTTGGAGCAAGACTCTGTCTCAACAAAACAAAACAAAAAACTCAGGGCTGGGTGCGGTGGCTCACGCCTGTAACCCCAACATTTTGGGAGGCCAAGGCAGGAGGATAACTTGAGCTCAGGAGTTTGAGACCAGCCTGGGCAAGATAGTGGAGCCTCATCTCTACAAAAAATAAGCAGAAAATTAGCCATGGATGGTGGCATGCACCTATAGTCCCAGCTACTCAGGAGGCTGAGGTGGGAGAATCACTTGAGCCCAGGAGGTCGAGGCTGCAGTGAGCTATGATCGTGCCACTGCACTCCAGCCTGGATGACAGAGAGACTCTGTCTAAAAGAAATAATAAGTAAATAAAAATAAATAAGGCCAGGTGTGGTGGCTCACACCTGTAATCCCAGCACTTTGGGAGGCCGAGGAGGGCAGATCACAAGGTCAGGAGATCAAGACCATCCTGGCCAAAGATGGTGAAACCCCATCTCTACTAAACATACAAAAATTAGCCGGGCATGGTGGCACGTGCTTGTAATCCCCGCTACTTGAGAGGCTGAGGCAGGAGAATTGCTTGAACTAGGGAGTCAGAGGTTGCAGTGAGCCGAGATCACGCCACCGCACTCCAGCCTGGCGACAGAGTGAGACTCCATCTCAAAATAAATTAATAAAAAGAAATAAAAGAAACGCAGAATCCCAGGCCCCACTCCAGACCTCCAAAATGAAAATTCTTGTTTACCAAGATCTCTAGCAATTCTCATGAACCTCAAAGTTTAAGAAGCCTGCTAGAGACTAGTGGTTCTCATACCTGATATGCACCAGAATCGCAGAGGGCTTGTGAAAACAGGTGGCTGCCCCCCTACCCAGGCACTGCTTCAGGTATCAGGTCGAGCCCAAGGGTCTGCATTTCCAACACGTCCCCAGGTGTGGTCCACGTTCCTCCTCTGGCTCTAGAATCCCCCTGAGGTCTCAGACAGGGATGCATGTCCAAGTCACCTGGGGACAGCTCTCCCCACCTCCAGGGACCTGAACTGGCTCCCTTCAGTTGTCTTCACCACAGAGGACAAGTGGGATGTCCTGCTGCGTCACAGCACTGCCGTTGCTGTCTGCAAGGCAAAAACGTCCATGCACAAAAGAGAGACTCTGGCCACACCGTCTATGCTTGGCTATATTCAGAGCACACAAGCTTTATTTAGCAACAATGGCAGTATTTCATGAGAATGAGCTGCACAATAGTGTAAATGCCATTTTCTGCACACAGCCTGGGAGCAGATGGTTACAGCGACAGAGCCCAGACCCCACAGTCCTCCCCTGCCCTTCCTGACAGGCTCCGGCTACTTCTGGCCTCATTATTGTCTCAGCCACAGCCCAGGTCGCTGGGCCAGAAGGGAGGGTGCAGGCTGGTTCCGCTGCTCAGGCTCTGTCATCCTGCTTCTTCCTTCTCAAGGCCACCTCGGGAGCAGCTGGCAGGCAAGAATGCCCCCCTCACACACAGGGAACCCAAGTCCCTGCTGACTCAACCTCTTCTTTTTTTTTTTTTGGAGACAGAGTCTCGCTCTGTCACTCAGGCTGGAGTGCAGTGGCGCCATCTGGGCTCACTGCAAGCTCCGCCTCCCGGGTTCGCACCATTCTCCTGCCTCAGCCTCCCGAGTAGCTGGGACTACAGGCACCCACCACCACGCCCGGCTAACTTTTTGTATTTTTTTAGTAGAGACGGGGTTTCACCGTGTTAGCCAGGGTGGTCTCGATCTCCTGATCTCGTGATCCACCCGCCTCGGCCTCCCAAAGTGCTGGGATTACAGGCGTGAGCCACCGCGCCCGGCCTTGACTCAACCTCTTCTACCGCTGCAAGGCCTTTTCCTCAGTGAAAGTTTCACAGATGGGTTTCGATAAAATAAGGTGATATTTATAAAGCACTCTGCAATCACTCAGTATTAGTCCTGCCCCCCATCCAGCCCCCTGCCAGCCAGCAGGGACTAGGATGGCCTTATAAAGGGCGCAAGAACTGCAGAGACAAAGCACAAAGGGAGGGCCCGGGCCCAGAACCTGTCAGGGCTGCTTGGAGGTCAAATTTCCTTTCAGCTCTAGTGCAGGGTGCATCCCAGCAACCGACTTAACCAGATACAGAGCTGATCATCTGAAATGCCCATGTGACGCATGTGTTTATATTTCTGTGTGTGTGTGTGTGTGTGTGTGTGTGTGTGTGTGTGGTGTGTGTACATGCACACTTCTCTCTGTGAGTGTGCCCATCTATGTGTACAACCTTTAGTTATGGATTTTTAACCCTTTATGACCTTCTTTCTAGCTCTCTGGCACAGGTAGGGCTGTCTGGGGGAGGAAACTGAGAACCCCCAATGGACAGCAGATGTGCCAATATGAGAGGAATGGGCAGTGGGCAGCCAGGCCCACCTGGGAGTCAACACGGAACACCCCAAGCATCAAAGTCCTGCACGAAGCCTCTTCAAAGGTAGGGGGTCAAGGGGGTGGTAACCGAGTGGGGCTTATGTCAGTGGCTGGACTGTACAGATGGGTGAATGGCTGGGGTCAGGGGTGACAGAGAGGGAGGGGCTTGTGGCAGTGGCTGAACTGTACAGATGGATGGATGATCCAGGCCAACAGCCCCACGCAAATGAACCCCTCCTGGTCAGTGGTGCACACCACCCTGCTGGAAACTCCAAGTCAGCAGTCAGTTAACACTGAGATGGGGTGGGGAGGGGGAGTGCTCACACGGTGTAAGTTTTGACAGACTTATAGAGGGGCGGGAGCAGCCCGTGGTTCTCACGAACAATTTCCAGGTACTCAGATGGAGTCTCCAGCAAGAAAGGCCCACAGCACATCTGGCAGCAGCACCTGACCCCAGAGGGTGGCTCCGGGTTCTTGTCAGACATGGGGGAAAAGTCAAAATCAGCCACCTATGATGAACAAAATCCCACGGGTCAATCACCCACCCACCAGGAGCCCCATCAGGTGGCCTTATGAGCTCAGCTGCCTGGTGGCAGAGTGCACAGAAACACCTTTCTGGCACCACACAGATGCAAGAGATGGATATAGGAGATAAATCAGATGGGACACCAACTTAGCAATTTTTCCTGGTCTACAGATGCCTCTTGGGCACATCACCCCAAGTCCCGGAGCCTCGCTGTAATATCAAGACCCCCTCCAGGCATCCTGGCCTGGCCCCCATACCCTCTCTAAACATCCTCTCTAGGCAAGGCCCAGTAGTCCAGCCCCCACCCCACTGAGTACCCACCTCCACCATGTCCTTTTGCTGAGTGGCATTCCGCAGGGTCATGTACATGATGAAGGCCAACATCACAGTGATAAGTGTAGCACATGGGAAAGCAAAGACAGCCGGCTGGATTCCTGGGAATGAAAGAAGTAACATTACAGGACTGGGTAGCTGGTACTACAGTGCTGGTTCTCAGGAAGCAAGCACAACAAAGGAGGGAATGGTCAAGCCCCACCAGTGATTTTTTTTACCCTCATGTACATGCATCCCAACTGGGCAACCCCAATAGGTAAATCCAGGACTTCACAAAAAATAAACTGGGGTCTGGGTAGGGGGCTTTCAGCATACATCCACAAGTTACTTGGTAGCAACTTCCAAGAGGGGCAGCTAAATTCCTCACACCTTGAGTGAGGGCTGGACTCAGCGACCAGCTCCTAGTGTACAGCAGATGAAAGGAGTGACAGTGCATGACTCCTGAGTCTAAGCCATAAGAGACACCACAGCTCCCTCTTTGCTCTCTCGGGTGACACACTTTTGGGAAGGGCAGCCATGTTGTGAGGTCACCCAATCAGCACTGTGTCCCCTGCTTCAGCTTCTCACGCTCTGGCAACTGCAGGCTCACCCAATAAACCTGTTGCTATGAAATGGTATGGTAGAAAGAGTCCAGTGTCTGAAGTTGAACAGTCCTGGGTTCAAATCCTAGCTCTGAATAGGCTACCTCATGCTAATGCTGACCTGCAAGACTGCTAAGGAGATGCAACAAGAAGAGGGGTGTTGATGTGTGTGGCATGTGGTAGGTGATCAGGAAGTGTGGGTTCCCTCTCCCTTTTCCCTCACCCTCTGCCATGAGGGTCTGTTTCCAAAGAAAAGTTGTCATTGATTACCTGTACTGCTGTCTTCTCTGCAGAATTCAGGGGGTTCCTGATTGGAACTTGGTCCCCAGAGGGTGCTGAGAGATGCAGGGCTCAAGTGACCTGATGATGCCCACAAAGTAAGCCAGGGCCAAGATTGAGTGTAGCATCCTCTCAGGGGCCCAGAGTGGGATTGGGGAAACTGGAGGGGACAGTGACAGCTTCAGGTGCATCCATAGGACCAACCTTGAAGACAAGTGCAGCTGGCAGGGTTTGGCATGAGCTTGGGAGCACTGGGAAGAACTAACTCCTACCCCAGGACCAGGAATCTGAAACCCTGGCTCAGGCTCAGGCTGACATCCAGTCTTGTTGCCTCCCTGTGCCTTAGTTTCCCCTTTTGTAGCATCAAAGGTAGAAGTAGGTTGGGCATCTGAAAGACAGTGCCTTCAGGACCTGAGATCCTACTCTATGTAAGGAAGTACTTCTCTGGGGCTCCCAGAGTCCTCCATAAAAATGAAGTGTAGAACCCAATGCTGTCATCAGCAAAGCCCACAATCGTAAGCCAGGGGCTGGGCCGATGATAGTTTTGGAAAGGTATTTCAAGAAAGAAGGTTGGGCATCCTTTTCTCTTTTTTATTTTTTATTTATTTTTCTGGAGACAGGGTCTCACTCTGTCGCTCAGGCTGGAGTGCTGTGGTGTGATCTTGGCTCATTGCAGCCTCAACCTCCTGGGCTCAAGTGATCTACCACATCAGCTTCCCGAGTAGCATAGCAGAGACCTACAGGCACACGCCACTCTCTCTCTCTCTCAATCCCTCTCTCTCTCTCTGTCTCTCTCATATATATATATATATATATATATTTTTTTTTTTTTTTAATTTTTTGAGACAAGAGCCTCTCTGTGGCCCAGGCTGGAGTGCAGCAGCTCAATCTCAGCTCACTGCAACCTCCACCTCCCAGGTTCAAGGGATTCTCATGCCTCCACCTCCTGCGTAGCTGGGATTACAGACTCCCACCACCACACCCAGCTAACTTTTTGGTATTTTTAGTAGAGACAGGTTTTGCCATGTTGGCCAGGCTGGTCTCAAACTCTTGGCCTCAAGTGATCCACCCACCTCGGCCTCTCAAAGTGCTGCAATTACAGGCACGAGCCACCGCATCTGTCCTATTTTTATATCTTTTGTAGAGACAGAGTTTTGCCACGTTGCCCAGGCTGGTCTCAGACTCCTGGGTTCAATCAGTCCACCCGCCTCAGCCTCCCAGAGTCCTGGGAGCCACCATGCCTAGCCCAGGCATCCTTATTAACAATATGCAATGCCTTCTCCCTGCAAGACTCACTACAACACTGTGAGTTGAGTAGAGTTACTGTTGGGGATGCTGGTTTTAGCAGTGGCAACTGCTGGGGCAGGGGTGATGGTGATGAGGGAGGGAACACTGCAATCATGGTGGCTCATTTGGCGCAAAAGTGTTTGTGCTGGGGACGTGTGGTCTTGGAAATATGTGGGAGAAGACATTGGCATGGTTGCTTTCGGTCCACAAAGCTGGCATTGGGGCAGGTGGTGGCATGGGCTTATAGATGTGGGTAGGGTCGGGGTCATTGAGGTGACTTGGTGAGAATGCTTATAGAGTCGTTAGTGGTGGCAATGGTGGTCCTGGAAGAGTTGTCAGGAAAGCATATGGTAATGGTGGTAGCTGAGTTGGTTACAGTTGTTAGTGGTGCTGGTGTTGATGGTGGTGCTGGTAGAATCGATGGGTGCCATATTGGGGTTGACAGAGTTGGTTGCTGGTGGGATTGGAGAGTTTGGTGGTGGTGGTATTGGCAGTTGGCCAGCGCTGATGTTGGCGGTCACTGGAGTCAGTGGGGTTATGGATGGTGCTGATGCTAGCGGGCTTTGTTGCTGAGGACCTTGGTAAGGCTGGCTGGTAGGAGCGTATTGGTGGTGGTGGCAGGATGGACAGGCTTGTGCTGCCCATGTGGCACTGGAGCAGAAGGCGAGGTGTCACTTACTGGAGGGCCACACCTGGATCTTGTGGTACTGATGTGTCTTGCTGATGATATTCTCGGCCCGGATGCTGAAGCAGTAGTCCCCAGGGTCCCTGAAGGTGTGGGTCAGGTTGTACGCTGTGCTGGCCACGGACACAGGGTGGCACTCCCCTTCCTCCAGCGGGAGGCACTCAGGCTTGAGACGCCAGCACACAGTCAGAGGAGGGCTGCAGGGAAATGGGGGCGGTTTTTAAGAAAAGGCTCAGCAAAGCATGTCAGCACAGACCAAGTCCAAGACAGGCCAGGTGGGCAGGAACTTCAGTGTCCTTTCCAGGACAGGACATCAAGCCGTCCTGGACTCAGCTTCATGCATTCCAGACCAGGGGACACTATGGTGCAAAAGAGATGGTCCCGGACCCCCAAGAGAATTCCAAGTGAATAAGGCCAACAGAGATACGCATAGACTGCTCACTGGAGGCAGGATGAGCGGTCTGATGGCACACATGGTGTACCATAGAAGCCCAGGGGAATAATAAGCACATCCCCCTTTTTGTGTTTTGCATTTTACGAGACAGGGACTCACTCTATTACCCAGGCTGAAGTGCAGTGGCTCAATCATAGCTCACTGCAGCCTCCAGCTCCTGAGCTCAAGCGATCTTCCTGCCTCAGCCTCCCGAGTAGCTGGGGCTACAGGCACCAGCCACCATGCCCAACTAATTTTTTAATTTAATTTAATTTAATTTTTTATTAATTATTTATTTAGAGATGGTGTCTCACTCTGTTGCCCAGGCTGGAGTGCAATGGCGCGATCTTGACTCACTGCAACCTTCACCTCCCGGGTTCGAGCCTCAGCCTCCCAAGTAACTGGGACTACAGGCACACACAACCATGCCTGGCTAATTTTTGTATTTTTAGTAAAGACAGGGTTTCGCCATGTTGGCTAGGCTGGTCTCAAACTCCTGACCTCAGGTGACCCGCCCGCCTCGGCCTCCCAAAGTGCTGGTATTACAGGCGTGAGCCACTGCGCCTGGCCAATTTTTTAATTTTTTAATAGCGATGGGACTATATTGCCCAGGGTGGTCTCCAACTCCTAGCCTCAAGTATTCTCCTGCCCCAGCCTCCTGAAGTGCTGGGATTACAGGCATGAGCCACTGCAACCAGCATGAGAGAGTTGTTTTTTGTTTGTTTGTTTTGTTTTTGTTTTTGTGGGGTTTTTTTGACAGAGTCTCACTCTGTCACCCAGGCTGGAGTGCAGTGGTGCGATCTCCGCTCACTGCAACCTTTGCCTCCTGGGTTCAAGTGAGTCTTCCACCTCAGCCTCCCAAGTAGCTGGGATTACAGGCATGCACCACCGTGCCTGGCTAATTTTTGTATTTTTTGGTAGAGACCAGGGTTTCACCATGTTGGCCAGGCTAATCTTTAACTCCTGACCTCAAGTGATCCACCCACCTCAGCCTCTGAAAGTGCTAGGATTGCAGACATGAGCTACCGTCCCTGACCATGAGAGCATTCTTAATGAGGTAGCCAGAGAAGGCTTCCTGGAGGAGGTGGCATTTGAGCAGATCTGAATGGATAAATGAACGTTTGATGGGTGAGAAAGGATAAGGGCATTCCAAGTTATCCACATTCCACAAGCATAGGCTCAGAAGCTGGAAAATGCAGGTCCATCCAAGGAATGTGAAATGAGCATTCCAATTCCACACAACACTAGGTCCGCAGGAAAAGCCATGCACTCATGCCACCTCAAATATCAGGGCTGCTAAACCCACAGGGCTTCCCATTCTCCCCATGCTAAGCTCCTGCCTCCAAAGCCCCGTGAAAACTACCTCCAACCCCTAAATTATTCACAGTTCATCTTCCTCTTCCCCTGGCCTGCATTGCTCACTCTCTGTCTGGCCTAGCATCCCTCTCATGTGTCTCTGTGTGGGCACAAGAGTCCTTCAAGGGCGGGTCGGGCACGGTGGCTCACGCCTGTAATACCAGCACTTTGGGAGGCCGAGGTGGGTGGATCACTTGAGGTCAGGAGTTTGAAACCAGCCTGGCCGACATGATGAAACCCTGTCTTTACAAAAAATACAAAAATTAGCCCAGCGTGGTGGCACGCACCTGTAATCCCAGCTACTCGGGAGGCTGAGGCAGGAGAATCGCTTGAACCCGGGAGGCGGAGGTTGCAGTGAGCTGAGATTGCACCACTGCACTCAAGCCTGGGCAACAAAGCGAGTCTCTGTCTGAAAAAAAGAAAGAGTCCTTTAACGCCTGGGCCCTGACCACTGATGTCTGCGGCTCTATCCATCCCAGTGGCCCCAGGGAGGGGCATCCTCATGGACAGAATGCACTCGGCATCTGTGTCTCCTCACCTACTAAACACTCAGCCTGATGCTGTTCTTGCCAGGAGCCTGGGTCAGGCTGCCTTGATTAGACTGACTGATGAGAATCCCCTGGAATGATCTGCTTCCGTGTCATGCGGGGTGCCCCACCCTGCACACAGAATCCTTGGAAATCTTGTCTACTCTGGTCTAGAAGCTTCCAGAATAGCATCTTGTCCAAAGCAGATGCTCAAGCAACTTTTGCCTGCTGGTGCAAGCTCCCCTGTGCAGACTGGAGGGCAGAACAGATTTGCTTTTTTTGTTTTTTGGTTTTTTTTTGTTTTTTTTTTTTTTGGACAGAGTCTTGCTCTGTCGCCCAGGCTGGAGTGCAATGGCGGGATCTCGGCTCACTGCAACCTCCATCTCCCAGGTTCAAGCAATTCCCCTGCCTCAGCCTCCCGAGTAGCTCGAATTACAGGCATGAGTCACAGCACCCGGCCTCAGAAAAGGCTTTTGAAGGCAGGCATTCCAAGGGGCTTAGAAGAATAAGAAACATCTGGACATGTGAAGGGAGAGAAGAGAACCCTGAAAGAACCACATGGGCAAAGATCTGGGGGCTGGAAAATAGGCCACGTCATACACAGAGGGCTTCTCAACAGGAGGGATCCCTCCCAACCTTTGTCTCCATGCCCATGGTGAATACAGCCCCAAAAGGCAGGTCCTCCCTCCCTGGGACCTCAAGAATTGAGCTGAGGGCTAGGTGTGGTGGCTCATGCCTGTAATCCCAGCACTTGGGGAGGCCAAGCTGGGAGGATCACTTGAGCTCAGGAGACTGAGACTAGCTTGAGCAACATAGTGAGAACCCATCTCTACAAAAATTAAAAATTGGCCAGGCATGGTGGTGCCCACCTGTAGTTCCAGCCACCCAGGAGGCTGAGGCAGGAGAATCATTTAAGCCCAGGAGGTCAAGGCTACATTGAGCTGTGATGGTGCCACTGCACTCCAACCTGGGTGACAGGGTGAAACTCTGTCTCTAAAAAATGCAAATAAAGGCCAGACGCAGTGGCTCACACCTGTAATCTCAGCACTTTAGGAGGCCAAGGCGGATGGATCACTTGAGGTCAGGAGTTGGAGACCAGCCTGGGCAACATGGTGAAACCCCATCTCTACTAAAAATACAAAAATTAGCCGGGCATCGTGGAGTGCACCTGTAATCCCAGCTAGTCGGGAGGCTGAGTCAGGATAATCGCTTGAACCAGGGAGGCAGAGGTCGCAGTGAGCCAAGATTGCGCCACTGCACTCCAGCCTGGGCGAAAGAGCGAGACTCCGTCTCAAATAAATAAATAAATAATAAAATAAAATACTGGAGCTGAGCCCATGCTCTCCCCATGGCCCAGCCTCAAGACAAAGTGGCACTGCCCTTCCATGAGGTCCCAGACCTGAGGCCTGTCACAGAGCAGAACAGACTTGGGGTCATCGTGAAGGGGGATGTGCAGAGCCCACGGGGCACCCCCAGTGCGCTCTGGAGCTCACTTACCTCCCCAGGAAGTTCAAGGTCACGGTCATCTTTTGGAAGGTCTGAATTAGGGTGGGCCCCAACACTTGGATGCCTCGAAGGGTTTCTGTAAGGCAGAGAGAACCCCGTTAGACCTGGTGGCTAAGGATTGCTGTCGAGGCTCCCAGGGCACAGGGTGGTGCGACTGCCACCCTGTCCTCCCCTCCGTCCCTCTCCTAAGAGCAGGCCACAGGTCTGTGCGGGGTTCCTCTGGGTCCTGCCCTCCCCTGTCAGTGGCAGGTGCTGAAGCCTGCTCAGAGGGAGGAAAGTAGGAAAGGCAGGCAAACACACAATTGTCCTGCCCATTGCCAAGTCATCGTCTGTGTCACACAGGAGAGCACCATCCCGTCAGCAAGAACCAAGACATCTTCTGCAGCTGCCCAAGGGCTCCCTCTCACCAAAGCCAGGGAGAGATAGAGACCCTCCCACCCCAGGGTGAGCCTCGGTGGGAGGCCGATGGGGCCGGGGAACAGGGAATGGCATGGACTGGCCAATTCACAGCAGACACCTGGTCACCGGCTCAGGCTCTGGGAGCAGGCAGCCCGGGGCACAAGGGCCGCTCAGCCACTGCACAGCCACATGATCCCATCCGTGGCCTGCAGCGCTCTGTCTGAAGCAGGGTTAATGATAGACGCTCCTCAGAGGTCTGTGGGGCTCCAGAAGACAGGGCGTGAGTCCAGCCCAGAGCCACTGTGATCTGTGCGTACGGTGACCCCACTCTGGAACGCCCAGACTGCATCAGCCTGCCTGGACACCCACCCTGCAGCTTCAGCGAGGCGGAGAAGTCCCCGGTCTTCTGCTTCACAGCCCTCGTGGCATCCGGCTCCACCTCTTCCCACTCCGCCACCACTTTGAGCTTCACGGTGAAGGTCCCGATGATGGAATAGTTATAATAGACCACGGAGTCTTCAGTCACCATCTGGGTCCTGTTAGGAGACAGGGAGGAGAGAGGAGGAAGACAGCAGACGGTTGCTTCCCCTTCCTGTAACTCAGAAGTGATTCATGGGACTTGCCAGAGTCAGGGGAGGCTGTACAGTGATACTCCCAGCTACCAGTGAGCACACCTGTCATCACAGCCTAGAGCCAGCCAGGGCTCCAGGTCAGCTGGCCCATTTTCCAGATGAGCAAACCGAGGCCAGAGAAGGCCTAAAATTCAGGAAAATTACAAATTTCTCACATTAGCCAAAGTTCAAGGGCTCAACAGCCCCACGTGGTGAAGACAGAAGAATTTTTTGTCAAAAATTTTTTGTTTTTGTTGTTTTTGTTTTTTGAGACAGGGTCTCACTCTGTCACCCAGTGGCACAATCATGGCTCACTGCAGCCTTGAATTCCTGGGCTTGAGCAGTCCACCTGTGTCAGCCTCCCAAGTAGCAGGGATCACAGGCGTGTACCACTGTGCCAGGCTAATACATGATTTTTTGTAGAGACAAGGTCTTACTATGTTGCCCAGGCTGGTCTTGAACTCCTGCGCTCAAGTGATCCTCTGACCTCAGCCTCCTAAAGTGCTGGGATTATAGGCATGAGCCACTGTGCCAGCCAAGCCGAGGGTTCTGTTGGACAAAGCTGCCATCCAGATTTTTCAAGTAAATGGTCTTTCCTGCAAATTGTCTGCTTTCCAATATTTATACTGTACTTTTTATCTCTCTCTCCCTTTTTTTTTTATTTTTTATTTTCCTTTTTAGAGATAAGGTTCTGCTCTGTTGCCCTGGCTGGAGTGCTGTGGTGCAATCATAGCTCACTGCAGTCTCTGAACTCTTAGGCTCAAGCAGTCCTCCCACCTCAGCCTCCCGAGTAGCTGGGACTACAGGCACGTGCCACCATCCCTGGCTAATTTTTGTATTCTTTGTAGAGACGAGGTATCACTATGTTACCCACCCTAGTCTCGAATTCCTGGGCTCAAGCTTTCCCCACCCTCTTGGCCTCTCAAAGCACTGGAATGACAGGTGTGAGCCACCATAGGCCCGCACTTATTTTCTTGACTTTCCTAAGTAAGTTAGAACTTTCAGGATAATATCGATGGACCCTGATAAGGAGCACCCTTGTCTTATTCCTGCATCTAGAGCCAGGTTCCCCCAACATCTCAATGCAACGACTCCCCAGAGGTATTTGACCACAGGTCACTTTTGTCACCAAGAGTTAGAGAATCCACATTCCACGTTTTGCCAGGCACGATGGCTCACCCCTGTAATACCAACACTTTGGGAAGCCAAGGTGGGAGGACTGCTTGAGCCCAGAAGTTCGAGACCAGCCTGGGCAATTTGGCAAAACCCTGTCTCTACAAAAAATACAAAAATTAGCCAGTCGTAATGTTACAGGCCTGTGGTTCCAGCTATTCAAGAGGCTGAGGTGGGAGGATCACTTGAGGCCAGGAGGCGGAGGTTGCAGTGAGCAGTGATCACGCCACTGCACTCCAGCCTGGGCAACAGAGCGAGACCCTGTCTCAAAAACAGAAACAAAAACACATCCTTTTTTTTTTTTTTTTTTTGAGAGGGAGTCTCATTCTGTCACCCAGGCTGAAGTGCAGTGGCATGATCTCAGCTCACTGCAACCTCCTCCTACCCGGTTCAAACGATTCTCCTGCCTCAGCCTCCCAAGTAGCTGGGAATACAGGCGCACACCACCATGCCTGGCTAATTTTTGTTTGTTTGTTTGTTTTGCATTTTTAGTACAGACGGGGTTTTGCCATTTTGGCCAGGCTGGTCTCAAACTCCTGACCTCAAGTGATCCATCCACCTCAGCCTCCCAAAGTGCTGGGATTACAGAAGTGAGCTACTGCACCCGGCCAAAAACAAAAACATATTCTAAGTTCTCCACTCAGTATAATGTTAGTTGTTAGTTCCAGCAACTTCTTTTTCTAGTTTATTTATATTACATTGAATGTTCATTTCTGTATAATGTTAGTTGTTAGTTCCAGCAACTTCTTTTTCTAGTTTATTGATATTACATTGAATGTTCGTTTCTGTTCATACTAACGCTTTTTTGGCATCTAAAGAGATGATCTGGCCAGGCACGGTGGCTCACACCTGTCATCCCAGTGCTTTGGGAGGCTGAGGCGGGAGGATGGCTTGAGGCCAGGAGCTCAAGACCAGCCTGGCCAACATAGTGAGACCCCATCTCTACAAAACATTTTAAAAAATAGTCAGATGTGGTGGTACATGCCTGTGGTCCCAGCTACTCGAGAGGTCGAGGCAAGAGGATTCCTTGAACACAGGAGATTGAGGCTGCAGTGAGTCAGATTTGTGCCACTGCACTCTAGCCTGGGTGACAGAGCAAGACCTTGTCTCTAAAAATGGAGGGCGGGGGGTGAGGAAAGCCAAGCACAGTGGTTCACACCTGTAATCCCAATGCTTTGAGAAGCTGAGATGGGAGGATCTCTTGAGCCCAGGAGGTCGAGACCAGCCTGGGCAACATAGTAAGATCCTGTCTCTACAAAAATATTTTAAAATTAGCTGGGTGTAGTGGTGCATGCCTGTAATCCCAGCCACTCAGGAGGCAGAGGTGGGATGAGTGCTTGAGGCTGGGAGGTCAAGGCGGCAGTGATCTATAATCACACCACTGTACTCTAGCCTGAGTGTCTGACCACAGGTTGCTTTTGTCACCAAGAGTTAGGAAATCCACATTCTGAGTTTTGCTGGGCACAGTGGCTCACCCCTGTAATCCCAACACTTTGGGAGGAGGAAGGGAGGGAGGGAAGGGGAGGGGAGGGTAGGAAGGAAGACAGGGAGGGAGAGAGGGAGGGAGGGGAGAGGAGAGGAAGGGGGAAGGAAGGAAGGAAGGAAGAAAGGAAGGGAGAAAGAAGAAAGAAAAAAGAAAAAGGAAAGGAAAGAAAGGAAAGGAAGAAAAAGAAGGAAGAAAGGAAGGGAGGGAGGGAGGGAGGGAGGAAGGGAGTAGGGCCAAGCATGGTGGCTCCCACTTGTAACCCCAGCACTTAGGGAGGCAGAGGCAGGAGGATCACTTGAGCCCAGGAGTTCAAGACCAGCCTTGGCAACATAGCAAGACCCTGTTCTCCTCCACCAAAAAGGGGAAAAAAGACAAAAAGTTAAAAAGGAGCAATAAAGAGAAACGAAGCCAGAGCACCTGGGTTCTACCTCGTATCCACCAAGGGTTGGCTGGGTACCCTTCGAGGTCAAATGGGAAAAAATCTCATGTACCTTTACCTTCCTTAAATGGCTGTTTTGGGCACCAATGGCCTCCTCTATTAGGTGAAGACACCACAAAGGCAGGGCTAGTGGCTGATTCACCAGTGTTCTCCGGGACCCCCAGTCGTGGCAGAGAGGAGGTGCTTGAAGGATGTTTGAAAGGAGACAGGGTGAGCAGGGAAAGGAGAGGAGCTTCAGGTGGGTGCAGTGGTTCACACCTGTAGTCCCAGTATTTTGGGAGGCCAAGGTGGGAGGATCACTTGAGGTCAGGAGTTCAAGACCAGCCTGGCCAACATGGTGAAACCCAGTCTCTACTAAAAAATATAAATAAATAAATTAATTAATTAATTAATTAAATTTAATATGAAAATTAGCCAGGCATGGTGGCTCACACCTGTAATCCTAGCACTTTGGGAGGCCAAGACAGGCACATCACTTGAGGCCAGGAGTTTGAGACTAGCCTGGCCAACATGGTGAAACCCCATCTCTACTAAAAAAAATAAAAATAAAAAAAATACAAAAATTAGCCAGGTGTGGTGGCGCAAGCCTGCAGTTCCAGTTACTGGGGAGGCTGAGGCAGGAGAATCACTTGAACCCAGGAGGAAGAGGTTGCAGTGAGCCAAGATGGTACTACTGCACTCCAGCCTGGATGACAGAACAAGACTGCATCTCAAAAAAAAAAAAAAAATTAAAGGTGAAGAGATTCGGAGTACCCTGCACAGTGCGCGGGACAGTGGGGCACCAGTGACAGCTGTAGGGCCTGCAGAGGGGTAAGGACCTACCCGTCCCCGAAGTCCCAGCTGTAGAGAAACAAGGCGGTCTTGAGGAAGTTGCTCGGGTCGTGGAGGAGGAAGGAGACTTTCAGGACGGTCTTAGTGAGATAGGAGCTGGGCCAGGGTAGGGAAGTGTTCTGGGTGACAACAAGGTCCCCCACGAGGAACTCTGGGAGAGAGAGAGACACGGGAGGGTGAGTCTTGGAGATTCAGGGATCAGGAAACCAGGTAGAGACTTCATGGGCAGCTGTCAAAGCCACCACTTCCCTGCCCGGACCTTCTGGCTGTCAGAGCTAGGCAGGGAGAGGGGACACCCCCCTACAACTCCCCAAAGACCCCTGAACACAGAGGCATCTGCACCCTCCCCCTGCTGCATGAACACTGCTGAACACCGGAGGACTCTGTCACATTCACTGTTTTCTCTCCTGTCCCCTCTCACAAGGACCCTGAACTTTCTGGCACAAAAGATGCCCAAGGTCAGAAGGAAATGCATGGCTGGGTGCGGTGGCTCACACCTGTAATCCCAGCACTTTGGGAGGCCGAGGTTGGTGGATCACAAGGTCAAGAGTTCAAGACCAGCCTGGCCAAGATGGTGAAACCCCGTCACTACTAAAAACACAAAAATTAGCCAGGTGTGGTGGCACACACCTGTAGTCACAGCTATTTGGGAGGCTGAGGGAGGAGAATCGCTTGAACCTGGGAGGCGGAGGTTGCAGTGAGCCAAGATCGCGCCACTGCACTCCAGCCTGGGCGACAGAGCAAGACTCTGTCTCAAAAAAAAAAAAAAAAAAAAAAAGAAGAAGGAAATGCATAAGCTTTGAAAGGAACTTTTGAGAAATATTTCAGAATGTCAGGTGACCCTAGAAAAATTAGCAGTTCCAATGACCAGGCACGGTGGCTCACACCTATAATCCCAACACTTTGGGAGGCCAACACGGGCAGATCACGAGGTCAGGAGATCAAGACCAACCTGACTAACACAGTGAAACCCTGTCTCTATTAAAAATACAAAAACAAAATTAGCCAGGCATGGTAGCGGGCACCTGTAGTCCCAGCTACTTGGGAGGCTGAGGCGGGAGAATGGTGTGAATCCGGGAGGCAGAGCTTGCAGTGAGTCGAGATCGCGCCACTGCACTCCAGCCTGGGTGACAGAGCAAGACTCCGTCTCAAAAAGAAAAAAGAAAAATTAGCAGTTCCACTGATCACAGCTTCACACGTTGGGACCACTGTCCTATGTCTACTTCTCTAAAAAGAAAAAAAATTGGTGGGGCACGGTGGCTCACACCTGTAATCCCAGCACTTTGGGAGACTGAGGTGGGCAGATCACTTGAGGCCAGGAGTTTGAGACCAGCCTGGCCAACATAGCGAAACCCTGTCTCTACTAAAAATACAAAAATTAGCTGGGTGTGGTGGCCAGCACCTGTAGTCCCAGCTACTTGGGAGGCGAAGGCACGAGAATCGCTTGAACTGGGAGGTGGAGGTTGCAGTGAGCCAAGATCACAGCACCACTCCAGCCTGGGCAACAGAAGGAGACTCTGACTCAAAAATAGTAATAATAAATTAATTAAAATTAGTAAAAGTGGAAAGAAAAAGGCATGCTCAATAGAGCTCATTTGGAAAATGTTCAAACATAAAATAAGAAGAAAAGAAGCTAACTAACATTCACCTCAACCACTGTTGCCATTTTGAAGTATGACAAAGTATTTGCTTCAGTGTTTAATATACACATACATTAAATACAGATTATTGGGTTAGACAATTCTGTGCTTTGCTTTTTTAATATGTAATTTTACATGCATGTGTATTTACCCATGGCCTTACAAACTCATTGTAAGGGTCACTGTTAATAGTGGTATAAATGATTTTATTATATTTAGCCAATCTCCTCATGGTTGCTCACTTAGCTTGTTTATCTCTTCTTTTGCTATTATAAACACTATTGCAATGAACACCTTAATGCAAAAGGCATGACCCAAATGCAGGTTTATTTCCTGAAGATAAATTCATTATTAGACTGGAAAGTCTAAAGGGGCAAAGGGGCATCTTCTCTTGGAATGAGAGAGAGAGAGAGAGACAAAGAGACATAGAGACAGAGATAAAGAGACAGAGACAAAGAGACAGAGACAGAAAGAGACAAAGAGACAGAGAACAGAAAGAGCAAGATAGAAAGGGAAAACAGAGAGAGAAGGGACAGAGAGAGACAGAAAGAGACAGACAGAGATAGAACAGAGAGAAGGACAGAGAGAGACAGAAAAGAAAGGGGAGAAAGAGGGGAGAAAGAACCAGTGAATGACTGGCCCCAAGACTACAATAATTTCTTTTTTTTTTTTTTTTTTTTTTTTTTTTTGAGATGCAGTCTCACCCTGTCCCCGAGGCTGGAGTGCAGTGGCACGTTCTCGGCTCACTGCAACCTCTGCCCCCCAGGTTCAAGCGATTCTCCTGCTTCAGCCTCTTATACAGCTGGGATTATAGGTGCCCACCACCATGCCCCCACTAATTTTTGTATTTTTAGTGGAGACGGGGTTTTGTCATGCTGGCCAGATGGCTCTCAAACTCCTGATCTCAGGCGATCCACCTGCCTCGGCCTCCCGAAGTGCTGGGATTACAAGCGTGAGCCACCGCGCCCAGCTGAGACTACAATAATTTCTAACCAACAGTACCTATTGACCAGTCGCTCTCCACAGGGTTGTATTAATGTATACCCTCAGCAGCAATAGGCGTCCCTTTTAGCACAATACCTCCTGGGGGCAATCACTGCCATTTTCAGATCCTTTCTAACTCGACTGACCCGGGGAAGGAACCTACGGGCCTAATCCCCCAGAACCTACGGGCCTAATCTGCATTGATCTGATTCCTAGCGAAGCTTGATGTTTTTCTCTGCACCAAGGGTTTGAAGGCAAACTAGCAAATGGGAGCGACCCTCACCTGTGATGGGGAGGACCACAAAGCCCCTGGCCACAGGCTGGCACATCCAGCAGTCAGCGGCAGTGACCCAGACAGAGACCGGGAATTCCCCGGGCACGTGGCCGACCACACGGATGGTGGAGCTGAGACCCTTCTCCATCTTGCCAGTAAGCACCAGCGGGGTGTGGATCCAGTGGAAGCGGTAGAGGTGGGCGTCAGCGGGCAGGGCCAGGCTGCCGTTGTCCTTGGCCACCAGGCTGGCCGAGATGGTCACCACCGCTCCCGTGGTGGCAGGGCTATCGGTGGTGAGATTGAGTTCATACAGGCCTAGGAGCCCAGAAACAAAGACTGTGTTTCAGAATGGTGTGTGGCAAGGAGCCCCACAGCCACCTCTGGGCTGGCATCAACTATTCTATTTCCCAGGTGGAGAAACTGAGGCTCAGGCAGCTCAAGTGACTTGCCCAAGGGTCACTCAGCCAATTCGACATCAAACCTGGGTCCCACTGACTCCAAATCACAGTCTTTTCAGTCTTATTTCCCCTTCCTTCCTTCCCTCCCTCCCTCCCTCCTTCTTCCTTCCCTCCTTCCTCCTTCCCTCCTTCCTTCCTCCTTCCCTGCTTCTCTTTCTTTTCTTCCTTCCTTTCTTTTTCTTTCCTTTCCTTCCTTTCTCTTTTCTTTTCTCTCTCCTTCCTTCCTTCCTCTCTCCCTCCCTCCTCTCTTTTTTCTTTCTTTCTCTTCTTTCTTTTTTTCTCCCTTCCTTCCTTCCTTTTCTTTCTTCTTCCTTCTTTCTTTCTTCCTTTCTTCCTCTCTCTCTCTCTCTCACTCTCTCTCTCTCCCTTTCGTTCTCTGGATCTCACTCTGTAACCCAGACTGGAGTACAATCATCACAGTTCGCTGCAGCCTCCACCTTCTAGGATCAAGAGATCTTCCTGCCTCAGCCTCCCAAATAACTGAAACTATAGGCACACACCACCACACCCAGCTAATTTTTTATTTTTTGTAGAGATGGGGGTCTATGTTGCCCAGGCTGCCCAAATTATATTTTGTTTTTCCTGCCAGCCGGGCAGGGCCTTGGTTAGTGGCTACTCTTCTGGACAGGCCACACAGAGAACATTTCTACCATTCCCCAGAATTCTTTTGGTTTTGTTTTGAGACAAGATCTCCCTCTGTCATCCAGGCTGGGGTGTAGTGGCATGATCATAGCTCACTGCAGCCTCAAACTCCTGGGCTCAAGTGATCCTCCCACCTCAGCCTGCCAAGTAGCTGTGACTTGTAGGTCCAAGTCACCACGCTTGGCTGATTTTTTTCTTTTTTTTTTTTTTTTGTAGAGACAGGATCTCACTATGTTGCCCAGCCTGGTCTCGAACTCCTGGCTTCAACCACTCCTCCTGCCTTAGCCTCCCAAAGTGCTGGGATTACAGGCATGAGCCAGCGTCCTCAACCACATTGTCCAAAGATCTACTGGACAGTGCTGGTCTCATGCCTCTGGATTCCTCCTCTCCTCACTCCTCTCTCTCTGTCAGGGTTAAAGGATCCAGCTGTTGGCCAGGCATCATGGCTCATGCCTGTAACCCCAGCACTTTGGGAGGCCGAGGTAAGCGGATTACTTGAAGTCAGGAGTTCGAGACCAGCCTGGCCAACATGGTGAAACCCTGTCTCCACTAAAAATACAAAAAATTAGCTGGGTGTGGTGGTGCATGACTGTAATCCCAGCTACTCAGGAGGCTGAGGCAGGGGAATCGCTGGAACCCAAGAGGCAGAGATTGCAATGAGCCGACATCGAGCCACTGCATTCCAGCCTGGGCAACAAGAGTGAGACTCCGTCTCAAAAACAAAAGAAAACAAACAATAAAAACACTTCCCTGTACCTCTCACCCCCTCAGCTCTTTCCCGACAGCTGAGTCCACTGTTGTCACAACTCCATGTGGAAATGAAAGTTTCTTTGCCTTTCCTGCTATGCTTCAAACTCGTTTAGAGCAGGGGTCATTTCCATCATCCCTGTGACCAGCACAACGCTTGGCACATAGCAGGTGTTTGGTACTGCTGTTGCCAAGGGGCACCCGGAGAGCAGGTGCAGCAGAGGGACCAGCCCACCTGGCCCTGCCCCAGGAGACTGTTCACCCAGGTGGCACTGACTGAGTCCCTTCCATGGACCCCATCCCTACCGTGTTGGGAGGATCCAGAAATACAGAACAAGCCCCTCCCTGGAGGGACCTCACAGGAGACCTGCTGGGCTTTCAACAAGAAAGGCTGGCCAGGCGTGGTGGCTCACACCTGTAATTCCAGCACTTTGGGAGGCCGAGGCGGGCGGATCACCTGAGGTCAGGAGTTCCAGATCAGCCTGACCAACATGGAGAAACCCCCGTTTCTACTAAAAATACAAAATTAACCAGGTGTGGTGGCATGCGCCTGTAATCACAGCTACTCGGGAGACTGAGGCAGGAGAATTGCTTGAACCCGGAAGGCAGAGGTTGCAGTGAGCCAAGATTGCGCCACTGCACTCCAGCCTGGACGACAAGAGCGAAACTGTCTCAAAAAAATTTAAAAAAAGAAAGGCCAACTATTTGACCTTGTGGTTTTCAACTATTTCAACTATTTTACCTTGTTTTTCTTTCACAAATTTTCATTAGATCCCTTACCCTCTCTCTGCCACTCTATTATGAGGGGGGAGGGGGATGAAAACTGTTGGATAATATTCAACCCCGTTAGCTGCCCACGTCCCACCTGTCCCTCAACAAGTCTCCAATCTGGGTCCTTTTATGGTTCCCAAAATGTGGCAGAAAGGTGGGTGCTGGCCTTCTGGCGATGGGGATGTGGGGACAGTAGATGCACGACCGAGTGGGCACAAGGTCCCCCCACAAGTCCCCCCAGGAACCTGTCAGCTCCAGGTCCATTTTGGGAAATCACTCCTGGAAGAAATAGCAGCCTGGCCTCCTGGGCTCTAAAATTGCATCTCGGTCAGGCACGGTGGCTCATGCCTGTAATTCCAGCACTTTGGGAGGCCGAGGTGGGTGGATCACCTGAGGTCAGGCGTTTGAGACCGGCCTGGCCAACATGGCGAAACCCCGTCTCTACTAACAATACAAAATTAGCCGGGTGTGGTGGCGAACGCCTGTAATCTCAGCTACTCGGGAGGCTGAGGCCGGAGAATTACTTGAACCTGGGAGATGGTGGTTGCCGTGAGCCGAGATTGCGCCACTGCACTCCAGCCTGGGCAAAAAGAGCGAAATTCCATCTCAAATAAATAAATACATAAATCAAATAAAATCATATCTCCCCAAAGCCAGCACCAACAGGGTGGAAAACCCCTCTAGATGAGGCAACATTTTAAAGTAAAAATGCTGCCCATCCCGTGTTCCCTGGGGGCTGGGGGTTGTGGCACGATGACTGACCCTGATACATCCCCATGTCCCTGCCTCGTCCTCCCCTCCCTTAGCAGGTACATGGTCCCCAGACATCTGACGGATGCGTGGGCCACCCTCGTGTGGTTTCCAGGGCAGGGCCAGCCCGGGGAGTAGAAGCAGGAATCGAGGGGGCAAGGGAAGCCCCTTCTAGTGCCCAGGCAACTCTGAGATTATTTTTTTCAGACGCATCTCATTCACTTCAAAGCAACATCACCTGTCCCTGTGGGGGACTCCAGCTCCGACCTTTCCTCAGGCCCACCTCACACGTTCGCTGCTTTGGCCCACATCACGTATTTCCTTTTTTTTCAGAGCCATTTCTTAAATTATAAAGGCATTTGAGGCCGGGCCCAGTCAGCTCACACCTGTAATCACAGCGCTTTGAAGCCAGAGGGTCACTTGAGCCCAGGAGTTTTAGATCAGCCTGAACAACACAGCGACACCCATTCTCTACAAAAAAAAAAATTTAAAAATTAGCCAGGCATGGTAGCGTGCACCTGTTGCCCCAGCTACTTGGAAGGCTGAGGCAGGAGGATCTCTTGAGCCCAGGGGTTTGAAGTTGCAGTGAGCTATGATGGCGCCCCTGCCCTTCAGCCTGGGCAACAAAGTGAGAGACCCTTTCTACAAAAATAAATAAATAAAAATCAAGTCATTTGAGTCAAGATGCCGAGAGCTGGTCACTTCCAAGGGAATGCTGGCATTGAAAAGGGGACCTGCAGTGTCTTAACCCCAAAGAGGGAAATCCAGAAGCTGTGATGGGAGCTTTTCCACGCAAACAGAGTGGGTATATGATATTGAGGGACCTGAAGCCCGCATGGGTCACTGCTGCTGCCTGAGGCCACCCAACCAGTCTGTACTACCCTGGTTGGGCTTTGCTCTCCCTCCCCACTTTGGCTGGGAGGCAGCATTTGGCCAGGCTGTGGACAGAGAGGTGCATGGATGAGAGACCACCTCCTCCCTTATCCCCCTAACTCCTGGCACCCCTCTCCTCCCCATCCCCTCCCTGCCACCCCAGCTGAGAAGCGTGGGCCTGAGCGAGGCTGGCAGGTAGCAGGGACATTCGGCTGCATGCTAATGGCCAAACAGCATCTGCAGTGAGACAGACGCATGTTATCACGCAGATCGGTTGCCAGGGGAATGGATCAGGAGGGCAGCCAGCTGGGACTGGGAGGGGGGATGGGGGGCAGGGAGGGGCTGTGTCTGCTGCAGACATTGCTGCAGACACTGGCCCAGCTCATGGGAGCCCGCCGACTCCCCCACCACCACCTGCCAGCTCCAAGGACACTTTTTCTCAGTCTGTTTTTTCAAAATCAGGTGTGTCACAGCCCCTGGGTGATGCTGCCCCTGTTCCTCAGGGGTCTCAGGGATGGCCAGGACATCCAGGGTGGAAATGGACCAGGAAGCCTTTGCCAAATGTGGCTGAAGGAACCAATCACAGGGCCTGGTGCTCTACCCACCAAATTCATCTTTCCAGGCCGGCGTGGTGGCTCACACCTGTAATCCCAGCACTTTGGGAGGCTGAGACAGGTGGATCACCTGAGGCCAGAGGTTCGAGACCAGCCTGGCCAACATGGCGAAGCCCTATCTCTACTAAAAATACAAAAATTAGCCAGGTGTGGTGGCAGGCGCCTGTAATCCCAGCTACTTGGGAGGCTGAGGCAGGAGAATTTCTTGAACCCAGAAGGTGGAGGTTGCAGTGAGCCAAGATTGTGCCACTGCACTCCAGCCTGGGTGACAGAGCAAGACTGCATCTCAAACAAACAAATTCATCTTTCCATGTTTGGGAGTCCATGTGACATGGAGTTGGGGTATGGAGCAGCCAAGGCAGAGGTTTAGGGGACTCCAAGGGCCCCCCAAGTCACCCAGAGCTCAAGGGGCAAAAGCAAAAAGAGATGGGGCACTCACCCCAAAGCTTGGCCCATGGAAGAAACACCTACCTTTTCCAGCAACACAGCATGTGCAGCCCTGAACATTCTAGAAAATGGCTACACCAGTCCTTTCACACAGAATATGCAGACTACCCAAAACACTTCCAAAGAGTACCTCTAAAGTCTGGATAACACAACCCAGAATTAATTAATAGTCCAGTACATGGACTTCTGACTTACAAATCCCTGATTCATGGACTCCAGAAAGGGGAAGGGTAGAAAAGTCTCCCCGACGGGTGAGGGAGAAGATGTTTCCCAACTCCACTCTTAGCCACTGTGATTTTGACCACATCAAGGGTGCAATTGGCTAGAATGGGAACCACACATGATTTCCAAATAATTAATTCACTTTTGTTATTATTTTCTTTTTCTTTTGCAATTTAGGACACATTGAAAATCTCTGACACAAATCAACCTGATGGACAAGAGACCCCTTTCCTGTATTTCCAGGAGGAAATAGGTAATCTTGTCCAAGTGCAATTCCCATAAAATTCGTCTAATTCATCCCTGAGTTGCAGGTTTTCTTTGACCTCATGGTTTTTCTTTCACAAATTTTCATTAGATCCCTTGCTCTCTCTCTCCACCGCTCTTTTATGAGGGGGGAGGGGGTGAAAAGTGGTGGATAGTATTCAACCTTCTTAGCTGCCCACGTCCCATCTGTCCCTCGAATAGTCTTAAATCTGGGTCCTTTTATGGTTCCCAAAATGTGGCAGAGAGGTGGGTGCTGGCTTTCTGGCGGTGGGGAAGTGGGGGCAGTAGACACACAACCCTGCTTCCCCCACTCCCCCACCCACACACACACCCCAGGAACCTGTCAGCTCCGGGTCCATTTTGGAAATCACCACCAGAGAGGAAATGGCAGCCTGGCCTCCTGGGCTCTAAATTCGCATCTCCCCAAAGCCAGCACCAACACGGTGGGAAACCCCTCTAGATGAGGCGACATTTTAAGGCAAAAACGTTGCCCATCCCGTGCTCCCTGGGGGACTGGGGAATTGTGGCGCGATGACGGACCCTGGCGCATCCCCGCCTCCCTGCCTCGTCCTCCCCTCCCTTAGCGGGTGCATGGTCCCCAGGCATCGACGGATGCGCCGGCCACCCCCGCGCGGTTTCCAGGGCAGGGCCAGCCTGGGGGGGTGGAAGCAGGAATCCAGGGGGTGCGGGGAGCCCCCTCCAGTGCCCAGGCGACTTTGGGGAACAAGGATGAAAGGAGAGGGGAAAGGGCGCTGCAGTGGCCTCAGCCGAGGAGGGAGATGCGCGCAGGGCGCACGGTGCCACCTCCGCAATCCCTGCTCCCGGGCCCACTCGCCCGCTGAGACGGTTCCAGGCCCCGGGCGGGCTGCGGCTGCAGGGAGGCCGGATTGCCCAGCGCCTTACCTGCGGCCACCCCTGCCGGGGCCCAGGGCAGGAGGCAGGCAAGCCAGAGGATGCGGCCGAGGCGCGACCACACTGCCTGGGCCATTGCGGGGCCCGGAGCGGGAGAAGCGTGGGGCGGACGCGGAGGGAATGCAGCTGGAGCTCGAGAACTGCGGCGGTCGCTCCTCCGGGCGCGCAGCGCGGGCGGTGCGGGGAGGTGCGGGCGCCGTGCTCGCTCGTCCTCGCCGGGGGACGCTCTGTCGCTGCGCGCCGCCGCCGCCGCCCACAGCCCGCTGCGCGACCCCGGCCCACGTCAGCCGCGCCGCGCGCCCTCCTCCTCCTCCCGCCGCCCCTTGCTCCCGCGTCCCTCTCCACGGCCGCGTCCTCCCTCTCCGGGTCTCTTCCCACGGCCGCGCCCCCTGCCCTCCTGGAGTCCACGATCGCCCCTCCCAGCTTGCTTCCCCTCTAGGGGTTCCAGAGCTCCCTTCCTGCGCCCTGGCTCCTCCCCGCATCCCTCCCCACCCCAAATCCACCCCCGGCCGCATCCTTCCCCTCCACTACCCGAAACCACGCCCCCCGCACCCGCATTTTTCCCTTCCCCCGAGCCCCTCCCCGCCCTGGATCCGATGCCGCCGGCTCTGACTCAGCGTCCCCAGGGGC